>NC_000002.12:112338102-112641133 GCF_000001405.40 Homo sapiens | reverse complement strand
GTTTTCTCAGCTCTTAAACAGGGAAGAAAGGCAACTTGCTGGAAACTCAGGAACTTTGTGTAATGAAGATCCTACAGCAGAAAAGGAAGGGTCAGCTCGCTGCCCGCACAGTCCAGGATGTGTGGTTTTAGGCTGAGAAAGTGAGGGGGCAGCAGGACGTGAGTCATCCCCAAAGTCATCCCAGGAGGAGGTGGAGGGTAACAGCATCTGGCTTTGTATGGCTTCCCTAGCCTTTCATTCATTCGTCTGTTCAGTCAACAAATAGCCTGCTATGGATCTAGTGGATCAACAAGATTGACCAGCCCATGCTTTTATGGGCCACAAACCCCTTCTTGCATTGAGTTTCACACTGAGGACTGGCCATGAATACAACAGCCAAAGAGGCAAAGTCAATCTCTCCCTTCCCCCAACAGACCTGCCACTTCTGGACATGAACCACACACCTCATCTTCCAGTACATCCTTATTTATCATTCGCTCTCTCTACAGACCAGAGCACAGGAGACTGTGCCAGGCCACTCACTGCACAGTCCACTCCACCACTGCCGAGGCTCTTGCTCCCCAGCATTCCTCTTCCAGGGTCAGTGCCCCTCACTTGTCTGATCCCTTCAGCAAGAGAAAGCTTCCCAACAAGACCCCCCACCTCAGAGCTTGCTGGGCACAAAAAGCTGAGTTTTCAGGGAGGGAGTAGGGCCTGGGGCTGTACCTCTGCTTTCCTGGTCCAGAAATTCAGGTGTTTGGGGCACTCAAAGAGAGGCTTCTGCTATTGGGAACTGCCTCATGGGAGACTGAGGTTCTGAGCAGAACCCAGTTTCTTCATTTTCCGTGGGGAAGTCTATCTCCAATGATGGGACCCTCTAGCCCTCTGCCTAGAGCCTTCACTCCACCCCAGACCTGCTGAATGAGAATCTGCATTCTAACAAGATCCCCATATGATTCATAAGCATGCTGCAGTTTGGGAAGCAATCACAAGAATGACTCTTGCTACCTGGTAAGTTTAGAAACAATATGTTAACACATTCCGTTTCAGTCAGATGTTCAAAAAACACCACTTTTTTCTATTTTAAGTCCTGTTTTTCTGAGCAAGCATTCCTACTGTTCTAGGTAAGGGATAGTTTAGCACATGGGACCTGGGGCCAGACTATTAGAAATTAGAATCTTGTCGACCATTTACATGCTATGAGGTTGGGCAAATTGCTTAACTTCTCTGTGCCTCCCATTCCTCTGTAAAGTGGAAATAATAGGGTTGTTATGAGACTTAAATAAGTAAAATGCATAGCACTATCCCTGGCATTTAACAAGCATTTATTTGAATATTAATTGGGTTTGGGTATCCCCCAGTTTTGTTATTTTGTTTTTATTTGTTTATTAATTTTTTGAGACGGAGTATTGCTCCATCATCCAGGCTGGAGTGCAATGGCACAATCTCAGCTCAATGCAACCCTTGCCTCCTGGGTTCAAGCAATTCTGCCACCTCAGCCTCCTGAGTAGCTGGGACTACAGGCTCCTGCCACCATGCCCAGCTAATTTTTGTAATTTTAGTAGAGACAGGGTTTCACCATGTTGTCCAGGCTGGTCTCAAACTCCTGACCTCAAGTGATCCACCCGCCTCGGCCTCCCAAGGTTTTCAGATTACAGGCGTGAGCCACCCTGCCCAACCCAAGTTGGTTGGGTTTTTTGTTTTGTTTTGTTTTGTTTTTTTGTCACAAGGCCTCACTCTGTTGCCCAGGTTGGAGTACAGTGGTGCAATCTCAGCTCGCTGGAGCCTTGACCTCCCAGGTTCAGGTGATCCTCCTTCCTCTGCCTCCCCAGTACCTGGTACTACAGTTGCATCCCACCACGAATGGCTAATTTTTGTATTTTTTGTAGAGACTGGGTTTCACCATGTTGCCCAGGCTGGTCTCGAACTCCAGGGCTCAAGCAATCCACCCACCTAGGCCTCCCAAAGTGCTGAGATTACAGCCATAACCCACTGCACCCGGCCTAATTTTGTATACACCACCTTTACCATCTTTTAGGATGAAGTGCTTCTGTGGCTGGTCTCATCCATTTAGCATAGATTCTTGCCAGTTTTATTTTCCAAAAGTGATTTTCTTCCTGGGGGCAACTTACTGTTGCCCCAAAATATATCCATTTTAGGACTGTTCATTTATTCAACCATTCAGCACCTACCACCTGCAGGGAATATGAAATTTTTAACTGTGACCTTGAATACTGCCTCTACCTTTTATTTTGTTTTTTCACTCCTCCCTCTCCACCCATTTACCTCTCCCTTTTTAATGATGGTTATAAAATCAAATGTTAACGCTGATTTATAAAAACCATATATGTGTATATATATATATATATACACACACACACACACACACACACACACATATATATAGATATATATAGGACTCACTCTCCTGTTTCCAGATACCTTCAAAGGCATTGTTTCATTTTATCTTCACATCTGTGTGATGTAGGCAGAGCAAGTATTTTTTTTACCCTATCACAGGGAAATGAGGGTCTGAGAGCCTGCAGTCGGGCAAGTAGCAAGTTTTAGAGTAGGGCCTGGAGTCCTGCACGGTGGGCCCTGGCAGGCAATGCGTGAGAGACTCCAAGTCTACTATACTTCCCACCACCCTGTGTTAACTCCCCATTTAAGCCAGAGGAGTGACTTACAGGTATGGGGATAGGGATGGGACATTCAGGCCAGAGAAGGGAGAGAAAGGGACAAGGGAGAGAGTACTTCATGCAGTGACTTCAATTGCAAATACCCTATTCCATTGTCCCCACTAGAATTCATATTTATCAGACTTGTATTCTGATTATTTCATAATATATGGGCACCGAAACAACCAGACTAATAGGGGAAATAGTTTAGGGCAAGAGGAGCTCAAGATTTTTAAAAATTATTATAAAAATAATACATGCTCGCTGGGTGCAGTGGCTCATGCCTGTAATCCCAGCACTTTGGGAGGCCGAGGCGAGTGGATCACCTGAGGTCAGTAGTTCAAGACCAGTCTGGCCAACATGGAGAAACCCCGTCTCTACTAAAAATACGAAAAATTAGCCAGACATAGTGGAGCATGCCTGTAATCTCAGCTACTCAGGGAGTCTGAGGCAGGAGAATTGCTTGAACTCGGGAGGCAGAGGTTGCATTGAGCCAAGACCACACCATTGCACTCTAGCCTGGGTAACGAGAGCGAAACTCGGTATCAAAAAAAAAAAAAAATTAGCCGAGCATGCCTGTAATCCCAACTACCCAGGAAGCTGAGGCATGAAAATCTCTTGAACCTGGGAAATGGAAGTTGCAGTGAGCTGAGATCACATCATTGCACTCCAGCCTGGGAGACAAAATGAGACTCCTCTGTCTAAAAAAAAAAAAAAAAAAAAAAAAGCTCATGTAAAAACTATACCATAGAGAAGAATATCAAGTGAAAAATGCTCCTCCTTAGAATCTCAACTTTCTAGTCTAACCCCCCGACATAACTACTTTTAATCATTACTTGTAATACACACACACACACACACACACACACACACATAGGTATTTTCACTATAATATATAGTGTATACCTTTTTTCTTTTAATCAGATGAAATCATACCATGGGGTTTCGCAACTTGTTCTTGATACCTTTGCACGTCACTGCATATAGATCTTCTTGCACGCCTTCTTTTATTATCTGCAGTGGAATAGACCATTATAAAGCACGTCCTTATGCAAGTGGACTCTCTGGGTCATGGGCTATGCAAATATTTTCATTTTATATGATATTGCCAAATGTCCACCCAGCACATAAGAGAAAATGCCAATTTCAAGGCTGGGGATGTTTTTTGATCCCCTTCTGATTACATATGGCTGGTGGTGTCATGGCCCATCCATATCTCCTTTGCCAACATTAATCCCGGCTTTGGCATCTCTTTAACTCTCAGTAGAATGAAATCTTTGGACGCTGATCCTCAGCAGTGAGGCATTTTCTTTGCCTTCTCTTTCCAACTCTGTAGTGGTCATTGATTAACAAGCCTGTCTCTCCCTTTCACTGGCCCTTTCCATTTAGACCCTGGCCTCTTTCCTCACTCCATCCTCCTCCCAACCTGCACTTTCTGGAACAGCCCCACAGGGCCCAGCTGGTGGGTGCCTCCTTCCCCAGGGGTGTGGGGTGTATGGTTGGTTTTGTGGCAAGGTCATCCTCATGGTCACCACCTTGCTTGTTGATGTTCCCTGCCATTGGCATGGTGGTTGTTATGGGATCAGCATGGGTAACCAAACCCTGAAGAGACACAGCTTTGCTGCTAGGAATTTTAAATCTGTAGTTCCTTACTGTCTCGCCAAAGGCTGGCTCTTAATAGCTCTTGTTGCCAGCGGCGCTGATGATGAAACCAGCCCTCGCCCTCACCTTTCAGTGGTTACCCACTTTCACTTCCCATCTGTCTGCTTATGCCTTGGCCGAAACAGGGACCACTCAGTGCCTCACTAATGTTTACAGCCCTCTGGATGATTTCTAGCCACCAGCTCTGATGGGCCCTATGATGAAGGAAGAAAAGAAGAATCAGTAGCAAACGGGAAAAGGAATAATTGCTGGTGCTCTGGGTCCCAGCCCTGGGCTTTGAACACCCTTGGCCATTCCCAGAGAATGCCTGGTCCATCCAGTTGCCTGACTTCCATGCTGCCTAACCACAAGAATAAAGACCAAGGCCTGGGGGTACTGGGGCCAGGTGCAGGCTGGTAGGCCTGGCACACAGTGGAGGGATAGGGGATGCAGCCTGTTGTGAAATCCAAGATTAGCATCTCCGTCTACCCCGTCCACCTCATCTGCCTCTTTCTGTCTCATTTTCTCCTTTGTCCTCAGCAAATTCAGCACTTCCTTCTCACTGTCTCCTTCCCTTTTGCCTCCAAACATCTATGCCTTCCTTTTTCTTCCTACCCATCACTTCCACTGCCTGTTCCCTGAGATAGCAGTCTCTACCAGTCCACCTTCCTTCCCCTGCACCTGCTCTCCTCTACCCTGAAAGGTATTGCCCGTTTCCGCACCCCTGCTGAAAATCTTGTTGCCCCTTAGCTTCAGACGCCCCAGCCTCTTCTCAGCACTCTTTCTGAAACCTCTGCAATTGGTAATGCTAATAGAGCACTTCCCTAGGACTGTCTTCTCCCCTGACACCTGTGTACACCCCACCTCTCCAGTTCCACAACAATTTCCTTTTTCCTTATCCCCAGTATCTGTCCCTCCACATTTTTTTCGGGGTTTCACCGAATCCATCCCTGCCCTAAATCATCACCTCCACATGCACTTTTCCACCAGGCCTCCATGTCCTGCCCCATAGCTCTCAATGTAAGCTGCATATCTCTTCTGTTAAATATAACATTTAAACCAAAATGTCTCAGCTTCTCACCTCCCACCCTGAGCAACCTCCCTCTCATGATTCCCCTGCTTCAATAACCAGAGCTGCACCTCTCTTACATACTCTGAAGCTTCAAGCCTGGTGTCCTTTGAATCCAACTTCCACACGGCATCAGTCTTTACATCCTCTGAGATTTCTCCCAAAGCAGTGCCTCTCCTGAATCAGAGCTCCCCACTCTGCCACCTTTTCCAGATTATTGATTCCTGGGTGGCCCAGTCCTGTACACTCTCCCCATGTGCCTTCATCATCACTCCCTTACGCAGACACCTCTCGGGGCCCTCTGTTTGTGGAATGGGGCCCAGCCATGCAGATTTTCTCCAGTCCATACCCTCGTGTCCTTCCCCACTGGGGAACCTCCCTCTCCCATGCTCATCCCAGGGCTGACTTCCCCCAGGCCGTGTGCACCTCACCTCTATGCACCCCTTTATCATCTGTGGGAGAAGATCTCTTCTCTAAATTCAACTCAGAAATGCAGATGACTGCCCCATGCATTGGGTCTGCCATTGTCCTCCCTCTTTGCCTGTATACTTGTTTTGTTTTCCCAGCAAAATCAGAAGCTCCTGGAGCGCCTTTGCATTTCTTCATGCCCTGCTAAGGTGGGGTTGGTAAATTCATAAACTCAGGGGCAAGGCCAGAATGCATATACAACAGGTAGACAAGAAGGACGGTGTTGGCCGCACAAAACCCATCTATAGATTGAATGGACCCGTGGGCCGCACCAGTTTGAGATCCTTAGCCAGGTGCCTGGCCCTGTCAGTGAGTCCATGAATCCTTTGTGGTGGATGCCCCAGAGGCAGCAGTCAGTCCCCAGCGTCCGGCAGACTGTTGGAGTGGGTGACCTGATTTCCCTGGCCTGGTGTAGAAGGAGCAGCCTGCCTCAGCAGGCACAGAGGTGTCAGCTTCTCACTCCGTGGGCTGTGCTGCACCTGAAGTCAGGTGCTGCCACAAGGCTCTGGTTTCCTGTGAGATCTAACCAGCGGTCGCTTTTCTCACTCATATACTAAGGAAAGAGTGGGCCTGCCCTTCCTCCACTCATGACCCACTCAAAGCTGCCCAGACCAAGTTTACCTGGAGTTTGTGCGGGTGATTTTGGCTGGGCAGCACCTTTATGCTCTGAAGCATTTGGGAGATGGGGATAGGGGTGGAGACAGAAGGACAAGAGGAGAAAGGCAGAGAGCAAGATGCAGGGGGAACGACGCCCTGGAAACCGGGGCCCTATTTTCACTCCTGTGGCCTGCCTTCCACCCCTACCCCTCCCACTGCCCCAGGCTAAGTCCACACGGCAGCCCTTGACACCTCTCAGGTGCTTCCCAGCCTCCAGTCTCACTCCACCCCACCCAAGCTACACAGGCGGTGAGACTCAGCCGCTGAACCGTGAGTTTCACAAAGCCTTTCCCCATGACCACTGCCTGCAAAACAAACTCCAGACCGCTCTGTCTGGCTGGAGCTTTCCATGACAGGGCCCTTCACTGTCTGTCCAGCTTTATTTTCCTCTGTTTCACCACGGGAAGAATGTATTCTGCCCGGTCCGGCTTGTCACCACCATACCTTAGAACGTTAACTTCTTCAGGAATGTGAGCTGCTCCCAAGTCTGTCCCCGCATTCTCCTCCTGGTAGCAAGCCTGGGGAATGGCATAGTTACCCTAATTCCACAGATGAGGAGAAAGGGGTCAAAGAGTTCAGGTGCTTCTCAAGACCACAGCACGACAAGCAGGAGAGCTAGTCTCAACGCAGGCCCTTTTTGCTCCACAGTTCAGGGTCTTCCCACGTAACTTTACTTAAAGGAAAATTGTAAGCTCCTGAGAATGTGGGCTAGGCCGTACTTGTTTTGTTTGTAAATGTGTACATGGGTGTCTTGGTTCATTCAGGCTGCTGTAACAGAGGACTATAGACCAGGTGGCCTGTAAGCAACAGAAATTCATTTCTCACAGGGAGGCTGGGAAGTCCAAGATCAAAACGCCAGCAGAATCAATGTGTGATGAGGGCCTGCTTTCTGGTTCATAGACAGCTGGCTTCTCACTGTGTCCTCAGATGAAGGAAGGGGAGAGGAAGCTCTCTGGTGGTCTCTTTTATAAGGGCACTAATCCCATTCATGAGGTCTCCACCCTCATGACTGCATCACCTCCCAAAGGCCGCACCTCCAAATGTTATCACATTGGGAATTAGGTATCAACACGAATTTGAGGGAGAGTTTTTTGTTACCTTTTTTTTTTTTAGATGGCGTTTCACTCTTGTTGCCCAGGCTGGAGTGCAATGGCACGATCTCAGCTCACTGCAGCCTCCACCTTCCAGGTTCAAGCGATTCTCCTGCCTCAGCCCCCCCGAGTAGCTGGGATTATAGGTGCGTGCCACCACACCCGGCTAATTTTTTGTATTTTTAGTAGAGACAGGGGTTTCACCATGTTGGCCAGGCTGGTCTTGAACTCCTGACCTCAGGTGATCCGCCTGCCTCGGCCTCCCAAAGTGCTGGGATTACAGGAGTGAGCCACTGTGCCCGGCCACAAACATTCTATCTAGTGACATTTTATCTATTGCTCATGGGTTACAACTACAATATGTAACAAAACAGAGCTAGGTAAATAATTAAGAGGAACAGTCATGCATTTTCTTTGGTTTGGTTTTGTTTCTTCTTCTTCTTTTTTTTGAGACACTCTTGCTCTGTCGCCCAGGCTGGAGTGTAGTGGCACTATCTCTGCTCACTACAACCTCCTCCTCCCAGGTTCAAGTGATTCTCCTGCCTCAGCCTCCCAAGCAGCTGGGACTGCAGGCATGTGCAACCATGCCCGGCTTATTTATTTATTTATTTTTTTGAGTTGGATCCTCGCTCTGTCACCCAAGCTGGACTGCAATGGCGTGATCTCGGCTTACTGCAACCCCTGCCTCCTGGGTTCAAGTAATTCTCATGCCTCAGTCTCCCTAGCAGCTATGATTACAGGCACTTGCCACCACCTTCAGCCTATTTTCTTAATTTCTTACTTTTTTTTTTTTTTGAGACAGAGTCTCGCTCTGTCACCCAGGCTGGAGTGCAGTGGTGTGATCTTGGCTCGCTGCAACCTCCGCCTCCTAGATTCAAGTGATTCTCCTGCGTCAGCCTCCCAAGTAGCTGGGACTATTAATTTCTTAAGTGGTGGCCAGGCGCGATGGCTCATGCCTATAATCCCAGCACTTTGGGAAGCCGAGGTGGGCGAATCACAAGGTCAGAAAATCGAGACCATCCTGGCCAACATGGTAAAACCCCATCTCTACTAAAAATACAAAAATTAGCTGGGTGTGGTGGTGCACCTCTGTAGTCCCAGCTACTCAGGAGAGTAGGACTCTCCAGCTGAGGCAGGAGAATCGCTTGAACCCGGGAGGCAGAGGCTGCAGCTAGCTGAGATCATGCCACTGCACTCCAGCCTGGGTGACAGAGTGAGACTCTGTCTCAAACAAACAAACAAAAAAATTTATTAAGTGGTGACGTTTCTACACAAAGTGAAGGGATAACCGAGTTCTGTAATTGAATTACATCACTGCTCCCTGCCCTTCTGCTCCACCGCGGTGTACCCTGGCCTGCCTTTCCCCGCTGTGGCTCCAGAGCCAGTGGTGACCCCCTGCCCAGGCAACAACAAGGAAGAGATGGGCACCTCTAGACCCCAAGATGCAAAAGTTCCTCTCCTCCCATTCACACACTCTTTTTGGCCAGCATTTCCCTGGCCGGGATCCCTCCAGCAGCTCAGTTGAAGAGCTAGCCACCTAAAAAAGATTTGCATTACAGTACAGTGTGACAAGAGCCATCGTAGAGCTGTGCACACAATATCGCTGGGGTACCAGGTGGAGTCTGGGGAATCTTTGTGAGTTAGGGATGGGTATGTTAAAGGAGTGAAGGAAAGATATAAAGTACTGAACAGGAAAGCTGCAAAGAGCAGGCCCTAGGAGCTTGAAGTCCATCATCGTCAGTAAGCCCCGCCTTGGCTTCTGTTTCTTAATGAGGCCAGACTCTCTCAGTCTGCAGATCAGAGCAAACAGAAGCCCTCATCTGTTTATAGTTTAATCCTAACCTGATCCTAGCTTGGAAGCAAAGCTTCTCTCACTTTAGCAATGACAGCTTCTCCGTACACTTTAGGACCATGGCTTTCCACCTACAAGTCCCCACAAGCACTTTTTAAAAAATGAAATTAAAGAAAATATCAGAGTGCATCCAACAGAGTAAGTATTATTTCATGAAACTTTTGATTCAGTGACATGTGTGTATGAGTCTGGGTGGTAATGTCAGATGTATTTCTTACTGAGATTTTAAAAGTTAAACTTTAAACGTTTAAAGGAAAACATCTGTTCATCAAATATTAAGTATGATCAGAAACTGTATCTTGTTCTAGGGTAAAGAAAAGAGCAAGACTTGGCTCCTTCACTTAGGAAGCTGTGAATCTGGGGGCGAAAAGACAAACATACCGCTAGGACAGGATGTGAAAACCACACTGACAAAGTGGCGTCAGGGTGCCTGGAGTTGGGAGGAGGAGCCAGCACCTTCCAGGAACCCCAGTGCCCCTGGAGGAGGTGGTGTGTGGGCTGGTCCTGAAGCGGGCTGCAGGAGGAAGCGTGTTCTCGGAGGGGATGGGGGCGTGGATGGACAGCTGTAGCCTGGTGTGGGAATCCAGGGCAAGGGGCTGCTGGACCAGGCTTGGGCAGAGGTGCCAGGAGGGACACAGGGGCAATGATGACAGGGAGGAAACGATCAAAGCGGACCAGATATTGACTTTATCTTGTGGGAGATGTGGGAGATATATATGTGTGTGTGTGTGTATACACCACACACACACACACACACACACACACACACACACACACAGTGGCACAATCTCAGCTCACTGCAACCTCCGCCTTCCAGATTCAAGCAATTCTGCTGCCTCAGCCTCTCCCGAGTAGCTGGGATTACAGGCACCTGCCACTATACCCGGCTAATTTTTGTACTTTTAGTAGAGGCAGGGTTTCACCATGTTGGCCAGGCAGGTCAGACATGTGTGATATTTTTTGTTGTTTCAAAAGGGGATGACAATGGGAGGCAGCGACTTGAGGGCCAAATGTTGCATTTGTCCTCGTTTCAAGGATTTTTTGGGTTTATCTGAACATTCGTCCTGATTAAAACTTAGGATGCCGTGAAGCAGTGGTCTGATAGGAATTCTCCATGTTTTCATTTTGTTCATGTTTCCTGCTTGCCCTCCAGCTAGACCCAGCGTTGGTATGTGGCCACCTTCCTTTCCCACAAAGCCTTTTTGCTTTCCTATTTTTTCTCATTATCCCCACTGTGCACCAACTCCAGCTGCGGAAGGGACCCAGAAGGGGAGAAGTGTTTTCTTCTAACACCTCTCCTCACCCCTGGGGGCTACAGGCAAGCTGGCTTTAGAAAGAGACAGCAGGGCTGAGAACTTGCTTTTCAGCTCAGCAAACAGGGAGTGGCTTAGAAAGTAGAGACAAAAGAGAAAAGCAAAAACAACTAAAGGAGCAAACGTTTTGTGCAAAAACATTTTTTAGTCGCAGATCCAGAATATAGAGTCTGCCTTCTCCTAGGTAATCTCTTGGAGCCCAGTAATTGAAAGGGGTGGCAAATATCCAATATCTAAATGTAGCTGTCTAAGGGCTAAAGTTAGGGACTGGAATTTACCAACCTCACCCCAGCCTCATTGTGGACTTCTTCCTTCCATGATGTTCGCCTTGACTTGGAACTCTTATATTAAGAGTCATCCAGCAGCGTGACGGACGTCCTTCTGTGTTGTTCGTTCCCATGCAGAAGCCGGTCTCCTTTGCTCTTAACACGCCAAGCCCCTTTTAACCCTTTGCCCCAAGTGTCTTCTGCTCTCCGGAATTCTCTGTCTCCTTTTCTATACCTACCTAAAATCCTATATCCTCCAAGAAAGCAGCCCACACAGAGTGCCCAGAATTCCTAAAATCTTTTTGGTCTTTAAATCTTTTTGTTTTGTTTTGTTTTTGAGACAGAGTCTCGCACTGTTACCAGGGCTGGAGTGCAGTGGTGTGATCTTGGCTCACTGCAACTTCTGCCACCTGGGTTCAAGAGATTCTCCTGCCTCAGCCTCCCGAGTAGCTGGGATTACAGGCACCCGCCATCATGCCCAGCTCATTTTTTGAATTTTTAGTAGAAACAGCGTTTCACCATGTTGGCCAGACTGGTCTCGAACTCCTGACCTTGTGATCCAGCCACCTCGGCCTCCCAAAATGCTGGAATTACAGGCGTAAGCCACCATGCTCGGCCTGGTCTTTAAATCTTTATGAATCATAAAGGAATTATTCATTCCCTTATGTATAACCTCAGGATGTTAAATGTTTGTCACTGAGATTTTAAGTGTTGTAGATTCTTGGAACTCAGAGACACTAAATCATCCTTCTGTGCCTGGCTCAGAGCTGAGGATGTAATAGGATTTCGGAATTGAGATCTAATATAAATCTGGTGCAAAATCTGAGTTCAAGTCCCTGGGAGCTTGGGAGCTTCCTTTGCCTCCTTCCTAAAGGGCAATTCCCCTTTTGTAAAACTAGACTAGTCATCGTACCTACCATTTAGGGATGCTGCAAGGGTTAAACTAGAAAAAGTTTAACATGTTACTGGGATTAGTTATTTTTACTACAAAGTGGTAAGATAGAAGTCAAAGGGTACATTTTATTTGCTTGTTTCTGCTTGTGTTCAACTTTAGCGTTTTCCCTGTCCTTGTGAGTTTTATTTGTATTTATTTTTGAGATGTGAAATATTAAAATGATTTTAAAAGTCAGTTCAGAACAAAAAGAGGATCGGGTGCGGTAGCTCACACCTGTAATCCCAGCACTTTGGGAGATGGAGGCAGGAGGATAGCTGGAGCCCAGGAGTTCAAGACCAGCTGGGCAACATAAGGAACCCACATCTCTGCTAAAAATAAAATAAAATAAACAAAAAGAGATATTCCTAGAAGTCTCATTCCCCCTCATTCCCTTTATTTCCATCCTGTTCCTACCATGCCCTGCAGGTAGCTAATCTCATCCATCTCTGTTTTTTTCTTTTTCTGTTTCTTTTTCCTTGAACAAATAGGTAAATGTGGCCGGCCTGGTGGCTCACGCCTGTAATCCCAGCATTTTGGGAGGCCAAGGCAGGTGGATCACGAGGTCAGGAGATCAAGACCATCCTGGCTAACACAGTGAAACCCCTCTCCACTAAAAATACAAAAAATTAGCCGGGCATGGTGGCGGGCACCTATAGTCCCAGCTACTCGGGAGGCTGAGTCAGGAGAATGGCATGAACCCGGGAAGCGGAGCTTGAAGTGAGCCGAGATCACACCATGGCACTCCAGCCTGGGCAATAGAGCGAGACTCCGTCTCAAAAAAAAAAAAAAAAAAAAAAAAACTAAATGTTCTGTTTCCTCCTCTCAAAGGTATACTTGAGACAATGTCCTTTCGAGACCAGTTTTTCAGGACTCTGGCCATCTTTTGCACATGTTGGTTGGGAGGTTGGGAGGTGCTAGGCGGGCAGGAGCTCTGTGACAGTGGCCTTAGTTGTGTCCTAATCCTCCCCTCATTCTTCACATGACTAGCTATATCATAAATACTTACCCCAGGTCCCAAAGGTGTCTCTATGATTGGTAATGGGGCCACAACCCAGTTCCTGCTACCCAGGAGACTGAGGTTCAGGTTTCCTGCCCTAGTGAAGCATCCCCATCAAGCTCAGCATGGCCTGCTGATTCTCCTGGAGATGGAGGCAATTCAGGTACAAGCCTGGATTTCTGAAGAACCACTCTTGGTGCTTGCAGAGCCACGACAAGTACCAGCCACACTCCTGCAACCTTCACACCTTATGAGAAAACAGCACTTTATGCTTCTAATCTATCTATCTATCCATCCATCCATCTATCTATCTATCTATCTATCTATCTATCTATCTATCTATCTATCTATCTATCTATTTTTTTTAAATGAGATCTGAAGAATCAAGGCCAAAAGACCCCTGGGTGTTTCTCTGTAGGACCTCTTTTTAAGGAGGGAAAAACCTGAGTAAATTAAAGTTCGCAGCCCTAGGGCGGTGGCCCAAGGCAGTGGAGGCCCACCGCTGGAGGTATTCATTGGAAAAAGCAGTGGGAGTGGAGAATTCTGTCTCGGAGTAAGCTGTCCACAAGTCTGCTCGGAGGCTGTGACTCACTCTGAGGAAAAGGAGTGCCCTGTATTCTGGAGGAGGCTGCTTTCTCCAAACAGGAGATCTGTGGCCAAGGAAGGAAATGAAGCAATCCAAGACTGATCAGCAGCCGTGGGGCAGGCAGAGCTAGACGTCCACACCACCCCCAACTCTTTGTGCTTAATATTTGCCCTGTGCCCCCAAGGAATAAACAGCACTACAGAACTGGATTCTGGTGAGAAGGGAATCAGGCCCTATCTTGGGCCCTCTCTGGACCTTTGTTTGCCCATCTCGAAGGTTAAGGGGTGAACTGGACAGGGAGGAAACTGGCAGCCAACTCATGTCCCAACTCAGCCTGTGGCTGCATTTTATCTTACTCACAGTTAGAAAAACAATTCAATTTAGGTGCCTTTGCACAAGGCTCTTTTCTCCAGTTCGGCATAGCCACTACCATTTCCTGCCATCTTACCCTAAGTCAGCTTCACAAATTCAGGCTCCCTGCCTGCCCTTTGAAGTTATTTGAAATGGCAACTCCAGCACTAGCAGCAACCAAGTCCCTTCCAGCTCTGGGGTCCCTCCCGAGGATTCTATGCCTCGGAGAAACAGGGAGTAGAAGCAGGGTGAGCAGGCTGCTCTGGAATGAGAAGGAGATGATCCTTAGTCTCAGGATGCTACAGAGGGTGAGTGTGGCAGCATGCCAGGGCCGAGCATCTGCCAGGCAGCACCATCACGGCTTAGGGAGAACTCAAAAACAGCCTTTTTTTACAGCCTCCTGGTGCATCCTGTTTCTCTGGTGCTGCTGCCACCAGCAAGTGGGCACCATGCCCACCCTGCAGTGGGCAGTGAGGGGGCTAGGTGCCCATCTGTCCCGTCTCCTAAGCAGGTGCTGGGAAGATGGCGCCTGAGCTCAGGCTGCCCTCTGCTGGGTGAGCATAGAAGCTGCTGTGGGGTCTGAGACCACAGAAAATCCCACAGGGGAAGGAGGCACCCCCTCTCAGATTCTCCACATTCGTGAGGTGGGAATGGCTTGATTGTGGGCTGCTGCATCCCTGCCGCCTTCCAAAGAAGACTCAGTCTCTAGGAAGGTAGTCTCAGGTCCTGTAAGTCTGCATTTAATTAAAATCCCTTTCTTTTTTCTTTTTTGTTTTGAGACAGAATCTCGCTCTGTCACCCAGGCTGGAGTGCAGTGGTGCAATTTCAGCTCACTGCAACTTCCGCCTCCTGGGTTCAAGTGATTCTCCTGCCTCAGCCTCCGGAGTAGCTGGGACTACAGGCACCAGCCACCATGCCCAGCTAATTTTTGTGTTTTTCCTAGAGACAGGGTTTTACTACGTTGGCCAGGCTGGTTTTGAACTCCTGACCTCAGGCGATCTGCCAATATCAGCCTCCCAAAGTGCTGGGATTATAGGCATGAGCCACCGTGCCTGGCCCCAAAATCCCTTTTCTGACATAGGGCCTAGCACGACGATGTGCTCAGTGAATATATATTGAATAAATAACTAGGCCAGCGGTTACCTACGGTAGAAACTGCTTCTGTCTTGTTTGGAAGGGCAACTTTATTGTTTTTCTTCCTCAACTTCCTCTAACAGACGCTAACCCCTAATGTCTACTCGGGGTCCTGCCTGGCTCTCCCAATTCCAAGCTGGTGCTCTGGCCTGGGCATCTTCCTCCAGGCTCCCCGGGGCATGGCTTCTCCTAGTTCCTCAGCCCCAACCCAGGTTCCTGCTGAGATGAGCACAAATCCCCCTTTTCTCTCATCATTTCCTTCTGCCTTCCCTTTGAACACCTGGATTCTTGTTCCACCTTGAGCTCACTGGACTTAGAGATATTCTCTCCTTCCTGAGGCAGCCACAGGGTGTTTCTAGCCCACTTCACTATTAACTGTTGTTACTTGACACATGGGCACGTGTCCATGGGGTGGGGTGGGCAGCAGGAAGGGCTGGGAACTTCTGGTTTCTAGGAGGGAACTCTGGGGCCCCCCTAGGGTTGTCCTGGGATAGGACCAGGCCCAGTTTGGGGCTGGGGTAGGGCTGCATGAGACTGAGCTGAATGCCCCATCAAAGATGAACGTTTCTTCAAGCATATTTCAGGCGTTCTCACTTAGCTCTACACAATGATCTCACCAGATTTGGGGAGGGGGAATGGGGCTCCCTCAGGTTTTTCCTATTATACCTATTTCTCTTCCAATTTATATTTCCTAATCAACAATAGAGATCTGTTTTTGATTAGCTAGATGAGATACATAGGAAAAATTCGGCTGGGCGCTGTGGCTCACACCTGTAATCCCAGCACTTTGGGAGGCTGAGTCGGGTGGATCACAAGGTCAAGAGTTCAAGACCAGCCTGGCCAACATGGCCAACATGGTGAAACCCTCCCCCACTCCCGCCCTGTCCCTACTAAAAATACAAAAATGAGCCGGGCATGGTGATGCATGCCTGTAATCTCAGCTACTCGGGAGGCTGAGACAGGAGAATTGCTTGAACCCCGGAGGCAGAGGTTGCAGTGAGCCAAGATTGCGCCAGTGCACTCCAGCCTGGGTGACACAGCAAGACTCCATCTCAAAAAAAAAAAAAAAAAAAGGAAAAATTCAAAGAGCTATAGAGTCAGTAAAAAGTTTTAGTTGCCCCACCCATTCCTCCATTTCCCTTGCCCAGAGACAGTCTGCTGCCATTTTCTTGTGGATCCTTCTAGAAACAGTATCATGAACATAGTTATATGTATATAGGCATGCATTCAGTCAGTATTTGAACACCTGCTATGATTCAGTTACTGTTCTTCTATAAAACATATAAAAATCCTTGTTCTAGAGAACCTATATTCTAACAGGAGGCAAGGAGTCAGAGAATAAATGAGGTAAA
This sequence comes from Homo sapiens, assembly GCF_000001405.40. Classification (NCBI taxonomy): domain Eukaryota; kingdom Metazoa; phylum Chordata; class Mammalia; order Primates; family Hominidae; genus Homo; species Homo sapiens. The sequence continues at coordinate 112,624,765 of NC_000002.12, read as the reverse complement.
TCAAATATATGACATGTTAGATGTTGATACATGCAATGGAAAAAACTTACACAGGGTAGGTGAGTTGGGGTGTGGTCCCGAGTGCCTTTCCCCTGGGCTGCCTCTCCTCACCCTGAGAAACCTGGGGCCACACAGCTGGTGCAGCTCTCAATTCTGGTTTCTCACACGCAGGAACCCCACCCTGCCCTGGTGAGTCACGCCTTCACTTGGCTTCCTGATGTTGGAGGGCAGGCCTCCCTTACTGCCTCAAGGCTGTTCATCATCTTCAGCTTATATCCTGGGTCAACGTTGATGACTACTTTGCTGGCTTTAATTAAGTGGTCTATGGGCCAGGAGAATAAGGATCAACATCATCTGGGGACTTGTCAGAAATGCAAATTCTCAGGCCCCACCCCAATACTACTGGATCAGAAACTCTAGGTTGGGGTCCAGCAATCTGCGTGGTTTTTGTTTTAGTTGATGTTATTGTTTTAGAGACAGGGTCTTGCTAGGCCGCCCAGGCTGGAGTGCAGTGGCTATTCACAGGCACAATCATAGCATGCTGTAGCCTCAAACTCCAGGGCTCAAAAGATCCTTCTGCCTCAGCCTCCCAAGTAGCTAGGACTACAGGCGCACCCTACTGCGCCCAGCTGAGCAATCTGTGTTTTAAAAAGCCTTCCGGATAGCTCTGATGCATGATAAAGCTTTTATGAACCTCTGCTCTGCGGAAATGCCTTACCATCTCACATGCCTACCAGCTATGGTCATAAGCACACATTTTATATAATCGTACCAAGTTTTGAAAAATCTTTTCCAAGTTAAATCCTAGACAGGTGTACAAATTATATGTTAAGAAGTAACAGATAAATCTTACAGCCCAATTATTTGAAAATAAGAATCAAGTCATTTGAGTCTGGGCCTTCGAAATTTGACATGTAAGAATATTCATAGAAAATTGACTTAGTCCTAAATTCTTATCCCTAAATCCTGTTTTGTTTTGTTTTTTAATTTTTTTTTAAATTTTTTTTGGTTTTTTTTTTTTGAGTCAGAGTCTCGCTCTGTCGCCCAGGCTGGAGTGCAATGGCACAATCTCAGCTCACTGCAACCTCTGCCTCCCGGGTTCAAGCAATTCTCCTCGCACCTCAGCCTTTTGAGTAGCTGGGATTACAGGCGCCCGCCATCATGCCCGGCTAATTTTTGCATTTTTAGTAGAGATAGAGTTTCACCATATTGGCCAGGCTGGTCTCGAACTCCTGACCTCATGATCTGCCCACCTAGGCCTCCCCAAGTGCTGGGATTACAGGTGTGAACCACTGCACCCAGCCCCAAATCCTGTTATCTAAAAGATGACAAAATTTGAGCCTAGGCAACATATCAAGACCCCATCTCTACAAATTTTTTTTAAGAAATAGCCAGGTGGCTGGGCGTGGTGCCTCACCCTGTAATCCCAGTACTTTGGGAGGCAAAGGTGGGTGGATTACGAGGTCAGGAGTTCAAGACCAGCCTGACCAATATACTAAAAATACAAAAATTAGCTGAGCATGGTGGCACACGCCTGTAGTCCCAGCTGCTTGGGAGGTTGAGGCAGGAGAATCACTTGGACCTGGGAAGTGGAGGTTGCAGTGAGCCGAGATCAAGCCACCGCACTCCAGCCTGGGTGACAGAGCGAGACTCCGTCTCAAAAAAAAAAAAAAAAAAAAGAAAAGAAAAGAGAAAAGAAATAGTAAGGCATGGTGGTGCATGCTTATAGTCCCAGCTACTCAGAAAGCTGAGGCAGGAAAATCACTTGAGCCCAGAGGTTCAAGCCTTCAGTGAGCTATGACTGCCACTGCATTCCATCCTGGGCAGCAAAGAGAGTCTCTGTCTCTACTGAAAAAAAAAAAAAAAAAAAAGAAAAGAAAAGAAAAAAAAAAGAAAAGAAAAAATTTGGAAATAAATTAAAAGTGCATAAAAGTTATTAAAATACTGCTAAATAGTAATAGATAATTTATCTTCCTCTTTACACTCTGCAGAAGAAACGGTGAATGGTACTTATTAGGCAATGTGTAAAGCACTTGACGTGTGTAATCTTATCACATCTGCACAAATGACACACGATCCAAAGAACATTTTTGGCTCCAACTTACAGATGAGTAAGCAAGCTCAGGGAGGATCTTTCCTGATAGATATTTAGCAGCAGAGAGGGCCAGGAATTGGGTTCTGTAATCTCAGTCTGTGCTCATTTTACTGGAAGCCACATGTGTAGATACTGGTATTATCTGAGCCTAATCCCTGGAATCTCTATGGTCAATTGGAGAGAGGCTTAGGGAGGTCAGGGGATAGACAGGTCTTGGCCAGAGTCCACCTCACAGTGGGTCAGGTAGGATCCCAGGCACACCGTGTGGCTATTTTGCCAGCCTTGCTGTCCTTATCCGAGGAATGCGGTCTGTCATGGTGGGAATGCCCAGTTAGAATCCTTGAAAGGGCCACCTACAACCAAGATAATAACCTAAAAACAATTCTGTGGAGGAAGACGCGGTCGTAGGTGCTGAGGATTTCTCGTTCAGACGCTCCTGCTCCTGACTTACCGCTGTTCACTCTCGCCGAGGAACAAGTCGGTCAGGAAGCCGCGCAGCAGCCTTGGCTTTTAAGGATACCGGAAAACACCCGTGGAGCCGGAGGTGGCCATTCACCAAATTCGAATCACCCTAACAAGCCGCAATGTAAAATCCCTGGAAAAGGTGTGTGATGACTTAATCAGAGGCGCAAAGGAAAAGAATCTCAAAGTGAAAGGACCAGTTCGAATGCCTGCCAAGACTTTGAGAATCACTACAAGAAAAACTACTTGTGGTGAAGATTCTAAGACCTGGGATCATTTCCAGATGAGAATTCACAAGCGACTCATTGACTTGCACAGTCCTTCTGAGATTGTTAAGCAGATTACTTCCATCAGTATTGAGCCAGGAGTTGAGGTGGAAGTTACCATTGCAGATGCTTAAGTCAACTATTTTAATAAATTGATTACCAGTTGTTAAAAAAAAAACAATTCTGTGCCTGATGACATTGCAGAAATTAGTTCCATAAAGATTTGAAAGATGCAGGGCTACTGATTTCCATAACACCATTATTACCTCACCTATTTGGTCAGTGCAAGAGGCAAATGTTGGTGGAGAATGAAGGTGGATTAACACAAACATATTCATGGGTTTGCTTATCCCGCCCACAGCACTTCCTCCAGCACCATATATTCATAGATTTACAAATGCTTATTCAATTGCAATGATGTCTTACATACAAATTATTTGTCCATGGGCATGTTTTCATGATAAAAGATGTTAAGCTATGGGCCATGGCTATGGAGTTCCTGCTTACTACATGCCACATCTCCTAGCAGCAGGCAGCTTCACAGAAGGTAGTGGAAAGACCTGCCGCAGCCTTAATTATGGTGGCAGTGTGGGCTCCACATCTACGACTTTACAATGTGTAGTGAACCTTTGGATACCTCTCAGAATTTCCCATCAGGACCTAAGCAGTGATTCCATGAGCTGCTAGAGTATGGACTGCTAATGATTCACAGGTGAAACCTCTTCCAAGAATGTCCTTGGCCCACAGGAACAGTCTTACCCAAGGTCATGCACCCTTCCCAGTGTAGGGACACACAGCCTGTTCTAAGGATATGTAATACTTCTGTCCATAATGGCAAGTGATGTTGCCTTTGGAAAAATGCTACAGTGAGAACAGCATTAGTGGGATGAGAGCACATCCAGGACCCACTGGGCTCCCTGAGCCCAGCCATGTGGTGTGGGTGAAGCAGTACAGGCGGGGAAAAGACCACTGCACTGAGGAAAAGAGCTGGCAGGGTCCAGCGTGCTTAAGAACAGTGTCCAGGCCAGGCACAGTGGCTCATGCCTGTAATCGCAGCACTTTGGGAGGCCGAGGCGGGCAGATCACGAGGTCAAGAGATCAAGATCATCCTGGGCCACATGGTGAAACCTCATCTCTATTAAAAATACAAAAATTAGCTGGGCATTGTGGCGTGTGCCTGTAGTCCCAGCTACTCGGGAGGCTGAGGCAGGAGAATCGCTTGAACCCGGGAGGTGGAGGTTGCAGTGAGCCAAGATCAAGTCCCTGCACTCCAGCCTGGCATCAGAGTGAGACTCCATCTTAAAAAAAAAAAAAAAAAAGCAGTGTCCGGCAGACTGTACAGACTGCACTCTGCTCAGGCCAGTTAGCTCTAATGATCCTTTTCAGCTACAAGTGCCAGTGACTGGCTACTCTGTAGAATGGGGTCATCAGGCATCAAAAGAGTCACATAATGGCATTACAAGATGGCCAGACATCCCTTGATCCCAGAGGAACATTTTGTGCCAGCACCTCCAGCTTCATGGAGGCATTGATACACCAAGTCCCTGAGGATGCCTGAAGCTGGTTCACAGATGGAGCCCGCTAAGTTACAGGCTGGCGGATTGTTCTTGGCCCTTGCAGCTGTGCAGCCACAGGGGAAAACAAAAGCTGTTTAAAATTTTGCACACAAAAAAAAGGTACTACCCAGTGGACAGAGTTGGGGACAGTGGTGGTTTTCCTGAAAAACCCCTCCAAAATGCTCCTTGCTGCTTTTTCATTGATTTAGAGACGGTAGCCAATGGGCTGGCAGTGCGGGCCTGTGCCTGGAAGCAAGACTAAATGATCAAGTCTCAATCCCTATGGCAGTGAACATTATGGTATCAGACTTTTTTTTTTTTTTCTGAGATGGAGTCTCCCTCTGTTGCCCAGGCTGGAGTGCAGTGGTACGATCTCAGCTCACTGCAGCCTCCATTTCCCAGGTTCAAGTGATTCTGTTGCCTCAGCCTCCCAAGTAACTGGGATTATAGGCTTGCACCACCGTGCCTGGCTAATTTTTTTTTTTTTTTGTATTTTTAGTAGAGACGGGGTTTTGCCATGTTGACCAGGCTGGTCTTGAACTCCTGACCTCAGGTGATCCACCATGCCTGGCTATTTTTTTTTTTTTTTATTAGAGATGAGATTTTTGCCATGTTGACCAGGCTGGTTTCGAACTCCTGACCTCAAGTGATCCACCGCCTCAGCCTCCCATGCTGGGATTACAGGCATGAGCCACCGCACCCAGCCTCAGATTTTATTAATACTACACCACTGCCCTCTGTTTTATGGATGTGGATGTCCATAGAAATAGCATGAGTGGAATTCAAAACCCAATCAGACTTGTGCCTTCCAGGTAAGGACAACTGAATACATCATCACAGAGGCCACGACATTCTGTCTACAGTGCAGGACTGGGACCCAAAGCAAAGATGAATGACTCCAGCACAGGAAGCCACCGAAGTCTGGTAAATGAGCCTGTCAGTCAAGGGGCAAAGAAAACTCCAGGGCACATATAAACTCAGGACACCAGATTCTGGCCAGTCCTGGCAAATAGGCTACATAACCTCCTAAATGCTCCACTTGGGGATGCAATTAAGCATTTCCTACAGTAGGCACCTTTCTGGGTATGGCATGGCAATGTAGGTCCTTACCACAGATAGGAGGTAGATGTAACATAAATTTAGGGACTCGCAGATGACCTGTGTTACATACTGAGATTCCCTGAATGTATCTCATCAAATGATGCGCATTTATAGTCAAGAGTACCCAACACTGGCCAACCACCTTGGACATTGCCAGGACATCTCAGGACCCTCATCACCCACAGGCAATAGATGCCATAAAAGGATGGAATGAGGCTGGGCGCCATGGCCCACACCTGTATCCCCAATACTTTGGGAGGCTGAGGCAGGTGGATCGCTTGAGACCAGCCTGGGCAACATGGTGAAACTCTGTCTCTACATAAAATACAAAAAATTATCCGGGTGTGGTGGTACACCCCTGTGGTCTCAGCTACTGGGAAGGCTGAGGTGAGAGGATCACCTGGGCCCAGGAGGTTGAGGCTGCAGGGTAAGCCGTGATTGAACCACTGCATTCCAGCCTGGGCGACAGAATGGGACCCGGTGTCAAAAAAAAAAAAAAAAAAAAAAAAGAGAGAGAGAGAGATGGATGCTTAAAGGAGAAGCTAAAAAGGGTACATAGAGAACCAAAGCTCAATTCTCAGTAGAGTACACACTTAAAACAGACAATATGGATTCTAAATGTGCCAATACCCCAAAAGGGAACTTCCTTTTTAAATAGAATCTGTGTGAGTTTGAGGAGTCGGGGAGGAGGCCCAGACTGTCTGTAAGAGACCCAAACCAACACAATATACTCTCCTTCTTCATTCCTCCTTTCCCTCCCACGCTCACCCCTGGGGAAACCAAACTATGCTGCTTTTTTCTTTTTTTTTTTTTTTTGAGACGGAATCTCACTCTGTCGCCAGGCTGGAGTGCAGTGGCGCAATCTCAGCTCACTGCAACCTCCGCCTCCTGGGTTCAAGCAATTCTCCTGCCTCAGCCTCCTGAGTAGCTGAGACTACAGGCGCCCACCACCACGCCCGGCTAATTTTTGTATTTTTAGTAGAGACGGGGTTTCACCATATCGGCCGGGCTGGTCACAAACTCCTGACCTCAGGTGATCCACCCACCTTGGCCTCCCAAAGTGCTGGTATTACAGGTGTGAGCCACAGCGCCCAGCATTTTTTTTTTTTTTTTTTTGACACGGGGTCTTGCTCTGTCGCCCAGGCTGGAGTGCAGTGGCACAATCTTGGCTCACTGCAACCTCCGCCTTCCTGGTTCTAGAGATTCTCCTGCCTCAGCCTCCGAGTAGCTGGGACTGTAGCTGGGACTATAGGCGTTTGCCACCATACCCGGCTAAATTTTAGGTATTTTTGGTAGAGACGGGGTTTCTCCATGTTAGCCAGGATGGTCTTGATCTCCTGACCTCGTGATCCACCTGCCTCGGCCTCCCAAAATGCTGGGAATACAGGTATAAGCCACCATGCCCAGCCTAACCTGATGCTGCTTTTACTGTCCAGTTATGCTTCCTGGATCTGGGCAATTATAGATACTGATGATATTGATCATGAGTATGAAGTGACGACTCCCAAAGTGGTCCCGGCATGGCACACTATGTGAGGGAGTGGAAGATGTTCTAGATGGCACAAGTTGCAAACACACACACGCACACACACACAAAGCTGCACTGCTTAGGAATAAACTCAGCCATATGGTGTGTATTAGACTGAGTGAGGACTGCAGGGACTAGCTATACCTATCTCATGGCCATGAAAAAACATCAAAAGCCCAGGATGGTGGTGAAGGAACACTCTAGATCTCTCTTGGCTCTTGCCTGCAGAACACCTGGCTTGGCCTGTCATCTCAGAATCTTTTTGTCATGTTGTCCAGGCTATCACCACTGCCCTCAGTCTAACTACTACTCCCATTCTATCGAGAGACCTTAAATCGAGGACCTCCAACTTTAGAAGTGGAGAACTTCTGCCCAAGACATCAGAAAAAAGATAATTTTCTGGACACTTAGGTTTCTTTCCTGCTTTCTCCTATCCTATTATTGCTGGTATCTCTGGTCCCCTTCCACTACCTAAAAAAAATAACAAAACTTCCTTGTGTTGCTCAATCTGTCTTACCCCTCCTGACCCTGCTGACAAACTTTTAATAGCTCCTCCTGCCTGGGCTCGATGGCTCATGCCTGTAATTCTAGCACTTTGGGAGGCTGAGGCAGGTCGATCACTTGAGATCAGGGGTTCGAGACCAGCCTGGCCAACATGGTGAAACCCCGCCTCTACCAAAAATATGAAAAATTAATCAGATATGGTGACATGTGCCTGTAATCCCAGCTACTTAGGAGGCTGAGGCAGGAGAATTGCTTGAACTCAGGAGGCGGAGGTTGCAGTGAGCCTAGTTCGTGCCAAAGCACTCCGCCTGGGGGATAGAGCAAGACTTCATCTCAAAAAAAAAAAAAAATCTCCTCCTTTGAGTACTTTGGAAGTATTCTTCCAGGAACTATTCCTTCTTTCAGGCTCTTTCTGATACTTAAATTTCCTTTATATTGTTAATCCCAGCCTCCAGTCTTGTGAGAATTGGACCTTGACGTCACGTCAGCACTGTGCTGCTGCTGTGGTCACCCAAACCTATTAGCAGAATCTAATTCGCCCTGAGCAGGACGTAGCATTGAGACTAGGTTGGGCTACGATAGCCGGAGACTTATACTCTTACAGTTTTGCCCCAAATGAATAGCACTTCTTATGGTGGATATCAGGCATATAATTGCCTACCACGCACCTAGTTTGGGCTATCAAGTGTGAGCGGTAATGGATGATCACATTGCCCTGGATTTTCTGCCAGCCAGCCAAGTAGGACATCTGAATTAATGACATACCTAACTGGCTTGGCTCTGGATGGGAAGTCTGATTGCAGCCTATCTTTTTCCAAGCAGGCCTAATTGTCCTCCTGGGAGTCATCATCATGGTTACTCTCATTTAATGTTGCCTAAGGAAAAGGATTTGGTCCAACCTTCTACCAGTACATCTAAGGTAAGTGATGGAGAATTTCCAGGCCAGGCATGGTGGTTCACACATGTAATATCAGCACTTTGGGAGGCCCAAGTGGGCAAATCACTTGAGCTCAGGAGTTTGAAACCAGCCTGAGCAACAAGGTGAAACTCCACCTCTACCAAAAATTCAAAAATTACCAGGTGTGGTGGTGCACACCTGTGGTCACAGCTACTTGGTAGGCTGAGGAGGGAGGATCACTTAAACCCAAGAGGCAGAGGTTGCAGTAAGCCAAGATTGTGCCACTGCACTCCAGCCTGGGCAACACAGTGAGACCTCATCTCAAAAAAAAAAAAAAAAGAATTCCCAGGCTCAGCACAGTGGCTCATGCCTGTAATTGCAGCACTTTGGGAGGCCGAGGTGGGTGGATCACTTGAGGCCAGGAGTTCAAGGCCAGCCTGGCCAATATAGTGAAACCCTGTCTCTACTAAAAATACAAAAAATAGCCAGGTGTGGTACCACATACCTGTGGTCACAGCTACTCAGGAGGCTGAGGCATGAGAATTGCTTTAACCCGGAGGCAGAGGTTGCAGTGGGCCGAGATTGTGCCACTGCACTCCAGCCTTGGGCAACAGAGTGAGACACCATCTCAAAAAAAAAAAAAAAAAAAACAATATCCAGAAGAATTATCAGCGGGGTATGTGGAAGGTCCAGCATGGTGGTATGGAGTGCCAACTCCACAGTGCCCTGGCAACCCTGCATGTCTTCACTTAGGCCATGTAGACAAGGCTCAACCACAGTCTGACTCCCCTTGTGCAAGAACACCCGAGGCTCCTGAAACACGGTGAGATTGTAACCGCCCAGTGGGTTCACTTTGCCCCCTGCCTAGACAAAGCCCATTTTTCAAGACAGGGGAATTACATGGAGAAAAAGTAATTCATGCAGAGCTGGCTGAGCAGGAGACCAGAGTTTTATTATTACTCAAATCAGTCTCTCTGAAAACTCAGGGATCAGGAGAGAGGTTCAAGATGGCCGAATAGGAACAGCACCAGTCTGCAGGTCCCAGCGAGATCGATGCAGACGGTGGGTGATTTCTGCATTTCCAACTGAGGTACCTGGTTCATCTCACCGGGGCAGGTTGGACAGTGGGTGCAGCCCACAGAGGCTGAGCGGAAGCAGGGTGGGGTGTCACCTCACCTGGGAAGCGCAAGGAATCGGGAAATTTTCCCCCTGACCCAAGGGAAGCTGTGAGGGTCTCAGCCTGAGGAACTTGGGCACATATACTGCACTTGTTCCATGGTCTTCACAACCTGCAAACCAGGAGATTCCCTCTGGTGACTACCCCACCAGGGCCCTGGGTTTCAAGCACAAAACTGGGCGGCCAACTGGGCAGACACTGAACTAGCTGCAGGAGCTTTTATTTTATTTTATTTTTCCATATCCCAGTGGCACCTGGAACGCCAGCGAGACAGAACTGTTCACTCCCCTGGAAAGGGGGCCTGAAGCCAGGGAGCCAAGTGGTCTGGCTCGGCGGTTCCCACCCCCATGGAGCCCAGGAAAGTAAGATCCACTGGTTTGAAATTCTCGCTTCCAGCACAGCAGCAATCTGAGATCCACCTGGGACGGTGGCGCTTGGTAGGGGGAGGGGCGTCCGCCGTTGCTGAGGCTTGAGCAGGCGGTTTTACCACCACAGTGTAAGCAAAGCTGCTGGGAAGTTCAAACTGGGTGGAGCCCATTGCAGCTCAGCAAGGCTGCCGTGTTCAGACTGCGAGATTGCTCCTCCCTGGACAGGGCATCTCTGTAAAAAAGGCAGCAGCCCAGTCAGGCTTGTAGCAGACTTAAACGTCCCTGCCTGATGGCTCTGAAGACAGCAGCGGATCTCCCAACACAGCATGCGAGCCTGCTAAGGGCCAGACTGCCTCCTCAAGTGGATCCCTGACCCCTGTGTATACTGACTGGGAGACACCTCCCAGTTGGGGCTGACAGACACCTCATACAGAAGAGCTCTGGCTGGCATCTGGCAGGTTCCCTGCTGGGTCGAAGCTTCCAGAGGAAAGAACAAGCAGCAATCTTTGCTGCTTTGCAGCCTCCACTGGTGATACCCAGGAAAACAGGGTCAGGAGGGGACCTCCAGCAAACACCAGCAGACTGGCAGCAGAGGGGCCTGTTAGAAGAAAAAGAAACAAACAGAAAGGATTAGCACGTCCACTCAAAGACCCCATCCGAAGGTTACCAACATCAAAGACCAAAGGTAGATAAATCCACAAAGATGGGGAAAAACCAGTGGAAAAAGGCTGAAAAATCCAAAACCAGAACGCCTCTCCTCCTCCAAAAGATCGCAACTCCTCGCCAGCAAGGGAACAAAACTGGACAGAGAATGAGTTTGACGAACTGACAGAAGTAGGCGTCAGAAGGAGGGTAATAACAAACAACTCCGAGCTAGAGGAACATGTTCTAACCCAATGCAAGGAAGCTAAGAACCTTGAAAAAAGGTTAGTCAAATTGCTAACTAGAATAACCAATGTAGAGAAGAACATAAATGACCTGATGGAGCTGAAAAACACAGCATGAGAACTTCGTGAAGAATACACAAGTATCAACAGCCAAATCAATCAAGTGGAAGAAAGGATATCAGCGATTGAAGATCAACTTAATGAAATAGAGAAGACAAGAGTAGAGAAAAAAGAATAAAAAGGAATGAACAAAGCCTCCAAGAAATATGGGACTATGTGAAAAGACCAAATCTACGTTTGATTGATGTACCTGAAAGTGACAGGGAGAATGAAACCAAGTTAGAAAACACTCTGCAGGATATTATCCAGAACTTCCCCAACCTAGCAAGACAGGCCAACATTCAAATTCAGGAAATACAAAGAACACCACAAAGATACTCCTTGAGAAGAGCAACCCCAAGACACATAATTGTCAGATTCACCAAGGTTGAAATGAAGGAAAAATGTTAAGGGCAGCCAGAGAGAAAGGTCGGGTTACCCACAAAGGGAAGCCCATCAGACTAACAGCAGATCTCTCGGCAGAAACCCTACAAGCCAGAAGAGAGTAGGGGCCAATATTCAACGTTCTTAAAGAAAGAATTTTCAACCCAGAATTTCATATCCAGCCAAACTAAGCTCCATAAGTGAAGGAGAAATAAAATCCTTTACAGACAAGCAAATGCTGAGGGATTTTGTTACCACCAGACCTGCCTTACAAGAGCTCCTGAAAGAGGCACTAAACATGGAAAGGAACAATGAGTACCAGCCACTGCAAAAACATATCAAGTGTAAAAAACATCGACACTATGAAGAAACTGCATTAACGGGCAAAACAACTAGCTAGCATCATAATGACAGGATCAAATTCACACATAACAATATTAACCTTGGGTTGGGCATGGTGGCTCATGCCTGTAATCCCAGCACTTTGGGAGTCCAAGGCAGGCGGATCACAAGATCAGGAGTTCGAGACCAGCCTGACCAACATGGTGAAACCCCATCTCTAATAAAATAAAAAAATTAGCCAGGCCTGGTGGCAGGTGCCTGTAATACTCGGGAGGCTGAGGCAGGAGAATTGCTTGAACCCAGGGGGCGGAGGTTGAGTGAGCTGAGATGGTGCCATTGCACTCCAGCCTGGGCAACAGAGTGAGACTCCATCTCAAAAACAAAAACAAAACAAAACAAAAACAATATTAACCTTAAATGTAAATGGGCTAAATGCCCCAATTAGAAACACAGACTGGCAAATTGGGTAAAGAGTCAAGAACCATGAGTGTGCTGTATTCAGGAGACCCATCTCACATGCAAAGACACACACAGGCTCAAAATAAAAGGATGGAGGAATATTTACCAAGCAAAAAAAAGCAGGAGTTGCAATCCTAATCTCTGATGAAACGGACTTTAAACCAACAAAGATCAAAAGAGACAAAGAAGGGCATTATATAATGGTAAAGGGAACAATGCAGCAAGAAGAGCTAACTATCCTAAATATATATGCACTCAATACAGAAGCACCTAGATTCATAAAGCAAGTTCTTAGAGACCTACAAAGAGACTTAGACTCCCATACAATAATAGTGGGAGACTTTAACACCCCATTGTTAATATTAGATCAATGAAACAGAAAATTAACAAGGATATTCAGGACTTGAACTCAGCTCTGGACCAAGCAGACCTAATAGACCTCTACAGAACTCTCCACCCCAAATCAACAGAATATATATTCTTCTCAGCACCTCATCACACTTATTCTAAAACCGACCACATAATTGGAAGTAAAATACTCCTCAGCAAACGCAAAAGACCAGAAATCATAACAAACAGTCTCTCAGACCACAGTGCAATCAAATTAGAACTCAGGATTAAGAAACTCACTCAAAACTGCACAACTACATGGAAACTGAACAACTTGCTGCTGAATGACTACTGGGTAAATAACGAAATGAAGGCAGAAATAAAGATGTTCTTTGAAACCAATGAGAATAGAGACACAATGTACCAGAATATCTGGGACACATTTAAAGCAGTGTTTAGAGGGAAATTTATAGCACTAAATGCCCACAAGAGAAAGCAGGAAAGATCTAAAATTGACACCCTAACATCAAAATTAAAAGGACTAGAGAAGCAACAGCAAACACATTCAAAACTTAGCAGAAGACATGAAATAACTAAGAGAGCAGAGCTGAAGGAGATAGAGACATGAAAATCCCTTCGAAAAATCAATGAATCCAGGAGCTGGTTTTTTGAAAAAATCAACAAAATAGATAGACTGCTAGCCAGACTAATAAAGAAGAAAAGAGAGAAGAATCAAGTAGTCGCAATAAAAAATGATATAGGGGATATCACCACTGATCCTACAGCAGTACAAACTACTATCAGAGAATACTATAAACACCTCTATGCAAATAACCTAGAAAATCTAGAAGAAATGGATAAATTTCTGGGCACATACACCCTCCCAAGTCTAAGCCAGTAAGAAGTCGAATCTCTGAATAGACCAGTAACAAGTTCTGAAATTGAGGCAGTAATTGATAGCCTACCAACCAAAAAAAGTCTAGGACCAGATGAATTCACAGCCGAATTCTACCAGAGGTACAAAGAGGATCTGGTACCATGCCTTCTGAAACTATTCCAAACAATAGAAAAAGAGGGAATCCTCCCTAACTCATTTGATGAGGCCAGCATCATCCTGATACCAAAACCTGGCAGAGACACAACAAAAAAAAATTTCAGGCCAATATCCCTGATGAACATCGATGCAAAAATCCTCATAAAATACTGGCAAACTGAATCCAGCAGCACATCTAAAAGCTTATCCACCATGATCAAGTTGGCTTCATCCCTGGGATGCAACCCTGGTTCAACATACGCAAATCAATAAACGTAATCCATCATATAAACAGAACCAAAGACAAAAGACACATGATTATCTCAATAGATGCAGAAAAGGCCTTTGATAAAATTCAACACCCCTTCATGCTAAAAACTCTAATAAACTAGGTATCGGTGGAACATATCTCAAAATAATAAGAGCTATTTATAACAAGCCCACAGCAAATATCATACTGAATGGGCAAAAACTGAAAGCATTCCTTTGAAAACCGGCACAAGACAAGGATGCCATCTCTCACCACTCCTATTCAACATAATATTGGAAGTTCTGGCCAGGGCAATCAGGCAAGAGAAAGCAATAAATGGTATTCAAATAAGAAGAGAGGAAGTCAAATTGTCTCTCTTTGCAGATGACATGATTGTAAATTTAGAAAACCCCATTGTCTCAGCCCAAAACCTCCTTAAGCTGATAAGCAACTTCAGCAAAGTCTCAGGATACAAAATCAATGTGCAAAAATCACAAGCATTCCTATAAACCAATAACAGACAAACAGAAAGCCAAATAATGAGTGAACTCCCATTCACAATTGCTACTAAGAGAATAAAATACCTAGGAATCCAACCTACAAGGGATGTGAAGGACCTCCTCAAGGAGAACTACAAACCACTGCTCAAGGAAATAAGAGAGGACAAAAACAAATGGGAAAACATTCCATGCTCATGGATGGGAAGAATCAATATCGTGAAAATGGCCATACTTCCCAAAGTAATTTATAGATTCAATGCTATCCCCATCAAGCTACCACAGACTTTCTTCACAGAATTGGAAAAAACTACTTTAAACTTCATATAGAACCAAAAAAGAGCCTGCATAGCCAAGACAATCCTGGGCAAGAAGAACAAAACTGGAAGCATCATGCTACCTGACTTCAAACTATACTACAAGGCTACAGTAACCAAAACAGCATGGTACTGGTACCAAAACAGAGATATAGACCAATGGAACAGAACAGAGGCCTCAGAAATAACACCACACAGCTACAACCATCTGATCTTTGACAAACCTGACACACACAAGCAATAGGAAAAAGATTCCCTATTTAATAAATGGTGTTGGGAGAACTGGCTAGCCATATGCAGAAAACTGAAACTGGACCTCTTCCTTACACCTTTTACAAAAATCAATTCAAGATGGATCAAAGACTTAAATGTAAGACCTAGGACCATAAAAATCCTAGAAGAAAACCTGAGCAATACCATTCAGGACATAGGCATGGGCAAAGACTTCATGCCTAAAACACCAAAAGCAATGGCAACAAAAGGCAAAATTGACAAATGTGATCTAATTAAACCAAAGAGCTTCTGCACAGCAAAAGAAACTACCATCAGAGTGAACAGGCAACCTACAGAATGGGAGAAAAATTTTGCAATCTATCTATCTGACAAAGGGCTAATATCCAGAATCTACAAAAAACTTAAACAAATTTACAAGAAAAAAGCAAACAACCCCATCAAAAAATGGGCAAAGGGTATGAACAGACACTTCTAAAAAGAAGACATTTATGCAGCCAACAGACATGAAAAAATGCTCATCGTCACTGGTCATTAGAGAAATGCAAATCAAAACCACAATGAGATACCATCTCATGCCAGTTAGAATGGCGATCATTAAAAAGTCAGGAAACAGGCCGGGCACGGTGGCTCAAGCCTGTAATCCCAGCACTTTGGGAGGCCGAGGTGGGTGGATCACGAGGTCAGGAGATCCAGACCATCCTGGCTAACACAGTGAAACCCTGTCTCTACTAAAAATACAAAAAAATTAGCCAGGCGTGGTGGCAGGTGCCTGTAGTCCCAGCTACTCGGGAGGCTGAGGCAGGAGAATGGCGTGAACCCAGGAGGCAGAGCTTGCAAAGAGTTGAGATCGTGCCACTGCACTCCAGCCTGGGAAAGATGGCGAGACTCTGTCTCAATAAAAAAATAAATAAATAAATAAAAAGTCAGGAAACAACAGATGCTGGAGAGGTTGTGGAAAAATAATGCTTTTACACTGTTGGTGGGAGTGTAAATTAGTTCAACCATTGTGGAAGACAGTGTGGCGATTCCTCAAAGATCTAGAACTGGAAATATCATTTGACCCAGCAATCCCATTACTGGGCTTATACCCAAAGGATTATAAATCATTCTATGATAAAGACACATGCACACGTATGTTTATTGTGGCACTATTCACAATAGCAAAGACTTGGAACCAACCCAAATGTCCATCAATGATAGACTGGATTAAGAAAATGTGGCACATATACACCATGGAATACTATGCAGCCATAAAAAAGGATGAGTTCATGTCCTTTGCAGGGACATGGATCAAGCTGGAAACCATCATTCTCAGCAAACTATCACAAGGTCAGAAAACCAAACACCACATGTTCTCACTCATAAGTGGAAGTTGAACAATGAGAATATATGGACACAGGGAGGGGAACATCACACACCGGGGCCTGTCAGGGGGTCGGGGGCTAGAGGAGGGATAACATTAGGAGAAATACCTAATGTAGGTGACGGGTTGATGGGTGCAGCAAACCACCAGGGCACGTGTATACCTATGTAACAAAACTGCACGATGTACACATGTTTGCCAGAACTTAAAGTATAATTAAAAAAAAAAAAAAGAAAAGAAAAGAAAACTCAGGGATCAGGGTTTTTAAGAATAATTTGGTGGGTAGGGGTCCAGTGAGCCAGGAGCACCGATTGGTTGGCTTGAGGATGAACTCATAGGCAGTCGAAGCTATCCTCTTATGCTGAGTCAGTTCCTGGGTGAGTGCCACAGAACTGGTTGGCAGGTCCAGGTGAGGCCAACCACTTGTCAGAAATGGAAAAACCTGAAAAGACATCTCAAAAGGCCAATCTCAGGTTCACAATGGTGATGTTATCTTCAAGAGTAATCAGGGAAGTTGCAAATCTCATGACCTTCCACGTAACAGCTGGTAATATTTAGAGTTCCAGCCCCTCTCATCCTAACTTGGTGGCTGGTGGCCTTTCATTCGTTTTACAAGAACAGATTTGCTTTTGGGAAGGGCTGTTATTTAAACTATAAACTAAATTCCTTCCCAAGGCTAGTTCGGCCTATGCCCAGGAATGGATAAGGACAGTTTAGAGGTTAGAAGCAAGATGGAGTCAGTTAGGTCTGATCTATTTCACTGTCATAATTCCCCATAATTTTGGCAAAGGCGGTTTCAAGATGGGCAGTCTTCTTCAGAACTCTCCCGAGCCAGTTTATCACCTGCTTCCCTGGTTCTGGTAAGCATGAGACTCCATGCCTTGCCCTCCTCTGAGTATAGCTGCAGACTAGAAAACACTTGGCTGGGCCAGGCACGGTGGCTCATGCCTGTAATCCCAGCACTTTGGGAGGCTAAGGTAGGCAGATCACTAGGGGTCAGGAGTTTGAGACTAGCCTGGCCAACATGGGGAAAACTCCGTCTTTACTAAAAATACAAAAAAAAAAAAAAAAAAAAAAAAAGAAGCTGGGCATGGTGGCGCATGCCTGTAATCACAGCTACTCAGGAGGCCGAGGCAGTGAGATGAGATCACACCACCGCACTCCAGCCTGGGCAACAGAGCAAGACTCTGTCAAAAGAAAGAGGAAGGGAAGGGAAGGCAAGAGAAGGCAAAGGGAGGGGAGGGGAGGCAAGGGGAGGAGAGGTTAGGTGAGGGGAGGCGAGGCGAGGGGAGGGGAGGGAGAAGAAGGGAAGGGGAGGCCAGGGAAGGGGAGGCAAGGGGAGGGGAGGGGAGGGAGAAGGAGGAAAGGGAAGGGAAGGGAAGGGAAAGGAAGGGAAGGGAAGGGAGGGGAGGGGAGAGAAGGGGAGGGGAGGCGAGGGGAGGGAAAGAAAGGAGGGAGGGAGGGGAGGAAGGAAGGCAGGCTTGACTGTAGCTTAGGAAGGAAGGAAGGCAGGCAGGCAGGCTTGGCTGTAGCTTAGGAAGGAAGGGGAAAATGCTTGTCTGTAGCTTAGAATTAGCACCCACACTCGACGGGAGGCGATGATACAAGGCATGTATATGAGGGAGTGGGAATTTGGGGACCACCTAGAATTATGCCTTCCCATCCCTGAGAGCATGTGCATAGCTACCAGCTATAAAGCTGCTTGGCTGCAGTGTGGTATGGGCTTCACCTGGCACTCATGTTGCTGCCATTTGGCCCCTGTTGTTTTGGTGCCGCCCTGTGCAAGGGTCACAGGGACCTGGCACCTCTGTCTACTTGCGCTTTCACCATCTGTATGAGTAATATAAACTGCCTGATCTAAAAAATGGCTCCTTGTTGCTTTCCTGACCATGCATGTCAGCCAGGCCTTGCCTTGTGCTTGATACATAGCAGCTGTGGCTCCCCCAGGCTGCTGCTTAGGGGCTGCTGCTTAGGGGCTGCTGCTTGGCCATCTGACAGGAAGATACTCGGTCTACTAAGGGAGGAAAGAATGATACATGAAGGAACCACAGGACGTGGCCAAATGTCCAGTAGGTGCTGGGGAGACACACGGGGCTGGCTCTCCTCATGCTGCATCAAGTGGGACAAAGTTGGATAAAGGGAAGTTTATTGATGCGAGAGTGCTGCTGTGGGGTATGGGATTCACACCCCAGCAAGGAGGTGAAGATAGTACTAACACTCCACTCAATGGTCTCATGGAAGCCTGGAAAAAGCAATATCCCCCAGGAAAGCAGAACTGCCAGAAATGCCGTGCAATAGTGGATACAGGAATGAGGTGGCTCAGAGAAGCAGGCATGCTGGAGTGGATATGCTACTGAGGAAAGAAAACCCACCAGGTCACCGCAGTCCACAGGGGAGCCGTGGGCACCTTCTGTTTATCCAAACGAGGAGGAATGTGCTGTTCAATGGGGCCACCAGCATCAGCAAGAAGCTTGGTGGTGACTGTGGGCTGATCGTGGGAGATGATGTTACAGAGCTATGTTCCCAATACTAATGAGGATGAGTCCTGAAATAATAGAGGCCAGGTGACAACACTTCACTGCCAGAAGAATGCTGGGTGAGATTGCTGTAATACATGGCAAGAACAGATGTAATGTATGACAGGCAGGGGAGTCTGTTCCCATAGAGAATTATAGAGATGGGCCAGGCGCTGTGGCTTACGCCTGTAATCCCAGCACTTTGGGAGGCCTAGGTGGGTGGATCACCTGAGGTCAGGAGTTCAAGACCAGCCTGGCCAACATGGTGAAACACCCCAGTCTCCACTAAAAATACAAAAAATTAGCCAGGCGTGGTGGTGGGTGCCTATAATCCCTACTACTCAGGAGGCTGAGGCAGGAGAATCGCTTGAACCCAGGAGGCAGAGGTTGCAATGAGCCGAGATGGTGCTATTGCACTCTAGCCTGGGTAACAGAATGAGATTCTGTCTCAAAAAAAAAGAGAGAGAGTATTATAGAAATGATAATAGGACATAATTTTCCTAAGGGCAAAATACAGCTTAATTTATGCAATCAGAGGGAATCAGAAATGATCAAGGCTCAAGACACATCTCAATAAAAAACTATGATCCTTTGATCAGTTTCTAGACCTGAGCCAGTACCCCTTGACTGAATGGGATGCCAGCCCACATAAGGGAGGATCCTACATCACGGCAAATGTATGTGGTAATGATTCCCTCCAATCCTTCTCCAGAAAGACCTGAGGGCATGTACTCAGGTAAATGTACACTGGGGAAAAGGGAATAATCGACCTTTCAGGAACTATTGGACACAGGATCCAAGTTAACACTGAAAATCAGAGACTCAAACATCATCATTAAAGGGGCCAGGTAATACATGGGGTGCCAGGCCAGGCCAAGTTCCTACTGGGTGCAACACAAGCTTCCAAGAGTCCTTTCCCAATGGAATCCACAGGATGCACGTAATTCCTCCAGCAACAGGTTATGACAACACATGTGAAACATTGTCTACCAGGGAGGCTCATTAGAGACTCAGTGTGTAAGGTTTTAATGCAGGGAAGGTACTTACATTGGCGTCCACTGTCTGGCATGTACCAAAATTCTAGACTCTCAGAAGGAAAAGAGGTGTTCAGCATAAGCTGAACACTTTAGATACAGTGAGACACTCCGATGAGAGAATGATGGAAATCCAACTGACTAGATGCCAGCCAAGGGCCAACCTTGCAAGCCGACTTTTCCGAGAATAGCAGGCTCAGGCCTGCTGTGTTAACTTTTTTCTACACAGGCTGTTCACTTGGAATTATATATTCAACAAAAATATATTTCAAGAATGACAGTAAAATAAAGACATTTTTGGGCTAACGATATAGAGGGTTTGCTCCAAAAAGAGCTGCCATAAATTCTGAAGGATGTGCTTATGCAGAAGAGTAATCCAGGAAGATCAGAGACGCAGGAAAGAACAAAGAACACTGATGGTACAGTACCCTGTAAGAATGTCTTCTGGGCCCAAAAGAGCAAGAGAAACACAGCATGTAAGGGGGAGAGGATGTGAGGTTAATGTAATCAAATATCCTTATATAGTTGAAGGACAGTAGAGCTATTTCTTGATTTTATACATGTTAATTATGAATGTCAAAATATGTAAAGTTAATTACTAGGCCAGGCATGGTGGCTCACGACTGTAATCCCAGCAGTTTGGGAGGCCGAGGTGGGCGGATCACCTGAGGTTAGGAGTTCGAGACCAGCCTGGCCAACATGGCGAAACTGCATCTCTACTAAAAATACAAAATCTCCTTGTCTCCCTTTTGCCTAACTTGGTCCTTCCAGGTCCCTGACCAACTAGCCAAGCCATTTGCCACAGCTCAGGAGTCCATACTCATACCTACTTCAGGCCTCTTCTCCCTCTATACAAAGTGGATGGCCAAATACACTATTCAGCTCTGATTGCTGGGAAGATTTCCCCTCATGGCTATTTTGAGGGCCACCTTGAGTAGGGCTGTAGTATGATAGCAGTCTACTTCAGTGGATAACAGTCTATTTCAGCTCACACCAACAAGGCCCAGGATTGTTCTTCTATCAGTTGATCATACACACCTACCTGAGGCTATGGACATCAGCTGAGTCAATGGCTTCAATGCAACCGAGGTGGATGACCTGGGGATCTGGGCCATGTGTCCATTTAACTTACTTATGTTCTCGACCTGCTCCTGAATGACCATTTCTATCATACTTGAAAGGCAGCTCCAGGTGCAAAGTCACTTGATGCCCCATGGTCAATTTCAAAATCTCTTTTAGGGCCCAATGGTATGACAAGAATTGCTTTTCCAATGAATGGCAAATAATTGTCTGTTACAGAAGGCATAGTCTTGCTCCAGATCTCTAGGGGTCTGTGCTGCAATTCTCCCAGTGGACTTTCCAGAAACACCACACGGCATCTTGATCTACTATGCCTACACTAGCATCACTGAGCCCGCTGGCATAGAAGGCAAAGAGCAGGGCAGTTTGCCCCACACCTTGGATCTGCTGCAGGGTCTCATTGTTTGGGTATTATTTGAACTAGGAGATAAATGAGTAAATGCTGTATTGCCAGTGTGGTATATGATGCCTCAAAATGCCTCTTTCTTAGCAATAGGGGGTGCTTAAGGTACAGCAACTTGTTTCAGACCAGTGGACCCTACAAATGTCACCAATATGGCAAAGCCTCCGAATTTTAGGGGAGGGGAGTCCTGTCTCCCACCAACTGGCATCTGGTCATTCAGAGTACCTGCCATATTTTGTTCAACCAAGTCCAGCTAGCATTATGTTCTGTGGAATGGCAAGATGATCAGGTCCCTGTGGATCATACTGTGATAGAGAGGAGAAGAGTTACCATAGCACTGGGGCAAGAAGGTAAATCTATTCTGCTGCCTTCCCTACATGTGAACAAAATAACTTTGAGTCTCTTTACTCATGAGGATTGAAAAGAATGCATTTATCAGATCAATAGCTGCATGCCAAGTGCCACAGGCTGTATCGATCTGTTCAGGTAAACATCCAGCCTAGCAGCTACAATTTCGGCTATCACTTGGTTAAGTTGATGGAAGCCCACAGTCATCCACCACAATCCATATGGTTTTTTATACATATGAGCCAAATGGCGATATGATAGGAACCATCCTCCCTGCATCTTTAGTCTTTGATGGAGGTGCTGATCTCTGCAATTCTCCAGACGTGGTGTTATTTTTTATTTATCATCTTGACACTTGATGCTTGGACCTGCCTAACATAATTGGTGAGAGAACTAATATGCAAGTTCTGCTACCTGCTAAGTATATCCACCCCAATTAAGAGACCTGGAAATAACTTCAAGAGGGAACTGTGGGCCCACTGGACAAACATGAGACAAACATGAGGCAGGACTCCGCTTATTACCTTGTCTCCCGTGCCCACTCTAGGCAGGGATCTATAGTGGCATTTCAGATCCTCTGGTACCGATTTCATGAACCTGGTATTCCATGGCCCTTGAGAAATCTAGGTACTTCCCTTTCTATAGTGGACAGTTACCCTAGAACATGGCTCGGTCCCTTTAACAAAGAGCTAGAGGAATACTTGCTGCATGTATTTGCAGTAGCATTGTCGGATTCTTCCTCGGGGGAACTGGGCTGCCCTTCTGTCAACAGGGTCTGAGCTTGAGAACTGACATGTGATTTTTTTTTTTTTTTTTTGAGATGGAGTCTTGTTCTGTCACCGAGGCTGGAGTGCAATAGCATGATCTCGGGTCACTGCAACCTCTGCCTCCTGGGTTCAAGCGATTCTCCTGCCTCAGCCTCGTGAGTAGCTGAGATTACAGGTCCCCACCACCACGCCCGGCTAATTTTTGTATTTTAGTAGAGACGGGGTTTCACCATATTAGCCAGGCTAGTCTTGAACTCCTGACCTCACCTGATCCACCCACACTGGCCTCCCAAAGTGCTGGGATTACAGGTGTGAGCCATGGTGCCTGGCCAGACTTGTGATTTTCATTGTGGAAGATGACATAGGGCTCTGCTCCCCAGATCTTCATTTTTCCTGGTTATACAGTCAAATAATACTCTAGGCAATATCCCCCATGGGATGGTGTTCTCCCCAGGGGACTGTGTGGACCATTGGCCATTGCCACAGGTATCTGCGTATCACGGCACCCTGACTACCAGTCCAGGCTTGCTGCCCATTCCAGTAATTTGTACTCACTTTGTCTCTGATGGTTAAGTGCCTCCACCTGCCTCTGCTATTTCAGAATCCTGTCACTCCCATTAACCCTAGGGAGCCCAGTTCAATGGCATCGTATCTCACTGTCACTCCTAGCCTATGGAGACTCCACCAGTGAGTTTCCCATTGATACCAGAAGCTCCCTCACTAGTGCACTCTACACTACATCTGGGGTAAAGGGCCATGATGTCTGCAACACATTCTCAAATTGTTCAGGGAAAAAAAATGTTAAGAACAGAGAGAGGCCGGGCACAGTGACTTACACCGGTAATCCCAGTACTTTGGGAGGCTGAGGTGGGAGGATTCCTTGAGCCCAGGAATTTGAGAACAGCCTGGGAAACATAGCAAGACCCCTACCAAAAAAAAAAAAAAAAAAAATTAGCTGGGCATAGTGGTGTATACCTGTGGTCCCAGCTATGTGGGAGGCTGAGGCAGGACGATCACTTGAGCCCAGGAGGTCGAGGCTGCATGATCACACCACTGCTGTTGCCACCCTGAACAATAGCAAGATGCTGTCTCCAAAAATAAAAGAACAGAGAGAAAGAAAAGCAATGAAGCAAATAAAGCAAAATGTCCACAGGAGGAAAATCTGAGAAAGGAGATTTTATATATATATATAACGATTTTTTTTTTTTGGCTGGGCATGGTAGCTCATGCCTGTAATCCCAGCACTTTGGGAGACAGAGGTGGGCAGATCACGAGGTCAGGAGTTCGAGACCAGCGTGACCAGCATGGTGAAACCCTGTCTCTAATAAATATACAAAAATTAGCGGGGCGTGGTGTTGCAGCTACTTGGGAGGCTGAGGCAGGAGAATCGCTTGTACCTGAGAGGCGGAGGTTGCAGTGAGCCGAGATCACGCCATTGCGTTCCAGCCTGGGCGATACAGTGAGACTCTGTCTCAAAAAATAAAAACAACGTTTTTTTAATCACCTTTCCAAACTTTTCCACAGTAACTAGGACACTTGTGTTTTCTACATCTTGTGTCAAATATGATCCTTAGAAGTTCAGCAGGAAATATTTTTACTAGAGTGGCATGCAGTAGCCTCCAGACAATTTCTGATTACATTCCTTTCTGATTTCTAAATGCATCTGTTTTTAACCTTTTACTTTCTTTATCTATTCAGTCTCCTGAAGGGTGCATATAGTTTATCCTGAAAGAAGCAATTTGAGATTAATCCTTTCAATCATCTTTTGCCTTGTTTTTATTTCCTGTTTTATTCACATCAGGTTTTAATTTTACTAATTCCTTCTAATTTTTGTACCTCAAGAGAGCTCAGACTTAGATAGATCAAAATCTGTTTCATAATACACTCTCATCACCATTCTATACATACCCTGCTTTCATTTATTTTGTGTTCTTAAAAATATTATAATAAACATGTGTGTAATCAATGTCCAACCTAAGAAGTAGAAAGAATAAACTATTATCTTTAAAATACAGGGCTATGGACTTATCTGCACATAGCACCATTCAGTTAATAACTAAAGTTATGCCACTTTTTGTAATGACTCCCTTTTTACAGTATAATGACTCCCCAAAAACACACTAAATAAGTACACTGTAAGAAGTAATACTTGACCTTAGGGTTTCCAGCAAAGACACACCCCAAAATCTCCATGCGCAGTTCCCAGCCGGAGGCCTCACGTGGAAGCAGCTGCCTCTGGTCTGTGTGGGACAGCGCCACCTCCTGGTCGGCGGCAGAGCCAGCATCTTAATTCCATGCATGCTTCCATGCTAGGAAACGCCCTTGCTTAGCCTTAATTTTGTTTCAAACGTATTTGGGGTGCCATAAGTTTATTTTCTGTAAAGTTTGAGGGCACTGTAATCATGAGCTCCCAAAAGACTGAAAAATTGGTGAGGACAATGGTGCAAGATGAAAAATGCCCCTTCCCCGATGGTCAAGTCCTGAGTTCCTCTTTTGGGGAAGGCAACATATCTACATTACACGAAGTTCTATGCACATAATATTTATTTACATTAAACTTGTTGGGCTGGGCGCTGTGGCTCACGCCTGTAATCCCAGCATTTTGGGAGGCCGAGGCAGGTGGATCACGAGGTCAGGAGATTGAGACCAGCCTGGCCAACATGGTGAAACCCTGTCTCTAATAAAAATACAAAAATTAGCCGGGCGTAGTGGCGCGTGCCTGTAGCCCCAGCTACTCAGGAGGCTGAGGCAGGAGAGTTGCTTGAACCCGGGAGGCGGAGGTTGCAGTGGGCCAAGATCATGCTACTGCACTCCAGTCTGGGAGACAGAGGGAGACTCCGTCTCAAAAAAAAAAAAAAAATTGTTGTTTACTACTGACATAAATATGTTTTCTTTATTTGGTTGATTTTTTTTCTATTAAAATTATTCACGTGTCTTGGATTGAGATAAATGATGTATTTTCTCATTAAAATTAATAGAAATATTTTTTTCATATGCAGGTTTGTCACTTAGCAGCAAAGTTTTTAGGAATAAATTAGTCATTAAGTGAAGGATAGGTATAACTTCAAAAGAAAGGTACAAATATCTAAATGATGGCAACAAAAGAATTAACATTAAAATGTCAATCAATCCAAGACTAACACATAAAAATTAATCAAAAAGAGTAAAAACTTTTAAAGACCACATGAACTAGCATGATTCAAAGTAATTAGGAATAAATAATACAGCAAAAATAAAAATAAAAACTTGGCCAGGCGTGGTGGCACATGCCTGCAATCCCAGCACATTGGGAGGCCGAGGCAAGCAGATCACCTGAGATCAGGAGTTTGAGACCAGCCTGGCCAACATGGCAAAACCCCATCTCTACTAAAAATACAAAAATTAGCCGGGTGTGGTGGTGGGCGCCTGTAATCCCAGCTACTTGGGAGGCTGAGGCAGGAGAATCGCTTGAGCCCAGGAGGCAGAGGTTGCAGTGAGCTGAGATTGTGTCACTGCACTCCAGCCTGGGCAACAACAGCGAAACTCCATCTAAAAAAAAAAAAAAATTAAGCTTCCTACAAACTGTTGAAGTAATACATAAATTAATTGTCACAAGATTTCAAACAATACAAAGAGAGTGTGAGAACCCCTTGAATATTTCTCTTGTGATTTCAGTTCCCCTCCCAATCCCAAATGAACTCGGGCACAAACAAGCATGCAGAGTTTGGAATGTATCAGCAATTTTCCTCCAAAATGTGTGTACCATGAACAATAGCTTATGAGGTACCTATTTTTACACTTTCTACTTATTTTAATTTTTTTTTTAAGAGATGGGGTCTCACTATGTTGCCCAGGCTGGTCCCAAACGCCTGGCCTCAAGCTATCCTCCCACTTTGGCCCCCTAAAGTGCTGGGATTATAGGTGTGAGCCACCACGCTTGGCCCTATTTCTACATTTTCTTTTCTTTTTAATTTTTCTTTTCTTTTTTTTTCTTTTGAGACAGAATTCTGCTCTTGTTGCCCAGGCTGGAGTGCAATGGCGCAATCTTGGCTCACCTCTGCCTCCCGGGTTCAAACAATTCTCCTGCTTCAGCCTCCCGAGTAGCTGGGACTACAGGCATGTGCCACCATGCCTGGCTAATTTTTGTATTTTTAGTAGAGACGGGGTTTCTCCATGTTGGTCAGGCTGGTCTCGAACTTCTGACCTCAGGTGATACGCCGGCCTCGGCCTCCCAAAGTGCTGGGATTATAGGTGTGAGCCACTGCGCCTGGCCTACATTTTCTTTTTCTTTTTCTTTCTTTTTTTTTTTCTTGAGAGAGAGTCTTGCTGTGTCACCCAGGCTGGAGTGCAGTGGTATGATCTCAGCTCCACCTCCTGAGTTCCAGCAATTCTTGTGCCTCAGCCTCCTGAGTAGCTGGGATTACAGGCATGCACCACCACATCCGACTAATTTTTGTACTGTTAGTAGAGACAGGATTTCTCCATGTCGGTCAGGCTGGTCTCAAACTCCTGGCTTCAAGCGATCCACCCACCTCAGCCTCCCAACATGATGGGATTACAGGCATGAGCCACTGCACCCAGCCTAGTTCTACATTTTCTTGTCAACATTAGATATTATCAGACTTTTTAGTTTTTGCCAATCTGAAGGACCAAAAATCTCACTGGAATCTACACTTCTCTAATGGTTAGAGAGACTGCATATTTTTCCTTTCCTCTTTTGTGAGTTGCCTGTTCCTATTGTATCACTGAGGTTTTGCTGCTGTAACAAATAACCACAGTATCTCAGTGGCTTACAACAAGAAGCATGTAGTTCTTGATCATTTAAATGAGGACTGAGGTTGACCTGTAGCTCTGCTCAGTTTCTATTCTCATTCCTGGTCCCGGACTGAATGAGCATCATCCTCTAAGGCCATTCCCACAACGTAGAGATGAAACACAAAATGCAAAGCTACAAGATGCATGCCATTTAAAACTTCCGCCCAGATGTGGCATATGTCACATCTTTTCACCTCTCATTGGCTAACACAAGTCTCACCAGCCAGCCCTGGCTATGGGTCAGAGAAGTACCCTTCTCCAACAGAGTATGTGATGAAGGTGGAGGTGGGAATGTTTAACATTGACACAGGGAAAGAGTTGATAACTCTTTATGTGATTATTATCTACTAAACGGTTCCACTTTTTTTTTTTTTAATTATTTTTGAGACAGAGTTTCGCTCTTGTCACCCAGGCTAGAGTACAATGGCATGATCTCGGCTCACTGCAACCTCTGCCTCCCGGGTTCAAGTGATTCTCCTGCCTCGGCCTCCCAAGTAGCTGGGATCACAGGCATGTGCCACGACGCCCAGCTAAGTTAATACAAACATGGTCATCATGTTGGACAGCCTGGTCTCGAAATCCCATTTATTTATTTATTTATTTATTTATTTATTTATTTATGAGATGGAGTCTCGTTCTGTAGCCCAGGCTGGAGTACAGTGGCATGATCTTGGCTCAATGCAACCTCTGCCTCCTGGGTTCAAGCGATTCTCCTGCCTCAGCCTCCCGAGTAGCTGGGATTATACGCATGTACCACCATGCCCAGCTAATTTTTGTATTTTTTAGTAGAGATAGGGTTTCACCATGTTGGCCAGGCTGGTCTCAAACTCCTGACCTCAAGTGATCCATTTGCCTCAGCCTCCCAAAGTGCTGGGATTACAGGCACGAGCCATCGCCCCCGGCACACAAGCCTTGCTTCAAGGTGATTCCACTTGGTATGTGATTCTCCTCCATAAACACAGGTTATAAAGTGTTCCCTCTATGAACTGAGATTCTCTCTCTGACTTTGATCTAATATAGACAAGTAGAATGAAAACATGGTCTGGCTGACACTTCCACTTCTGGCATCTCTCCAAACTGAGGTGGCCTTGATACCTAAGAAAGCCCCATGCTGATGGCAGCCCAAGGGGAGCAAGGTCAGGGAAGGCCTCTCCCTGTTAGGAAGGACATTCACATAATTTTCTTCCTGTGCACAGTGTGAGTCTCAAAAAAAAAAAAAAGACTCTCACTCTGTCGCCCACGCTGGAGTGCAGTGGCGTCGTGATCCCGGCTCACTGCAACCTCTGCCTCCTGGGCTCAAGCAATCCTGCTACCTCAGCCTCCCGCATAGCCGGGATTACAGGCACCTGCCACCATGCCCAGCTAATTTTTGTTTTTTTAGTACAGACGGGGTTTCACCATGTTGGCCAAGCTGGTCTTGAACTCCTGACCTTAAACAATCAGCCTACCTTGGCCTCCCAAAGTGCTGGGATTGCAGACGTAAGCCACCATGCCCAGCCTGAATTGATAAATTCTTGAGAGATGGGAAACGGCATTCTTTAATGAGAATTTTGGATATAGGGGACACTAATAGAAACTAACAAAGTGCTTTCATAAAATTCCCAGATGCTCAAAGAAAATTTAAAAGTCGAGTTAAGATCCATAAAATATGCATGCCCAGGCTGGGCGCGGTGGCTCACGCCTGTAATCCCAACATTTTGGGAGGCTGAGGCAGGTGGATCACGAGGTCAGGAGATTGAGACCATCCTGGCCAACATGGTGAAACCCCATCTGTACTAAAAATACAAAAATTAGCTGGGCGTGGTGGCGCGTGCCTGTGGTCCTAGCTACTCAGGAGGCTGAGGCAGGAGAATCGCTTGAACTCGGGAGGTGGAGGTTGCAGTGAGCTGAGATTGCGCCACTGCACTCCAGCCTGGGCAACAGAATGAGACTCCACCTCAAAAAAAAAAAAAAGTGCACGCCCACAACTGAGTAAAAGACAGGACTGTGATCAGGAAGTGCAGAAAATGTTAAATTTTAATGTCAGGGGTTAATTTAGAAAACATTGGCAAGTGTTTTCTCCTTTTATCATACCTTCCCCCTTTCTCATCTTTGCTGCAGATAAGGTCAAGTTCAGGGACTGCAGGACTTAAGGGGTAGGAGGTAATTCCTTCAAAACAAAAATGAAGGCAGGGTGTGGTGGCTCACGCCTGGAATCCCAGCACTTTGGGAGGCAGACGAGGGCAGATCACTTGAGGTTAGGAGTTCTAGACCAGCCTGGCCAACATATTGAAACCCCATCTCTACTAAAAATACAAAAAAATTAGCTGGGTGTGGCGGTGCATGTCTATAATCCCAGCTACTCAGGAGGTTGAGGCAGGAGTAATGCTTGAACCCGGGAGACGGTCCTCGCAGTGAGCCAAGACCATGCCATTGCACTCCAGCCTGGGCCATAGAGTGATTCTGTCTCAGAAAAAAAAAAAAAAAAAGATGAAAAGAAAACCCTTCTTTTCTCCTGCTTTGCATCTGCAATGGTGCAGGAATCCACAGATGTAACTAGACGTAACTGATGAATTGCAAGAAGTTAGAAGCCTGAAGAATGCAGCCGACATGAAAGGCTTTTATTCATACAGGTGATGTGATCTAAATGACTGACTGCATATTTAGAAAATAGGAAGAGTGTGAGGGACGGCAGCAAGGGTGAAGAATCGCCCCTCACCAGACAAGACTACAACAAAATTAACTGAGTCCTCATTTCAGCTTTAAAATAAACAAAAGGGGCTGGGCATGGTGGTTCACTCCTGTAATCCCAGCACTTTGGGAGGCCAAGGCAGGCAGATTTCTTGAGCTCAGGAGTTAGAGAACAGCCTGGACAATATGGTGAAACCCCATCTCTACTAAAAAGACAAAAATTAGCTGGGCATGCGTGCCTGTAGTCTCATCTACTCAGGAGGCTGAGGTGGGAGGATCATCTGAGCCCAGGAGGTGGAGGTGGCAGTGAGCCGAGATCACATCACTGCACTCCAGCCTGGTCAACAGAGTGAGACCCCATCTCATAAATAAATAAACAAACAAATAAATAAAATGAACAAAAGGGGAACTGTATACCCAAACTATAAAACAAAAATTAAAAAAAAATGAAAAGGGGAATTGTAAATCCAGGCTTAAGATGGAGTGAGGCCTTCTAAGAAAAAGAACAGCAACAACAATAACAATACCAAACCTTCTGCAGGGGCAGAGTGCAAAGAAATGGTGGTGAGAATGACAAGCTGGGGAAAATAATGCCTGCTGCAATTCCGGACACATTGGGACTTAGTGCTCCCTTTGAGACATCTATATGAAGGTCCATGGCAGCAGGTGGAAGCCCAAGGCAGAAGCCAGGGCTGGAGATAACCATCTGTGAACCAATGACTTATCTGATATTCTCTAGGAAGGAGATCACTGCACAGAGGAGAGAATAAGAAGAGGCCTGGTGTAAGCCTTGAAGAAAATCATTATGTCACGGCTGGGTGGGAGAAGGTGGTGGCATAGCCAGAGAGCTAGGAGGAAACCTGCAGAGTCCATGTAAAGATGAAAGAAGAGTAGAAATGTGGAGGGCCATTAAAAAATTATTCTGACAGTTGTTAAAACAGTATAGAAAATTGTACTCAAGACGACTGTCCCTGTCTCACTTCCCACTGCCCTAGTAATGCTTACTGGGATCAACCTCTAATTCTCTGTCCCAGGGTCTGTTTCTGGGGGAACCTGAGCTAAGACGGTGCATCATGAACCAAGGATTATGATTCAAGCACATATGGCACATTAACAAAAGCTGAGCATATGCCAAGCCATAAAGGCTCGACACATTTCAAAAGATTAAAAT
The DNA here is from genome assembly GCF_000001405.40 of Homo sapiens. NCBI lineage: Eukaryota > Metazoa > Chordata > Mammalia > Primates > Hominidae > Homo > Homo sapiens. Next base: position 112,593,832 of record NC_000002.12, on the reverse strand, counting down.
CATATAAAATGTTCCCAACCCAATTGCAATTAAGCAAGATACCTAAAAAAAAAAAACCTCCTTATGTTTAGAAATTAAGAAATACGACTCTAAACTTCTAAACAATCTGAGGTCAATGGAGAAATCAAAAGAGAGTAGAGAAGGGAAAATAAGGAACAAAAGGAGGATTGAAAGACAAAGACATCCAAGGAGCAGGACTACTATAGGCAGAGATGGCAAGAAGGAAACGTGACTATTGGCTAAGTTACAACAATGCATTCATGGGTTTTTGTTGTTATTATAGTTATTTTATCTTCTATTTTGAAGAATGATTTGTTATTTCTTCACAGTTATGGGACAAGTCAAATTATATATCTTGAAAAAAAAAAAAACAAAGTCACGCTTTGTGGCAAATTTAAGTGTATTAGAAAAGAAAGCCGGACACGGTGGCTCACGCCTGTAATCCCAGCATTTTGAGAGGCTGAGGCGGGTGGATCATGAGGTCAGGAGATCGAGACCATCCTGGCTAACATGGTGAAACCCCGTCTCTACTAAAAATACAAAAAATTAGCCGGGCGTGGTGGCGGGCGCCTGTAATCCCAGCTACTCGGGAGGCTGAGGCAGGAGAACGGCATGAACCCGGGAGGCAGAGGTTACAGTGAGCCAAGATCACGCCACTGCACTCTAGCCTGGGCAACAGAGCACAACTCTGTCTCAAAAAAAACAAAAAAACAAAAACAAAAAAAGAAAAAAGGCTGAAAACCAGTGAGCTAAACATTCATTTCAAAAAGGTAGAAACAGACAATTAAATCTAAAGAAAGAAGAAAATAAGAGAACTAGCTGGACGTGGTGGCTCACGCCTGTAATTCCAGCACTTTGGGAGGCCAAGGTGGGTGGAACACGAGGTCAGGAGTTCGAGACCAGCCTGGCCAACATGGTGAAACCCTGTCTCTACTAAAAATACAAAAATTAGCTGAGTGTGGTGGTGGGCACCTGTAATCCCAGCTACTCAGGAGGCTGAGGCAGGAGAATCGCTTGAACCTGGAAGACGGAGGTTGCAGTGAGCCAAGATCACGCTACAGCACTCTAGCCTGGGCAACAGAGTGAGAAGAGAACTAGTTAAAAACAAATGTACAAAATAAAGTGTCAACAAAGCCAAAAGTAATTTCTGTGAAGATTAACAAAATTGATAACCCTCTCTCAAAATCGATTAAAAAAAAAGGAAGAGCATACCAATAACCAATGTCAGAAATGAAAAGGGGGTTATCACTACAGATTCTACAAACCTTAAAAATATACTATGAGGATATTATTAACAAGTTGATGGCAATTTGAAAATGTAGATGTTTGTTTTAGTCTATTTTCTGTTGCTATAACAGAATACAATAGACAGGGTAATTTAAGAAAAAGAAAATTATTCCTTATAGTTCTGGAGAGTGGGAAGTCCAAGAGCACGGTGCCTGCATCTGGTGAGGGCCTTCGTGCCACATCATAACATGGCAGAGAGCGTCACATGGTGAAAGGGCAAGAGCAGACCAGTTCAGGTCTTTTTTCCTTTTCTTATAAAACCACCAGTCCCATCATGGTGGCCCCACCCTGATGACCTTGTCTAATCTTAATTACCTCCCAAAGACCCCCACCTTCAAATATCAAAACTGACACAAGAAGAAACACTATGAAGTTGTTGCAGTAATTTAAATATAGGCACAATTTTTTTGCAGCCAAATGCTATCAAGAAGTAAAGTCTCCCCATCTCTTTAATCTCAGCTGGGCTCATGACTGCTTTGACCAATAGAATGTGGTAAAAGTGATGTCTGAAGTTTCCATTTTCACTCTCTTGGACCCCTGAGACCATCATATAAAGAAGCTAGTCTAGCCTATTGTAAGACAGGACACATAGAGATGTTCTAAAGTGTAGTCTGGATCTCCATTTTGTCTGTTTTAATCACACTTCTTTTAGTTGCATGGCATAGAACCCCACTCAAGCTTACTCAAGCAAGTGGAGTGGGCTGAAAACATCCACCACAGCCCATGGAAACTAGAGATGGAAACAAAAAGCCACCAGGATCCAGACCCTTTCAGGGACAGGAACTTGCAGGGAGCCAAAGGCCTGTGGGATGTGACCAACTCAGCATTCCACTGGGGCTATATGATCAAACAGCAAACTGTTTACCATTAATACAGAATGTGGACAAACTCACTTCTGTGCCTGCCCCAGAAGGTTTGATGAGGGCAGTCGCTTCCTGGCGCCGAGCTCCTTGAGGTTATCTACTGCGACATCTAGGGAATGCAGTCTTGCAAGCCTACTCTGGACAAGCTGACCTCTTCTTCTACCTGCCTTCTCGCTATCTCTTTTGCCTAATAAATACAGAAAGCTGTGTAAAGCTCAGGGCCCTTGTCCACTAGAGGCAAGGTGCCCCCTGACCCCTTCTTCCAAATATACTCTTTTGTCTCTTGTCTTTTATTCCTGCATTCGCCACCCTTTCTTCAGTCCACCAGGGATTGTGGCAGGTTACAGGAACTGATCACAATTCTCTCTCCACTACCTGGGTTTCCTCCTAGCTCAGACAAATGGTATAAAATCTTGCAACCCTGAACTTACAGGATTTCTACCCGGCTCCTAAACCAATGAACAACTTCCTTTGTCTTGGAGATTAATCCCTAGGAGAGACTCCCATAGGCCAGGCTCATTCTTCCAAGCCGAGCATAATCCTTGGGTATCAAATGGCCAGTTACTCCAATTTCCAGAGGTTTGGGATCACCTCCAGGGAGGAGGGCCTCGTCTGAATGGTGAATGTGGGTGCAGGCCATGGGCATGCTCAGCTCAGCACTCTGGGGTCTCCTCCTCTATTGCATACACGCCTGTCTGCTTTCTATTCTTTAGGACCAGTCCCTACTGGGGAGCCTGTATCAAACAGCAGGAGCCTGTATTCCTGAGAAGCATGAAGAAGCCACAGCAGCCACTGTTGGTACCTGCCCAGATCCACTCAGCATCTCTTCCGCAGGTTTAAGGCTGCTCACTTGATCCCATTATACTCTGCTTACGGCCCTCTTCTGATGGCAGAAGTGAACTTGGCCTATAAAGGGCAGGCCAGAAGTACCAGTCAATGCCCATGAAAATACCCCTTAATGACAGATGGGAAGTTGGTAGATAACACAATTCCCTTGCTCCTTGATAGGGTAACTGGGTTATGTTCTATAAAGTCCCCCACAGGTCCCCAGTGGGACTGAGTCCCAGTTGCCCAGAGTGGTAACTCGCTTGATAATGCACCTTTTATTGGCTGCCTTCCTCTCTATTGTCTCCCTTCTCCATTCCTCTATCAGTGTTTCTGGAATCAAATTCAAATTACCATCTGCACTCAAATTCTGAGTTGGCTTCTGGAAAACTGGAAACTAAGAACAGAAATCCAGTGCATAGACCAGAAGCGGTGGCTCACACCTATAATCCCAGCACTTTGGGAGGCTGAGGTGGGCAGATCACCTGAGGTCAGGAGTTACAGACCAGCCTGACCAACATGGTGAAACCCCGTCTCTACTAGAAATACAAAAATTAGCCGGGCATGGCGGCCGGTGCCTGTAATCCCAGCACTTCGGGAGGCTGAGGCGGGCAGATCACCTGAGGTCAGGAGTTTGAGACCAGCCTGACCAACATGGTGAAACCCCATCTCTACTAGAAATACAAAAATTAGCCAGGCATGGTGGCGGATATCTGTAATCCCAGCTACTCAGGAGGCTGAGGCAGGAGAATTGCTTGAACTCAGGAGGCAGAGGTTGCAGTGAGCCGAGATCACGCCATTGCACTCCAGCCTGGGCAACAAGAGTGAAACTCCGTCTTGAAAAAAAAAAAAAAAAAAGAAGAAAGAAAGAAAAGAAATCCAGTACATGGCCTTCTAAGCCATACATCCTTCCATGTGGTTGTTTTCAATAATAAAGCCAGTATTTTCATCTCCATTGCCTAATGCCTCTGTTGCCCAGTTGATTCTGAATTCAGCAGGGAAAGACGCATATTATTTATCACCCCCCAAGCCTCCAGAAAACTGAAAACAGATTTGGAGAATGCAGCCAGGCACTGTGTCAAGTGCTTACGGTAGTGCTAGCTACTGTGGAGGCTGAGGCAGAGGATCACTGGAGCCCAGGAGTTCGAGGCTGCAGTAAGCTATTATCGCACCACTGTACTCCAGCCTGGGCAACAGAGCAAGACGTTGTCTTTAAAATATATATATAGGCTGCGCGTGGTGGCTCACGCCTGTAATCCCAGCAATTTGGGAGGCCGAGGTGGGCAGATCACGAGGTCAGGAGATCGAGACCATCCTGGCTAACACGGTGAAACCCTGTCTCTACTAAAAAAAAAAAAAAAAAAAATTAGCCAGGCGAGGTGGCGGGCGCCTGTAGTCCCAGCTACTAGGGAGGCTGAGGCAGGAGAATGGCACGAACCCCGGGGGGCGGAGCCTACAGTGAGCCGAGATCGTGCCACTGCACTCCAACCTGGGCGACAGCGAGACTCTGTCTCAAAAAAAAATAAAAATAAAAATAAAATAAAAAATATATATATTAAAAAAAAATAACAATTTGGGGAATGCTAGAGTGGAAGGGATTGAGGGTCTTTACCCCAGGCACATGCAGCAGAAGTCAGGAAATGGCTGTGTGGCAGAGTTCACAAGGGAGGCAGGGTAGTCTCAACCCTGGGGCACAGCTGCAGAGTCCTGTTCTTCCCAGGCACTTCCTTGGCACACCCGGTGAAGCTGGGGAACAGATGACTCTGCCCAGCCAGCTCTCCTAGGACCCTCTCAGGTACGGATGGCAGGAATCAAAGCCCAGTATACAGAGTCTTTATTTATTGGAAGTCCTGATATCCAGGAAAGCCGGGCCCATGTCCAGGGCTCAGGACTCCATCTGGCCACTCTGCAGGGGAGGGGCGTGGGGGCAGTCATTCATGTCCAGTTTTCCTGCCGTCAGAGGAGTCCTCAGGAGGCAGGAAGTGGCTGTGCCTGTGGAGAAAGTACATCAACATCTAGTAGCACCTCCTCTGTGCCCAGCCTGGGGAGCCTATGTAGACACCACAGAGGGAGACCCTGCAGAGCCCACAGTCTGGAGGGAGAAGGGTGTTGGGCAATGACCTTGGCCCTGAGCCATGTGAAAAAGTCAGCTGTGGTGAAGTGTCATGGGAGGCAGGGAACGCGCCATTCTGCTATATTTACTGAGCACCTGCCGTGTACCCAGCAGGCAAAACTCTCTGACTCAAGCAGGGAGAGACGGACAATAAATATGTCAACATCCAAGAAATTCGATGAAGAAAATTTAATCAGGGTAAAGAGCAGAGGTGTGTGCGGAATGGGAGGGACATGTACCACTTTGATTGTCAGCCACAAAAACACAGGACATTCTGTAAAGTCTGTATGCCATGCTGCAGGAGATGAGAATGTTTGTGTTCGCTATTGTGTAGACCAGACAACAAATCTCACTGCCCCTAGCTAGGAAGGAAAAACTGTAACTGGGATGCCATCCCCAGGAAGGAGGGGATGATGAGGAGATGTGACCTAATTCCCTTTTTTTTTTTTTTTTGGAAGACAGAGTCTCGCTCTATCGCCCAGGCTAGAGTGCAATGGTGCAATCTTGGCTCACTGCAACCTCTGCCTCCTGGGTTCAAGCAATTCTCCTGCCTCAGCCTCCCAAGTAGCTGGGATTACAGGTACCTGCCACCACACCTGGCTAATATTTGTATTTTTAGTAGAGATGGGGTTTCACCATGTTGGCCAGGCTGGTCTCAAACTCCTGACCTCAGGTGATCCACCCACCTCGGCCTCCCCAAGTGCTGGGATTACAGGCATGTGCCACCGCACCCGGCCCTAATTCCCATTTTTAAAAGCTTCTTTGGCTGCCAGGGAAGAGAAGACTGTCAGGGCAGGGGTGGCCACAAGGAGACCAGAGAGAGGCTGGTTGCTGGTCCAGGGAGGGAAGCAGCAAATGGCTCTAAGATAGGAGGATGGGGTCTTTACTGTTCAGATGCCCAAAAAACTTGAAAGACAGAAATGTCCCCAGCAGCTGACTGAGAACAGTATGTGATCGTTAGGTAACGTTTCCTGAGGAGAATTAAGTTCCTTCCGGCTCTCAGGGGTCGTAGTTTCTGCCCTAGGGGTCTGAACTATTCACTTATCCTTGCCTTACAGAAACAATTAATGCCTATAGGGCCTGGTAAGAAGGGCATCACCCCAATCTTCAGCCAAGAGCTCCCTTGACACAGGCATAGGATGTGAGCCTTGATGGAGGGGCTCAGGGACCTTGGGAACTTGAAGACAGGGGCGGGAAGTGGGTGGGACATCAGGGAGGTTTTCTGAGAGACGTGCCGTCTAAGCTGGAATAGGAATTAGCCAGGAGATGGATTAGGAAGGGCAGTCCCAGCAGAGGGAAACAGCTGGACAAAAGCAGCGGAGACGTGCACTTGAGTAACTGCATGTTCACTGGGGCTGGAACATAGAGCTTAAGGGGGAAAGAGAGGAGAGGTGGGACCACGGGTCGCAGGGACTGCATCCCACAGGGCCCTGTGGGCTGTGCTGGCATTAAGACTTGGGCTGGTGGAATTGAGAACCATGGAAAGGTTTGTAAGTAGAAGCAGAACATGGTCAGATTTCCTCTGAGATCAGTCTAGGATGATCACCAAGAATGACTGGAAAGTCAAGATGGAGCATGGGGCCCAGGAGAAGGATGGCCAGGTGGCCCAAGAGAGAAGCCAGGGCTGCAGGGGCAGAGAGAGGGCCCCAGGAGAGGGTACTCACAGGGGCTGGGGAAAGATGTGACTTTCACCTTTGGAGCTCACAGTCCAGTGAGGAGGGTAGTAAACATCTAAAAGAGCATTTTTCAACCTTTTTCCGTTACTGCCTCTCCTCAAGGAGTCATTTTAGACTTTTGTTCTAATTGCCCAACCATGAAACTTACATATCACAGATATACTGTATATCTGGTTTACATATTAGATACATTTAAAAGAGTGACCTTTTTTTGGCCACCCCAGCCCAGCCCCTCTGCAGTTGCAGATGAGGAGTAGTGAGAAAGAAGAGAGAGGGTGAGGCAGGAGGCAGATGAAGTCAGCCTAGGGAAGAACACAGAGAACCCAGCAAGGACCTGGACTTTTGTTCTCAATGTGACACAAAGCCACTGGAGAGCTTTAAGCATAGGTGTGATGAGACCAGATTTCAGTCCTTACATGCTCACCCAGGCCGCTTTATGGAGGCAAGAAAAGAGGGAGGAAGGGAGACCAGGGAGAAGGCTGGGGCAGGTATCCTGGAGGTGGAGGGTGAGGGTGGTGGTGGATTAAAGCAGGGGCTATATGGGGCAAGAAGTGATGATGTTCTGGATTCTGGATGCATGGCAAAGGCCTGTGTGGTGATGGGGTGGGGCTGAGGATGACTCCAAAGTCTTTACCCTGAACAACCAGAAGGATGAAGGGGATGTTATGGAGAAAAGAGATGAACTGAGGTGAGCCCCTCTTACCTCCACAGTTGCAGGTGAGCGTGGCGGCTGCACCTGCTCAGCGCACTGCAGGAAGCGGCGCATATGCTCTGCACAGTTGCCCACAGCTGCCTCGTTCTGTCGAAGACACTCCTCGAAGGCCTCAAAAGGCTGAGCACAGGCCTGGCGGATCTGGCGGATGATTGGGCTGTGGGGGTAGGGCAGTTCAGCCCCTGGGAGATTCCCACCCCACTGCCCACCCCCCACACTGTCTCATACTTGCCCGCACTCACTGGGAGGATGTGCACTGGGCAATGCTCATCTTAAGGTAGTGACAGTCCCGCTGCCAGGATTCCGGCTTGGCCGCCACACACTGGCCATACTGCTCCAGCTCCCGGCCACAGTAGCGAGCGGTGACCTCTAGGGCCGCCTGCCTGTGGGACAGGATGGGCTGAGGATCATTCCAGGCAGTAGGCAAGCAAGGGAATTCTTTTTTTTTTTTTTATTTTTTAGAGACAGGGTCTCACTGTGGCCCAGGCTGGAGTGCAGTGGCACGATCATAGCTCACTGTAGCCACCAACTCCTGGATTCAAGTGATCTTCCTGCCCCAACCTCCTAAGTAGCTGGGACCACAGGCATGAGCCACCATGCCCAGCTAATTTTTTATGTTTTGTAGAGACAGGGTCTTGCTATGTTGCCGAGGCTGGTATTGAACCCCTGGGCTCAAGCGATCCCCCTGCTTAGACCTCCCAAAGTGCTAGGATTACAGGCATAAGCTATGGTGCTCCGCAAAGAAAGGGAGTTCTGGTCTGGGTCTGAAGTAGGACTAGGAGTTCAGGGCAGATGTGGGAATCTGAAGGATCCTGAGATGGTGCCAAAGAAGTGGAGAGGTGAGGCCCAGCCCTGGGGCTTGTAAAGCAGGAGGGGAGCTTCTGGGGAGAGAGTGGAGGTTCTAAAACAAAGTCTGATTAATGTAAGGTAGGCCTTCAGGGTCCTAGAAGACAGGCCTTGAAATCCAGGCATCCCCCAGTAGGCCTGGGGATCATGCACAGAAGACTTGGGGCCTTAGAAGAAAGATCTAGAATTCCAGGGAGAGCTTGAGAGCCCTTAATGGGTTTGGGGGTTCTAAAAGTGAGGTTTAGAGCTCCAAGAGGTGGGGTCTCAGGTCCTGGGGAAGAGTGTCTTAGCCAAAGAGTCTTCAAGATGAAACCTAAGGCCCTGGTGCGGGACTCAAGGTCCCAGGGGCGTGAAGTCTGGAAGCCCTGGATGAGGTTGGTGCTCTGGGAATCCTGGGCAAGGTCAGAGTGGTCTAGGAACAAGTCTGTGGACCCTATAGGTGAGGACTGGGGTCCCAGGCAGATCTGGAAGGTTCAAAAGGTAAAGTTTGGTGATCAAGGGGGAGGAACCTGGAGCTCTGAGGATGGGTGTAGGAGTCATAGAGGTCCCTAAATAAGTCTGTAGTCTTAGGATTTCAGTGTGAAGGCCGGACCTGGGGTACTGGGGGCAGAGATTGGGTGAAGAGTGACTGGACCGAAGTCCTAAGCAGCGCGAGAGGGGGCGAGGCCTAAACGCTTAGAGGGCGGGGCTTGGGCATGCGGAGGGTTGGAGCTCGTGAGCGAAGGCGCTGAATCCTGAGGGTCAGATCTCCAAGAAGGAGGGAGGCTGGTCCTAGTTCCCGAGGTCCTAGACTAGGTCTAGATCACTGGGTAAAAGAAGGGGAGCGGCAGCACGTATGGGGTAGGCGCTCTCACTACTCACATCTCGAGACCTTTGCCGGCGTAGGGCTGTCCGGGGGGAACGACCCGCCTTTTCCGGTATCGGTTGTCATGGCGGCGCCCAGCCCAGCCTGGTTTTTTCCGGTAGCCAATTGAACTAACAACCCCGTTCCCTTTAGGACTAATCTGTCACGGCGGCGCCCTACCTCTTCTTCCGGCCCGGCTCGTCATGGCGGCGCCCTGAGTAGCCACTTCCGCCCTCTTCTGGCTAAATTGCTTCATCCCTATTTCCGGCTTGCCATGGCAGCGCTCGGGGTTTAACGGAAGTAAGCAATGGAAAGTATGGTGGTGCCTCGGGTCCAAAGAGAATGCGCCGCTGAGTTGCGCGGCACCTGACGGGATTGAGCCTCAGACACAAGCGCTCCAAATCTCCGACTGTAGCTGGTGGGAAGCGCCTGCTGTTGCTGCAGCGTCTCAACATGTTGTTCCCATTTTCGTTGGGTGCTGTAGCGGTAGGCTGTTGGGCTCAGGGATAGGGGGCCTGATTCCTAACGCCGCGCTGCCACCATCGGCCTTGCGCAGACGCTGATAATCCCCCTGGCACCCAGGTTCATGCGAGCGCTTGGAACAGGAGGGAAGAGGGAGTCAAACCAAGAGCCGAACTAATTCGGCTTGGGCCTGCCATTTACCCAGCCTGGGACCCAGACGTTTCCCCATCCCTTAGCGTACGCCAGGACAGACATGGCGTTTAATCCTGACTCCATGAGACTATCAAGCTAGTTACTTCCTCTCTTTGTAATTAATTCCTCCTAATGTAGCAACATTTCCCCCTTCCTTCTCATCTGTCTTAAAAGTGTGAGGTTAGACCTGGGCGTGAGTTTCCCCACATAAGAGACTGGATATCCCCTGGTCAGAGAACTGAGCATCAGTCCTGCCGTTTCGTTTGCAGATCTTTCAAGACTCTAGTCAAAATGAGCAGAACATTTTGCAGTTAATCATAGAGTTGAAGATGAACGAGAAGATGAACGAGAGCTACTTGATTGTGAACTAGTAACGACCACTTGGAGTCGCAGTGTGTCTGTAAAATGATGATGACAGTGACATCATAGAGGACATAGTGCAAGTGAACAGTTTGATACTGAGCTTGGAGCCTCAGTAGTTCTGGATAAGTGAGAGCTGTACGGGAGGTTGTAACCATGAGCTACCCTGGTTGGCAGTTGACATCCGAGGACCAGCACTGGTCATCGCACAGAAAGAAAACTTTACACCTTGAGATCCCTCCATTCTTCTTAAACTTCCAAGTGTATGTTTGATGGGAGAAGAGGGGAAGGGATCAACATTTAAAGGCTCTGGAAGGAGTCAGATAACTGTTTTTGGCTTCAAATGTAGAATGAATCCCTAGATTTTCCTCTACTGAGAGAATGAAATCTTAACCCATTCCGTTCCCTTGTTGGTACTCAGAAACGGATACCCCAAAGATGCATTTTGACATGCTGAAAGGCCTTAGAAGCTGCCTTAGAAGATCTGTCTAACCTTGTCTTGTTGGTGTGTGGAAGTGGGAATGCCCACAGGTGCACAGGGAGGGAGTTTCTGAAATTATCTGACCGAGAAAGCAAAAAAAAAAAATCAATTGTCTTAAACCCGGTTTCTAGGGATCTCATTAAAGAACTAGGAAAAATTAACCACCTGTTAACAGAAAAACCAAACTGAAATGTTTTAAAGAGATTTATTTTGAGCCAATATGAGTGACCATGGCCTGGGGAACACAGGCTCAAGAGGTCCTGAGAAAGTGTGCCTGAGACAGTAGAATTACAGTTTGGTTTTGTACATTTTAGGTGGACAGGAGTTACAGACAAAGACATAAATCAGTACATGGAAGGTACAGATTGTGTTCAGCTGGGTGCAGTGGCTCACGCCTGTAATCCCAGCACTTTGGGAGGTCGAGGTGGGCGAATCGCTTGAGGTCAGGAGTTCGAGACCAGCCTGGCTAACATGGTGAAACCGTGTCTCTACAAAAAATACAAAAAATTAGCCAGGGATGGTGGCAGGCACCTGTAGTCCTGGAGCTACTCAGGAGGTTGAGGCACGAGAATTGCTGCGGAGGTTGTAGTGAGCCGAGACCACACCACTGCACTCCAGCCTGGGTGACAGAGCATGACTCTGTCTCAAAAAAAAAAAAAAAATTCTACGGTATTTTTATAATACATTTTGTAGTACCACTTATAACCACTTGGGTGCGTGGGTTGCCCATTAAATCAAACAGTTTACAGTTCACCCTTGAACAACATGGATTTAAACTGTACTGGTCCACTTATACTCAGATTTTCTTCTGCCGCTGTCACTCTGAGACAGCAAGACCAACCCCCCTTCCTCTCCTCAGCCTACTCAATGTGAAAAGGACAAGGATGAAGGCCTTTATGATGATCCACTTCCACTTAATGAATAGTATATTTTATCTTCCTTACGATTTCCTTAATAACAGTTTCTTCTCTCTACTTTACTATTGCAAGAATACAGTATATAATGCATATAACATACAAAATATGTGTTCATCTATGTCATCAGTAAGACTTCAGATCGACAGTAGGCTATTAATAGTTAAGTTTTGGGGGAGTCAAAAGTTATATGTGGATTTTCTACTGCATTGTTTAAGGGTCAACTGTAGATTCAACGACTACCTAGGATTGTAGAGTTGACTGATAGCACTGGGACTGATGATAACATCATAACCTGTAAGAAGTGTCAACAATGGTGATGGACCCCCAGCAACCCTGGAGTGGGGATGTCTAAAGATAGATGTCATCCACCAGGCAGGAGTTGGTGCTGCCAGTGTGTCATGTACTGCAGCCTCTTTTATTTATTTATTTATTTTTATTTATTTTTTGAGACAGCATCTCGCTTTGTCACCCAGGCTGGAATGCAGTGGCACAATCTCGGCTTACTGCAACCTCCACCTCCCGGGTTCAAGCGATTCTTCTGCCTCAGCCTCCCAAATAGCTGGGACTACAGGTGCGCACCACCACGCCAGGCTAATTTTTGTATTTTTAGTAGAGACGGGGTTCCATCATATTGGCCAGGCTGGTCTCAAAGTCCTGACCTCGTGATCCGCCCATGTCGGCCTCCCAAAGTGCTGAGATTACAGGTATGAGCCACAGCGCCTGGCCTGCAGTCCCTTTTACTACAACAAATATGGGAAAGAGTCACAGGTGTGGCATACGGTGGTGGCTTCTGCGTTAGAAACATAGGCCAAGTACAGTGGCTCATGCCTATAAATCTCAGCACTTTGGGAAACTGAGGTGGCCAGACTGCTTGAGCCCAGGAGTTTGAGATCAGCCTGGGCAACATGGCGAAATTCTGTCTCTACAAAAAGTACAAAAGTTACCCGGGTGTGGTGATGTCATAGGTAGTAGATTTATCCTTCAAACATCAACAACTAAAAAATCTGGACAAAATAGGAGACAACAGAGTTCAGACATTGGAAACAAGCATTGTAGCACAGTGGTCCCCAAGAGAAAGGAGACAAATGAAGTGACCTTAGTGGCCCGGCTTATGTCTGGAGAGTTAGTTTCTAGGCTACATAGCCCAGGGGTGTCCCTGAGTTGGGACAAAGTTGAGAATTTGGAGAGGCCAAGGCAGCTAGTTTGTAAGGCAGGGTACCAGAGAGTAGCGCAGCACAGACCTGCAAAGGGTTTCCTGCACGTGTAGCGCACAGCATGCCTGTGAACACACTCCTGGAAACCAAGGGAACTACCAGGAAGGTGCAGGCAGAGCAATCCCCGGAGCCATAGTGGAGACCATCACTGTGCACTGGCTAAACTACTCAAAGATACTGCCTGTCTAGTGAGGCAAAATTAGCCCTAATGGCCGCTCTGGTCTCACCTAAGTAAGCTCAGAAACACTGAAGCAAGCTCTCAGTTCGAAGGAAAATGGAAATCTGGCATATGAAATCAAGATCTCCAGATACAGTAAATATAACTCTTATGACAAAATAGCACAAAGGCCAAGAGACAGGAAAGTGTGTGCTGTTGCTAAGTTGTTCTACTACCTGTGAAGTGGTAGAATATTACATAAAAGTGTGACAAGTCTAAAGATGTACACTAGAAATTTTAAGAGAAACAACAAAAAATGAAAATGGAGGTAGGGTTAATAAGCCAACAAAGGAGATAAAAATGAAATAATACAAAATAAATTAGCCCCGCACAAGTATGGCCATCTGATTTAAACCCTGTCACTCCAGCTGGAGTGCAGTGGCGTGATCACGGCTCACTGCAGCCTCGACTCCCAGGCTTAGACGATACTCCCACCTCAGCCTCCTGGGGAGCTGGGACTACAGGTGCACACCACCATGCCTGGCTAATTTTTTTAGTAGAGATGGGGTCTGGCTGTGTTGCCCAGGCTGGTCTCAAACTCCTGGGCTCAAGCAATCATCCCACTTCAGCTTCTCAAAGTGCAGGGATTACAGGCGTGAGCCAGTGCACCCGGCCTATGGCCATCTGATTTTTGACAGAAGTGCAGAAGTAATTCAATAGAGAAAGGATCGTTTTCAAGTAACAGTCCTGGAGCAATTGGATATCTATTGGCAAAAAAAAAAAAAAAAAAAAAAAAAAAAATCTTGATCTAAACCTTACACTTTGTACAAAAATGAACTCTTAAGTGGAAAATGGATCATAGATTTAAATATAAAGCATAAAACTATAAAACCTTTAGAAAATAACATATGAGAAAATCTTTGGGCTAGGTGAAGAGTTCTTAGACACAACACCAAAAACCTGTCAATTGGGCTTCATCAAAATTTAAATTTGTTTCTCTGCAAAATACCTGTGAAGAGGATGAAAAGACAAACTATGAACTGGGAGAAAATATTTGCAAAGCACTTGTATGACAAAGGCTTTATATCTGGAATATATAATGAAGTCTTGAAATTCAACAGTAAGAAGACAAACAATCCAATTAAAAAATGAACAGCAGACATTTCACTGAAGATACACAGATGGCAAATAAACACATGAAGAGATGTTCAACATTTTCAGCCATTAGAGAAATGCAAATTAAAGCCACAATGAGATATCACTACACATCTATCAGAATGGCTAAAATAAGAAATAGTGGGCTGGTCCAAGTGCAATGGTGTTGCAACAAATTGATCACAACCACTTACAGATTTATTTGTTCTTTTTCCACTCCCACTGCTTCACTTGACTAGCCTTAAAAAAAAAGTGACATCACCAAATGCTGGTTGGTCAGAATGCCAAGAAATGAATCACTTATACATTGCTGGTAGGAATGTAAAATGGCACAGCCACTCTGAAAAGTTTGGCAGTTTATTAAATGAAATATGCAACTACCATATGACCCAGCAATCCCAGTCTTGAACACTTGTCCCAGGGAAATGAAACTTATGTTTACACAATAACCTGTATAGTAGTCCTCCTTATCTACAATTTTGCTTTCCTTTTTTTTTTTTTTTTTTTTTTTTTTTTTTTTGAGACTCTAGTCTTGCTCTGTTGCCCAGGTTGCTGTGCAGTGGCGTGATCTTGGCTCACTGCAACCTCTGCCTCCTGGGTTCAAGTGATTCTCCTGTCTCAGCCTCCTGAGTAGCTGGGATTACAGGCGTGTGCCATCACACCCAGCTAATTTTTGTATTTTTAATAGAGACGGGGTTTCCCCATGATGGCCAGGCTGGTCTCAAACTCCTGACCTCAAGTGATCTGCACACCTCAGCCTGCCAAAGTCCTGGGATTACAGGTGTGCACCACCGCACCCAGCCAGTTTTGCTTTATGCAGTTTCAGTTACCCACAGTCTGAAAATATGTGAGAACAGTACATTTTGAGGCCACATTCATTTAATTACAGTATAATTGTTCTATTTATTGCTGTCAGTTTCTTGCAGTGCTTAATTAAACATCAAAGGTATGTATGTATAGAAAAAATATATAGAGGACATATAGTACATATAGCACATATGGATAGTGTATATACTATCCATGGTTTCAGACACTCACTGGGAGTCTTGGGATATAATCTTCAAAGATAAAGGGGGACTATTATACCTGATTGTTCAGATCAGCTTTATTGTTAATGCCCCCAAACTGGAAACAACCAAAATGTTCAAGGTGAATGGTTAAACTATAAATATATATGCTATGTACATAGTATATTCATACTATGGAGTACTGTGTAGCAATAAAAAGGAATTAACTATTGATACATGCAACTACCTGGATGTATCTCAAGGGAATGGAGTGAAAAGGCCATTCTCAAAGGTTATACTTCGTGATCCTATTTACGTAAGATTCTTGAAATAAGAAAATTATGAAGAACAGATTAGTGGTTTCCAGGGGTTAGAAATGGGGGACAGAGGTAGAGATGGCTATAAAAGGATAGTATGGCAGAGCTCTGTGATGACGGAACAGCTCTGTATCTTGCTTATGTTGCTGTTTTCATCCATCTACACAGGTGATAAAATGAAATAGAACTATATATCACATGCAACACAAATGAGTGCATGTAAAATGGGTGAAATTTGAATAAGCTCTGTGGACTGTTCCAATGCCAATTTCTTAGTGGTGAATCTACAGTTAAAAAGCTAAAAAACATTTTTTTTGGGAATGTTTTTAGTGCTGCTAAAAATAGAAGTGGAGCGATGACAATAGACCTCAGCTGTGGGATCATTCAGTAGCCAGAACCTGGAATAGTGTGTGAAAGTGTGTGGTTGGGATTCTTAACAGCAGGGGGAAACGTCAGTCAGTAGAATCGACTTTTTCCTTCTTCTTCTCAACCAGCTTCCTGAAGCAAAGCCTATCTTTTCTATTAAATTGGTTTTTTCTTATGCCTCCCCGCTTTTTTTTTTTTTTTTTTTTTGAGACAGGGTCTCATTCTGTCGCCCAGGCTGGAGTGTGGTGGCACAATCTTGGCTCACTGCCTGGACCTTCCAGGCTCAGGAGATTCTCCCACCTCAGCCTCCTGAGTAGCTGGAACTACAGGCATGTGCCACCACACCAGGCTAATTTTTTTTGTAGAGCTGGGGTTTCCCCATGTTGCCCAGATTGGACTTGAATTCCTGGGTTCAAGCAATCTGCTGAGCCAAAGTGTTGGGATTATGGGTGTGAGCCACCACACCCAGCCTTTTTTAATTTATAAAATAGAGACAGGGTCCTGCTCTGTCACCCAGGCTGGAGTGCAGTGGCACAATCTTGGCTCACTGCAGCCTCGACCTCTTGGGTTCAAGCAATCCTCCCACCTCAGCCTCCCAAGTAGCTGGGACTACAGGGGTGTGCCACTATGCTTGGCTAATTTTTTTTGTCGTTGTTGCTTTTTTTGTAGAGATGAAGTCTCGCCCAGGCTAGTCTAGAACTCCCAGGCACAAGTGATTGCTCCTGCCTAGGCCTCCTAAAATGTTGGGATTAGTGGCGTGAGCCACTGCGCCCATCCTGCTAAGCCTATCTTGAAATGATAGATTTTTCTGTCTGTTCCTATCTGCCTTATAATTAGTGACAGACCATCTGAACCAAACTCAGGAAAGAATTACCTTAGGAAAGCTTTCATCATCAAAAAACATCTTATAATTGCAGAAGTATATACAAGATGATCTATTATCAACAGTTTATAATGGCCAAAGATAAGTCACCAGAATATTTGCAGAAAAAAGTTATAATGGCCAAAGAATGGAACAACTTAAATACACAGGGGATGGTAAATCCATACAATAAAATACTGTACACAAGAAAGAAAACATAAGTGGCACTCTACACACTGCTATGAAAGCAGATCAATATAAAAGCAGAAAAAAGCCAAGTATGGAAGTGTAGACTAAATATAAAATACTCACCGGAGGCCAGGCACAGTGGCTCACACCTGTAATCCTAGCACTTTCGGAGGCCGAGGTGGGTGGATCACTTGAGGTCAGGGTCTTCAAGACAGGGTCTTCCTATATTACCCAGGCTGTCCTTGAACTCCTGCACTCAAATGATCCTCCCACCTCAGCCTCTCAAATAGCAGGGACTATAGATGCACAGCACCATGCCTGGCTTCCAAAATGGATGAATCTTATTTCACTATGCTAAGTGAAATAAGCCAGTCACAGGACAAATATTGCATGATCCCACTATATGAGATATCTGTAATAGTCAAACTCATAGAAACAGGGTAGAAGGGTGGTTGCTAGGGGCCAGGGAAATGGAGAGTTGTTCAACAGGTATAAAGCTTCAGTTATGCAAGACAAGTAAGGTCTAAAGATCTGTTGTACAACATGGTGCCTGGAATTAACAATACTATATCGTGCACTTAAAGATTTGTTAAGAGGGTAGGTCTTGAGTTAAGTGTTCTTACCACAGAAGACAAAACAAAAACTCAACAGCAACCAAAAAGCAAAAAACAAAGGGGCAGGAGGAAACTTGTGGAGATGACAGGTATGTTTATTACCCTGATTGTGGTGATGGTATCAAAGGTGTGTGCATATAGTCAGACCCATCAAATTGTATTCATTAAATATGTAACAACTGTACTTCTATAAAGCTGGTAAAAAACACTGTACCTGTTTGTTTTTACTTCAACGTGGCTATAAGAAAATATAAAATTACATTACAGCTTGCATTCTATTTGTATAGTACTGTCCTGCTCAAGATGGATTAACAGGTGTGTGACACTCACTGCCTGCTGAGAGCAGGGTGTAGGGAACCTGGGGTTGGAAAGGAGACTTGTCACCGTATGCTCTTCCATTTATCAATATTTCATATTTTGAGAAGACATGAACTTTTTGAACAAAGATAACAGAAAATCATTGTCAATAGTTAATCTACCAGAGAGATTCAGAAACCTTGCATACTTGGTTTTCAGGTCTTGGTTGAGAGTTCTAACACCGTTGAAAAATCTCAAGAGTAACCTGGTAATGATATCTTCATTGAATTAAAATTACATTTTGCTTTAATCTGATAGTCCTCTTAATCCAAAAGGTCAACATCAAGTTAAACAACATCCAGTTTCACTTTGATGTTCATAGCTGCCAGTTCAGCTACAAAATACCGAAAAACATAAGGCACAGAAACAGTATCGATAGTGTCACTGCGACTACACAGAGTACAGTTGTATTTTCTGTTGCGCATGGCAGACCAAGAAGGGGGTGGCTTCTCCAACAGTGGAGAGAGTAAACTGCCACACTTCACACACACATGGGCTACCGACCGATCTGAGCAGTTGAAGAGGCGGTCATGAAGGAGAAAAGATGTACCATGAGCTAAAAGCGCATCCCGTTCCATCTCCCCAAAACGGATTCCACCCTGGACATTTCTTCCCCCAATAGGCTGGTTGGTGACTCTGTCTCGGGCTCCAGTTGTCCTTACTTGAAATTTGTCTGAGACCATATGGCGTAAGCGCTGATAATAAACCACTCCTATGAAGATGTCTGCTTCCAGTTCTAGCCCACTGATGCCACTATATAACCTCTCGGTGCCATAGAAATTGTAGCCAGCAGCCTTTAACATCTCACCAAAGTATTCTAAGGCCGAGTTCTCCTCTGAGAAGATGAAGGGTGTAGCATCATGGCAGAGACCATGCAAAGCTGCAGACTTCCCGGCCATACTCTCAATTAACATCCCAATGGTCATGCGGGATGGAAAACCATGGGGATTGAACAGAATGTCTGGGACCATCCCACTCTCAGTAAAAGGCATGTCCTCAGCCGGCCACAATCTGCTTAAAATGCCCTTCTGCCCATGGCGACTGGCAAATTTATCTCCGATAGTTGGGTTCCGAGGCACTCTCATAGTGATGCAAACACACTTGAATTTTCCACTCCCAGTGTCATTACTGCACACTTTGATGTTATCCACAACACAATTTTCTTTACTCCTAGGAAAAAGTAAACCATATAAGGTCAACCTATTTGTTTTAACTTATGGAGATAAGTTTCATTGATATAATTAGTGCTTCATAAAGGATATTTGTAAAACTTTTTTTTTTTTTTTTTTTTTTATGATACAGGGTCTCACTCTGTTGCCCAGGCTGGAGTGCGGTGGTGCAATTACAGCTCACTGCAGCCTTGACTTTCCGGGTTCAAGCAATCCTCCCACCTCAGCCTCCTGAGTAGCTGGGACTACAGGTATATGCCACTAGGCCTGGCTAGTCTTTAAATTTTTTTTGTAGAGATAGGGCCCCACTACATTGCCCAGACTGATCATGAACTCCTGTGCTTAAGGAATCCTCCTGTTTTGGTCTCCCAAAGTGTTGGGATTGCAGGTGTGAACTACTGTGCCTGGCCTGCAAAACTCATTCTTACCTTTATTCTCCAATACAAACAGAGATGGTATGAATAGAGCTATTGGTGATATTCACTACAGAATTATGTTCATCTGAAAGAAAACTAGCAACAAAAGCAACTGAAAAATTATTATGAAAGCCTATTGAAATAAATTATATTGTAAAATAAGCTAAAATAAGACATTTCTAATAAGAGGTATGAGCTCAACATTTTGGCTAGGAAACATTGCTAACATTGTATGTGAGAAAGATGACAAAGTTTGGATAATACAGTTTTTAAAAAAAGCACAAATAGGCCAGGGATGGTGGCTCAGGCCTGTAATCCTAGCACTTTGGGAGGCTGAAGCAGGTGGATCACTTGAGCCCAGGAGTTCGAGACCTACCTGGGCAACATGGTGAAACCGTCTATACTAAAAATACAAAAAATTAGCTGGGCATGGTGGTCCATGCCTGGAGTCCCAGCTACTCAAAGGCTGAGGCGAGAGGATTGCTTGAGCCCGGGAGGTGGTGGTTGTAGTGAGCTGAGATCACTCCACTGCACTCCAGCCCGGCTGACACACTGAGACCCTGTCTCAAAACAAAAACAAAAACAAAAACAAAACAGCTTGGATACCCAAACTTACTTATAGTACATCACAAAACTTTCCCCGGTGTTGAGGTTGAGGTAGCTGTAATACGGATCTCCGTACTGCAGTTTTGCTCCTATAAACGGCAATCCATCGTCATCTAACTTCTGCAGAACGCGTGGGTCACCAGGTTTGATGCCAAACACCAGGCTACTATCTCCTTGTTTAATTTTTTCAGAGAGGTCTATGAACTCAGACTTGTAGACACTTCCATGGGCAAAGCCTCGTTCCCAAGAGGCCTTATTCACAATCTGTGAAGTAAAAGAATCGTTAAAAGACTGAGGCCAATTGAGGATTTTCAAAATAAAACTAGGTGGGACTATCATACTTGGTTTAGGATAACTGGCATCACATTTTAACTTTCCTCACATTTTCCAAATCACTGATACTAACTACAAAAACCCAGACATGGCTGGGCACGGTGGCTCACGCCTGTAATTCCAGCACTTTGGGAGGCCAAGGCAGGTGGATCACTTGAGGTCAGGAGTTCGAGACCAGCCTGGCCAACATGGTGAAACCCCATCTCTACTAAAAACACGAAAATTAGCCAGGCATGGTGATGGGTGCCTGTAGTCCCAGCTATTCGAGAGGCTGAGGCAGGAGAACTGCTTGAACCCAGAAGGTGGAGGTTGCAGTGAGCCAAGATCGTGCCACTGCACTCCAGCCTGGGCAACAGAGCGAGACTCCGTCTCAAAAATAAAAAACAAAAAACAAACAAACAAAAAACAAGAAAAACAAAAACCCAGGCACACAGAAATAGCTTAAAATCTAATCATACTTAAATATAAAAGGTAGATAGATCCAAAACCAAACTTCAAAATTTACTCATAATATGCACTCAAATATGCAAGACATACGTGTATCTGAATATTTAGTGGATATTCCTCAAGGCTTGCCCACTTTCAACTTAGACTAAGAACTAATCATTTAATAGAACATCACGTGCCAAATACTAGGTACTTGGGTACACAAAAATATTCCTTCAGTGATTTCACAGTAAACAAACAAGTTAAAAAATAAAAAGATTGGAACAACATTTCCTGGTAAAACTTACCATGGCATCTTCCATATCATAGCCAGTGTAAGAAATCACAGCAACGATGGCATTGGTCCCAATTGGATAGTTATCCATGTCATAATAATCATACATGGAGGGTCTCACCAAGGGACTCTGAGGAGTCTGAAGACGATACAGTTTGTTATCCGATCGGTCTTGATAAGTGAGAAGTGGAAAGCCCATAGTTTGCTTACCTACATGGAGAAAAAACATCTTAGCATTTTCTGCTGCTTTCATCTTGATTATAGGTGTGATACGCAACACTGGAAACAACTAAATATCCATCAGAGGAAAATGAACAAATAAATAGTCATGGTAGTTATGCTTACTTTAGACTAATACATAAGCTGTGAAAATGAAGTAAACCTAAATGTATCAACGTGACCAGACCAGGAAAACCATGCTGAGTGGGAGAAAGTGCAGACTGACATTTAATATGATACGATTTATGTGTATTTGCAACACACCCCAAACAATTCTATACTTAGTTTATGGATACATGTATGATGTAATAAAAGCTTTAGAAGGGGACAGAAAGGAAGTACGCAAATTACAGGCTATCACTACTCGGGGAAGAAAAGGGGATAGGAATTATTACGTAATTAGATTACTTTCTTACAGCGGAATATGTATTTAATTCTAAGTAGTGGAGCATGGGGTGAGATTCCTCTGTGTACTACCTCACAGTACAGAGAATCATTTCACGACAAAATGATTTTAAAATATAAATACATACAAGTGAAATTTTTAAAAAAATTATAGACTTAGAGCTTCCAGTAATAAAGGGCTACTCTTACTAGACCACCCTCAACACATAAGTATGAGACGCAGACCCCCAACTACACATACAGCACTGGAGAGTAACCAAAAGCTGTCAGAAGCTGAGAAGAATTTTTACTTGGACAAAAGGAACACACTGGGTGAATTTCCAGGTTTTTAAGTATTTATGTATTTATTTTTGCCTTATGGCCCAGTGTGGCAGCTACAACTTAGATAGAAACCCACAATCTTACTGGCTTGAAGAACCAAGAAATAGAGTTCTGAGCATGACAACAATTGGGAAGGGGGAACATTTCAGAAATGAGAGAACCACAAAGGGAGACCCTTAAATTCAGCATATAAATTGGGTCCGAATCTTTGGTGGACTCCTGAACTATGCATGCATGGGACAGATCACAGCAGCCCACCTAAGGCTGAAGAATGTACTTCAACTGCCACGTTCACCAAGTTAAGTACCAGTGAAAACTAAAAACCAATCCTCTTCCCCTGGAGAATTTTTGGTGACATGCACTGAACCAGGTGATGGACTGTGTATTAAGAAGGAAAGACATAAAATGAAAAAAATTAAAATGTAATTGAAGGCCAAACACCACACTAAAAACAAACAAAACCAATCCTCTTCAGAGGACCCTAACAGGATCCAGGGTTTAAAACATACTCCTCGCAATGTTCATAATACAATCCGATATTACTGGGCATACAAAGAAATGGTGAAACTTGACTTATACTCAAAGAGACTGATACTAAGATGACCCAGACATTGGAATCTGCAGATAATGATTTTACAACACCCATCATATAAAACTATGTTCAAAATATAAAGGAAAACATGCCCACAATGAATGAAGATAAGAAATCTTAGAGAAGAAAGAAACTATAAAAAAAGAAACAAGTCAGGCCAGGCGCAATGGCTCATGCCTGTAATCCCAGCACTTTGGGAGGCTGAGGCAGGCAGATCATTTGAGGTCAGGAGTTTGAGACCAGCCTGGCCAACATGATAAAACCCTGCCTCTACTAAAAATACAAAAAATTAGCTGGGCATGGTGGCACATGCCTGTAATCTCAGCTACTCAGGAGGTAGAGGCAGGAAAATTGCTTGAACTGGGGAGGCAGAGGTTGCAGTGAGCCAAGATCGTGCCACTGCACTCCAGCCTGGGTGACAGAGCGATACCCTGTCTCAAAAAAAAAAAAAAGAAAAAAAAAAGAAACAAGTAGAAGTGCTGGACTTGAAAAATACAGGCATGCACTGCATAACAATGTTTTAGTCAATGCAGGATGGCATATATACTATGGTGATCCCATATTTTTACTGTACCTTTTCTATGTTTAGCTACACAAATCCTTGCCATTGTCTTACAACTGTAGACAGTACACAGTACAGTTACATGCCACCCAGGTTTGTAGCCTAGGAGCAACAGGCTATACCATATACTAGGTGTGTAGTAGTCTCTGCCATCTAGGTTTGTGTAAGTTCACTCTATGATGTTCACACTACGACAAAATCACATATGACTCACTTCTTCGAAGGTATCCCTGTCGTTAAGGGCACATGACTGTAAGCAAAAATTCAGTAGAAGACAGAATAAAAAGTGACTGTGATAATAGGTCAATAAAAATAATCCAATCTGGGCCAGGTGCAGTGGCTCACACCTGTAACCCCAGCATTTTGGGAGGCTGAGGCAGGCAGATCACTTCAGGTCAGGAGTTTGAGACCAGCCAGGCCAACATGGTGAAACCGTATCTCTACTAAAACACAAAAATTAGCTGGGCATGGTGGTGTGTGCCTGTAATCCCAGCTCCTCAGGAGGCTGAGGCAGGAGAATTTATTGAACATGGGAGGCAGAGGTTGCAGTGAGCCGAGATTGTACCACTGCACTCCAGTCTGGGCAACAAAGTGAGACTCCATCTCGGGAAAAAAAAAAAAAGATCCAATCTGAAGAAAATAAAGAAAAAAGAGAACAGAAACTCAATGTCTTATGGAACAATATCAAAAGGTTTAAATATATGAATAACTGATAGAAGAGGAGGAAAGAGAGAAAAGGATAGGAGCAATGTTTTTAAAAATAATGACAGAAGAGTTTAGCAATTTAATTAAACTGAAAAAAAACAAAATTTGAGGCCGGGCGCAGTGGCTCACGCCTGTAATACAGCACTTTGGGAGGCCAAAGTGGGCAGGTCACCTGAGGTCAGGAGTTCGAGACCAGCCTTGCCAACATGGTGAAACCCCGTCTCTACTAAAAATACAAAAATTAGCTGGGTGTGGTGGTGAGTCCCTGTAGACCCAGCTACTTGGAAGGCTGAAGCAGGAGAATCACTTGAACCCAGGAGACAGAGGTTGCAGTAAGCCGAGATCACACCACTGCACTCCAGCCTAGGCGACAGAGCGAGACTCTGTCTCAAAAAAAAAAAAAAAGAAACACACTATATTCAGAAGACTGCTGCCTTCTAACTAGAAATGACAGAGACTAAGAAGAGACAGTGTAACAACAACTTTTAAGTGTTGGAAGAAAAATAACTGTCAACTCAGAATTGTATATCCAGTGAAAGATTCCTTCAAGTGAAGCAAAATAAAGACATTTTCAGATAAATGAAAACAAAGAGAATTTGTGGCCAGCAACCTGCACTATAAAAAAATGCTAAAGGAAGATTATCAGGCTGAAGGAAAATTGTATACAATGAAAACTTGAATCTTGCAGCAGGAATGAAGAGGACTGGAAGTGATAAATATGCGGGTGACTATAATTGCTTGTATTCTTCAAAAAATCAAATAATAAGACCTCAGGCACACCCAAATCTATGGACATTCTATACCTTTTTCTTCAAAAATGTCAATGTCAAAGACAAAGAATGTTTAAAGATCTGTCATAAATTACAGGAAACTAAATAGACATGCCAACTAAATACAATGAGTGATCCTGGGCTGGTTGCTTGTGGCACAGAAAAAAGAAAAACTTGCCATAAACTGTATTTTTGGAACAAATGGTCAGCATATGTAAATAAGGACAATAAAAGAGTGTGCTAGTATCAAGTTTACTTTCCTGATTGTGACTGTAACATCATCCCTCTTCCTTACCCATCTGGCATTGGTACATGTTCCGTGGACTCTGGTTGTGATCAGAGAAAGGGATGAAGTTGGCAATCACACTCAGCAGGCTGTGTGGAAAGAGTTCCTGGTGTGTGGTAACTCCAGCAAAAACTTCATCCTCAAAGATAGCGACATTCATGAAGATCTGGAAGAGCAGATGTCCAAGGCACAAAATAACTGCAACTGGTTACACATTTACTCTTACCATTTCTCAGAGTTCAGTACTCAAAGACTCAAGAGAAAACCATCCCCACCCAGCATCATGAGTGCTGAAGGGATCAACTGGGAAGCACAGGGAAGCGACCAGTTAGAAATACCACTTGCTTTACGTATCTCACTCTAAAACTACCCCAGACCAATTGTGAAGGGGAATAGGAAGAAAAATTTTTAAGTAGCACAAAGCCTATAATTTTGCAACTGTAAATATGTAGGCAAAGACTGAGTGTGAATCTAATGGAATGTTTTCACTTCACGGCTGAGGCAGAGCCAGGTACAAAGGAGTTCTGGGAGCTAGATAAGATGGGAGGCAGGTAATGTGACCACCAGCCCTCTCTCAGGTTCTGTGGAGTGAGATCAGACATGGAAATTGCTCTGTGCTGATCATAGAGGAGGTGGAAAGTCTGACTTTCTTTCAAATGTCCAACTGTTGTTGTAACATTAACAACCCTTTTAAAAAAGGAAGAGTTAAGTCTCTGAAAGTTGTATACTATACAAACAAGCACATACACTCATCCATCACACATATGTATTTACCTGTTCCATAGTTCCAATTAGCTCTTCTTTGCCCAATGCTAAGTTCTGCACAGGCCGTACCAGTCTACAAGGAGTGGTAAAAAGGAACAATCCTGGGTACAGACTTGGTTTTCCTGTCATGGGTATAAGGACCACTTCCATCCAGGGAGGAATTCTTTTCTCTCTCAACACCTGTTTTTAACAAAAACAGAGTTTAACAAACCTGTCCCAAGGCCATGGCTGTCGCTGCCAGTCTTATGCCCCATGGAATACCACTCATCCACACTCAGCCATGGTAAAAGCCCTACTTCCTTGGGTGCTCACCCCAGCTAGTAGGCAAATCACTAACTACTGAGGCTAAGGATAAAGCACACCATGAATGCACGTGTCGATACACTAAAGGAAATTCTGTCCTCTGTGATCTAAAATACAGTAGATTACTGGTTTTATTTGTAAATTTAATAAACCAAAAACTCATGGGTGGGCCGGGGGTGGCTTATACCTGTAATCCCAGCACTTTAGGAGGCCAAAGTGGGTGGATCACTTGAGCCCAGAGGTTCAAGACCAGCCTGGGCAACATGATGAAACCCCGTCTCTACAAAAATTAAAAAATTACCTGAGTGTGGTGGTACGTGCCTGTAGTCCCAGCTAATCGGGAGGCTGAGGTGGGAGGATCACTTGAGCCCAGGAGGTTGAGGCTGCAGTGAGCCATGATCAT
This sequence comes from Homo sapiens, assembly GCF_000001405.40. NCBI lineage: Eukaryota > Metazoa > Chordata > Mammalia > Primates > Hominidae > Homo > Homo sapiens. The sequence continues at coordinate 112,567,440 of NC_000002.12, read as the reverse complement.
GCCACTGCACTCCAGCCTGGGTGACAGAGTGACCCTGTCTCAAAAACAAAACAAAAAAACTCCAACAAACTCCTGGGTGAAAGGAGAAATAAAAACCTAAATTACAGAAACCTGAAAACAACAACAACAACAACAACAACAACAAACCCATGTGTCAGAACTCATGGGGATTCACAGCTAGATGCATTATCATTAAAAATGAGAGAATGTTTGGTGGAGGGGGACACGGGGAGATGTTGGTCAAAGAGTATAAAGCTTCAGTTATGCAACAAAATTAAGTTTCTGGAGATCTCATGTACAGCATGTGACTATAGTTAAGAATACTATATTGCATGCTTGAAATTTACTAAGAGAGCAGATCTTAAGTGTCCTCATCCTCCGATGCTCCACAATGCTAACCAAAAAAAAGAGAATGAAAATAAATTCTCTATAAAAAAGATAAAATCTGAGACTAATGAGGCAGGTAGCTCATTTGAGGTCAGGAGTTCGAGACCAGCCGGGGCAACATGGAGAAACCCCATCTCTACTAAAAATATAAAAATTACCCAGGCATGGTGGTGTGCACCTGTAATCCCAGCTACTTGGGAGACCGAGGCAGGAGAATTGCTTGAACATGGGAGGCGGAGGCTGCAGTGAGCCAAGATCACACCACTGCACTGCAGCCTGGGCGACAGAGCGAGACTCTGCCTCAAAAAAAAAAAAAAAGAGGAATGATTGTTTAATGGTTACAGAGTTTCAATTTGTGATGATGAGAAAGTTCTGAAGATGGTGATGACTCCACAACATGAATGTACTTAAAACCCTCAACTGTACACTAGATCAAATCTCATACACTTTCTGAGCATCAAAATAAGTAGTAACAGAATATTCACAAAATTAAACAAGCATCTATAAATCTACGCTAACATAAATAAATGAACAACTAATAGAAAAGAAAGCCCTCCCTTACAGAATAGCAACTAATAAACATAGAAAAAATGCTGGTGGGGGAAAACACCATGTGGTAACCATCACAGTAATATTAACTCAGCAAAGAACCACCAATGGAATAGTAATTCAGCTAATAATCCATCAACTAGTGGGTGAAAATATGAAGAAAGAGGGCTCCACATAGCTTTCAACTATCTCTCCACAAGTTACTTATTACAGAGAAAAACAGAAACTGTACAGTGAATTAACCTAAAGAACACAACTTTGAAGGGATCAGTTAACATGAGTCGTAACAGGACAAACCAACGTCATGTGCTTCCTGAAATATCTTGAATCTCATCATGAGGAAGCAAAACATAAACCTAAATTACAGGAGAGCTGTGATTCCCAGCACTTCGGGAGGCCAAGGCGGGTGGATCAGTTAAGGTCAGGAGACCAGACTGACCCAAATGGTGAAACCCCACCTCTACTAAAAATAAAAAAAATTAGCCGGGCGTGGTGGTACACACCTGTAGTCTCAGCTACTCAGGAGGCTGAGGCACAAGACTCTGACTCAAAAAAATAAAAATAAAAGACTGGTGGTTGGCAGCATCTAGGTGGCTTCAGGATGGGGCTGGTCACCAGAAAGACCAAGCCAGGATTAGAGGATTGGGACTTTCACCCCCACCCTCAACCTCCAGGAAGGGGATAGGGGCTGGAGGTTAAGCTAATCCCCAGTGGCCAATGATTCCATCAGTCATCCTATGTAATAAAGCCTCCATAACAACCCAAAGGACTGGGTCAGGGTAGCCGGGCACAGTGGTACAGTCCTGTGGTCAGGCTGCTTGGCAAGCTGAGGTGGGAGGATCACTTAAGCCTGGGACACTAAGGCTGCAGTGAGCTGTGATTGTGCCACTGCACCCCAGCCTGGGCAACAGAGTGAGACCCGTCTCTCTAAAAAAAAAAAGAAAAGAAAAGAAAAAAAAGAGAGCATTACTGAGACAGCTGGTGGAATCTGAGTATCAACTATGGATCCCACCCACATGACCTTCTCTGATTTTCATAAATGTACTGTGGTTATTGAAGAGAAAGTCCTTGTTCTTAGAAAAAGTACACTAAAATCTTTATGGAAAATGAGACAATGTCTCAATACTGCTCTCAAATGGTTCAAAAGAAAAAAATTGAGTATACAGAAGATAAAGGATGTAGGGCAAAGCATAGCAACTGGTGGATTTGGGTAATGTGTATACAGGGGGGTCCCATGTACTGATTAAACATCTTTGCTCTAAGTGTAAAATTATATCAAATGAGCCACAATTCCACTTATAGGAATATAAGAATTAAAGAATTAAAAGCACAAGGACTTAAATAGATATTTGTACACTCATGTTCATAGCAGCATTATTTGCAATGACCAAAAGGTAGAAACAACCCAAGTGTCCGAAACAGCACTTAAACGAAAACTAAAATTTAGTTTAAACATTTTTTAAAAATAAAAACACAGAACAGAATATAAACCACAAACAGCCTGTTGCCAAAGGATAATTCTTTCAATGGCCATTATCAAAGCAACAAATACTCTTCACTAGGAGGAAATCCCAAAGGTAAGTTATTCAAAGAATGTCATTCTACTTTTTAAAAATATATTTTCAAAACCTAGGAGGCAATGGGGTATAACTTCTACCTTGCATATTTTGAATATTACTGAAATATCTGTATTTTGAGATCCCTTCTATGCCACTAGTATTAAGAAGGGGGAAAAAAGTTAAAATTAGTTAGATAAGCAGACTGAGGTGCCTCAATGAAACTGCCAAAGAATGTATATGGGTCAAATATCTGTCACTGACCCCAACCAATGAGGCCAGTATAAGGCAAGCCTCTGTCACCAGAGGGAATGCACAGGCATTCTGGACATTGTGACCCCCTGACCACTTGATCACTCTAGACCGCCCAGGGGTTAACCCCAAAACTAGAAAGGAACTGAAAAACCTAAGGTCAAGGGATAGGACAATTCACAAAGCCTCAAGCCCACCTTAAAATGACGAAGAGAATCTGCGATGCCTGGAGCAAGATCCTTATCCACCCAGCCAACCATGACACCGTCCAGCAGGACAGGGTAGCACTCACTGTATGATCGGTGGGGAGCTCCATCAATGGGAGTGACCCCTGGTAAAGGAAACAAACAGCACAATCACATCAGAATGCTTCATCCAACATTCCAGATTCCCTCCAGATGGGGTCAACAGCTGCTGTATCAGTTCAGATATCAAATTATCCTTGTCTCTAAAACAGGTACAGGCATTATTTCTTTTAACTGCACTTCAGATATTTCAAGCAGGCTTATCAATGCCATTTTTCCAACGACAAGTGTTCCCTTTGTGTCTCTGTGCTGGCATTTTGGTAATTCTTGCAATATTTCAAATATTATTATTATTATATCTGTTATGGTGATCTGTGATTAGTGATCTCTGATGTTACTACTGGACTTGTAGATGTGGTAGAAATAGCAAGACCACTAGAATTAGAAGTAGAGCCTGAAGCTATGAGTGAATTGCTGCAATCCCATAATCAGACTGAATGGATGAGGAATTGCTTCTTAGAGGATGAGCAAAAAAAATGGGTTTGTTTTATTTTTGAGACAGGGTCTTGCTCTGTCGCTCAGGCTGCAGTGCAGTGGCATGATCATGGCTCACTGCAACCTCAACCTCCCAGATTCAAGCAGTCCTCCCACCTCAGCCTCCCGAGTAGCTGACAGGTGCGTGCCATCATGCTTGGCTAATTTTTAAATTTTTTTTTTGTAGAGACAGGGTCTCCCTGTGTTGCCTAGGCTGGTCTCGAACTCCTGGGCTCAAGCAATCCTCTCGCCTTGGCCTCCCAAAGTGCTGGAATTACAGGCCTAAGCCACTGTGCCCAGCAGAAATGGTTTCTTGAGATGGGATCTCAAGAAATGAGAAGATGCTGTAAACATTGTTGAAATGACAATAAAGGATTTAGATTATTTCATAAACTTAGTTGATAAAACAGCGGCAGGGTTTGAGGGGACTGACTGCAACTTGGAAATAATCTCCTCTGTGGGTAAAATGCTATCAAACAGCATCACATGCTACAGAGAAATCTTTTGTGAAAGGAAGATGCAATTGGTGTCGCAAACTTGTTTTATTTTAAGAAATTGTCACAGGCCAGGCGTGGTGGCTCACGCCTGTAATCCCAGCACTTTGGGAGGCAGAGGCGGGCAGATCACGAGGTCAGGAGATCGAGACCATCCTGGCTAACACGGTGAAACCCCGTCTCTATAAAAAATACAAAAAAATTAGCCGGGCGTGGTGGCGGGCGCCTGTAGTCCCAGCTACTCGGGAGGCTGAGGCAGGAGAATGGCGTGAACCCGGGAGGCAGAGCTTACAGTGAGCCGAGATCACGCCACTGCACTCCAGCCTGGGTGACAGAGCAAGACTCCATTTCAAAAAAAAAAAGAAAAAAAAAAAAGAAAGAAATTGTCACAAGCTGGCCGGGTGCAGTCACTCACACCTGTAATCCCAGCACTTTGGGAGGCCGAGGCAGGCAGATCACCTGAGGTCGAGAGTTCGACACCAACCTGACCAACATGGAAAAACCCCGTCGCTACTAAAAATACAAAAAAAATTATCCGGGCATGATGGTGCATGCCTGTGGTCCCGGCTACTCGCAAGGCTGAGGCAGGAGAATCACTTGAACCTGGGAGGTGGAGGTTGCGGTGAGCCGAGATCGCGCCACTGCACTCCAGCCTGGGCAAGAGCGAAACTCCGTCGCAAAAAAAAAAAAAAAAAGAAAAAAAAGAAATTGTCACAAGCCATCCTAACCTTCAGCAACCACCGCCCAGATCAGTCAGCAGCCAGCAACACTGAGGCAAGACCTTCCACCAGCAAAAAGATTACAACTTACTGAAGGGTCAGATGATTTAATATTTTTTAGCAATAAAGTATTCTTAAAATTGAAATATTTACAGCATAGTGTAAACATAACTTTCATATGCACTGTGGGAAACCGAGAAATTCATGTGGCTCACTTTATTGCAGCGCTCTGGAACCAAACCTGCAATATCTCCGGGGTAAGCCTGAAGGCTTTTGTATTGCTTGTGGAAGTTTAAATTGCTTCAGCAAGGACACACAGGAAAGAAGTAGCAAGGGGACAGGGGCCTATGGGAGGGAGCATTTCACTGTATGTCTTAATATTTTTATTTCTAAGCCACCTAAATGCATTAAATGCATTAACCCCCAAAATGTAATTACAGTTAATCCTCATTATGTGCACATTTGCCTACTTGCTACATTATCTCTGTAACCACAAAATTAATACTGGGGATGCTTTCAAAGTCATTTCAGAACATGCAGCAAAAAACTTTGAGTCCCCCGATGCAGATGCTCCCCGCAGCTGAAGTCAAACAAGACGATGCCATGCCTTCTTGTCAGCTCATACTATAAACAAGTGCCCCTTGCCCAGTCTGTTCACTGGCACGTTTTCAGCATTTTTGTGCTTTTTGTTGGTGTGATTTTTTGTTGGAAGCTGTTTAAATAACAGCTTCCAGGCTTCGCATGGTGGCTCACACCTGCAATCCCAGCACTTTGGGAGGCCAAGGCAGAAGGAATGCTTGAGGCCAGGAGTTCGAGACCAGCCTGGATAACATAGCAAGACCCCATCTCTACAAAACAAACAAACAAACAAACAAACAGAAAAAACAAATTGCCTCCGAGTGCAGCACTGAAGTGCTGCCTAGTGTTCATAAATGCAAAAAGGTGTGATGTGCCTAACAGAAAAACATGTGTGTTAGATAAGCCTATAATTACACTGCTGTTGGCTGAGAATTCAATGTTACCACGTGAACAATATATATTTTTAAAGGGTGTCTTTCAACAGAAACACACAAAAAACAAGGCTACATATTGATCGGCTAACAAAAATGTTGTAACCCGAGGCTTGAAGGAACCTTACCCTGTATTTCCCCTAGGCACAATGGTTCAATATTCACTGGTAACTTTAAAGATGAGTACTACAAATAATGAGAATCAACTGAAATTAAGTAAAAAAAAAAAAGAACACTCTTCCATGAACCATAAATACATTCTGAAGACATCAAGTGTTTGTTAGAGTGTCAGAAGTTACCTGCCTCGTGTTTCATCTGTCACCACAATATGAACATCTCTATCGAAAGTTAGGTAGCGATTCCGTCTTCTTCTCCAGTGCTAGAGCAAAAAACCCTTCCCCATCTCTTTTTCTGCAGTTGGATATACTTTCTACCTCTCCACTTTCTCTTTTCTCCTTTCTACCCTCTCCTGGACTTTGACATTTTGAATCACGAGTAACAAAATTCTTTTCCTCGTAGAGGATAAACCTTCAAATTACGCTGATTACATCTTCTGAATCTTGAGTATTTCTTGATTACTTTCTGTAGGGCCCTCTTCTTACAGGCCACTCTCTCTCTCTTTTTTTTTTTTAGATGGAGTCTCACTCTGTCACCCAGGCTGGAGTGCAGTGGTGCAATCTTGGTTCCCTGCAACCTCCACCTCCTGGATTCAAGTGATTCTACTGCCTCAGCTTCCTGAGTAGCTGGGACCACAGGCACATGCCACCACACCCAGCTAATTTTTTTGTGTGTGTATATTTAGTAGAGATGGGGTTTCACCATGTTGGCCAGGTTGGTCTTAAACTCCTGACCGCAAGTCATCTGCACACCTCGGCTTCCCAAAGTGCTGGGATTACAGGCATGGGCCACCACGCCCGGCCAGGCCACTCTAATTGGGAGAAGTACTTTTAAGCAGAACTTTCTTGAGTCAATGCCCTTCTAGTTGCCTGAGAACACTTATCATCTGATCCCCATGAACTGGAAGTTTTACTGCACACATATTAATCCCACTGAGGACCCTGTCCACAGACCACCAAAGACAGAACATTTCTGTCTCCAAATCATAAATGGAGAACCCTGGGACTAGAAGACTGCAGAGAAGGCTGACATCTTTAGGTATGAAAGTAAATTCAAACCAAGTATCAAGCCAAGCAGAGACAGAGACAGCAGCTTTAAGGTTATCAGGAAAAAAGGTTATATATCTGATGATATCAGGGTAGACTGGGAAACCTCCTTTTAAACTGTCCTCCTGCAAACCAACACTGTTTTCTATTTAGAAATGCAAAGATCCGCCAAGAGATGCAAAAAGAAATGACCCAAAAAACTACTCAATAGCTTCTATACTTCCAATATTAATGACTAGTCTATTTCGAATGCTTTGGCATCATTCTTATTCATTTATTTTTCATTTTGGAGATAGGATCTCACTTTCTCACCCAGTCTAAAGTGCAGCAGCGGCACAATCACAGCTCACTGCAGCCTCAAATCCCTGGGCTCAAGCGATCCTCACTTCCATTATCTTTTTTTTTTTCCCAAAGAAAACAAAGTACCTATAACACTTAGTTTCTCCTGTTTTCACTTTCAAAGAATGCATTCGGCCTTCTACAGAGGAGCCAAGAAAGCAGCCCAACTCCTGCACAGAAGAGTAAAAAAGAATTCTTACAGAAAATCTCTGCTGAATCTCCAAAAGCAGCACAACTTAACAGGTTAAAAACCACGTAACCTTGGCCGGGCGCGGTGGCTCACAACTGTAATCCCAGCACTTTGGGAGGCCGAGGCAGGCACATCACGAGGTCAGGAGATCGAGACCATCCTGGCTAACACGGTGAAACCCTGTCTCTACTAAAAATACAAAAAATTAGCCGGGTGTGGTGGCGGGCGCCTGTAGTTCCAGCTACTCGGGAGGCTGAGGCAGGAGAATGGCGTGAACCTAGGAGGCAGAGCTTGCAGTGAGCCAAGATCGCGCCACTGCACTCCAGCCTGGGCGACATAGCAACACTCCATCTCAAAACAAACAAACAAAAAGAACACAAAAAAACCCACATAACCAAACAAGATGTTTATCACTGTACACTACATACCCAAGTTGCACAGTAAAGCTGGAATAGATGCCGTATACACAAACTGTGTGACAACCTCACATACGGCAGTTAGGTGGTTCATCAGGCCACAGGGCTCCCCGTCTGGGGTATGCACGGGACAAAGGAAGCCCCAGGACTCTGGCAGCAGCCTGCGTACTGTGGTGGTCCTCATCTTGGCAAAATCAGCCCCTCTGTGCACGCAGCGGAAATGGGAGAGGTAGCGTATGAAGTTCAGCTTGTCAGCCACAACACAAAGTCCAGAATCTTGTAGGAGGCCAAGACCTTAATAAAACAAAAGTCATTCAAAAATGGGCCAATCTTTTGAAAAATGGAAATTGTTGAGGCTTTATGACGACAAAACCTCAGAGCACTCTACAGATCATAGAATGAATTATTACAACATTTATTCTCCTAGCTCTGATGAGTGTAAAGAGTTCACAAAAAAATATGTAAAATAATCCCCAGATTTCACAAACTGTATTAGCCCCAACTAGTTCCCTGTCTCCTCTATGACCTCCTTTGTGGGTGAACATTAAATGAGTTAATAAAATAGCAAGTAGTTAAATTCATCTGAGAGAGTCAGATAATAGACAAGCAAGAAAGCAGGCTAATGAAAGAATCGGCAACAGTAACATGGGTTTAAAAAAAAAAAAAAAAGGCGGGGCACAGTGGTTCATGCTATAATCCCAGCACTTTGGGAGGCCAAGGTGGGTGGTTCACCAGAGCTCAAGAGTTCCAGACCAGCCTCAGCAGCATAGCGAAACCCCATCTCTACAAAAAATACAAAAATTAGCCAGGTGTTGTGGCTTATGCCTGTAGTCACAGCTACTCGTGGGGCTGACGTCGGAGGATCACCTGAGCCTGGGAAGTCAAGGCTGCAGTGAGCCATGATCCTGCCACTGCACTTTAGACTGGGTGACAGAGTGAGACCCTGACTCAAAAAAGAAAAAAAAAAAATTCTGAATTCCCAATTACCACTTTTTAAGTTTCTAGGGTCATTCTCTTTTTTGTTGAGACAGGGTCTCACTCTGTCACCAGGCTGGAGTACAGTGGTGCAATCACAGCTCACTGCAGCCTTGACCTCCTAGGATCAAGTGACCCTCCTACCTTGGTCTCCCAAAGTGTTGGGATTACAGGCATGAGCCACCACACCTGGCCTCTCAGGTCACTCTGAGGCAAGGCAAATGGTTTAGAGATGGGCATGTACAGCAACCCATCTAGAGTTCCTGTTAGGTAAGCCTTCCTCAGAGGTCTAAGTGGCCTTTCATTTTCTAGAAGGAAGCAGAGAAAATGTATTCAGTTATCTGAATTAAATTTTAGCTATACAGACACCTTGTCTAAAGCCCTTTAGACCAATAGTTGTCGAAGTCATAGTTATGAGAAATTTACTTTTTTCGTGGGGTTTGCTTTTAAAAAGAACTCTCAGGGACAGGCAAATCTACACTAAGCAACTAATTTGAAAAACATAACTAAAACGATCGATTTAATTTTACCTGTTTTAGAACGCAGATTCCCAGTAGCAAAAAGGTATTCAAATGGTTTTGTAAGGTCTATGCCCATTGTAAAAATCCTCATCAAATTGTCAGTGTTCATGGAAACACTGGTCTTCTGAGCCTTCTTATCAAAAGCTATTTTAATAGACACTAACCAACCTTCCAGTTTTTCCTGAAATAAGGAAAAAAAATTAATATAAAATAGTATGTGAGCCAGGTGTGGTGGCTCACATCTATAATCCCAGGATTGGGTGGATCGCTTGAGACCAAGAGTTCAACATGAGACTGGGCAAAATGGTGAAACAAAACCCTGTCTACAAAAAAATTAGCCAGAGGGGGTGGGGTGAGGGGGTGGGGCGTGCCTGTAGTTCCAGCTACTTGGGAGGCTGAGGCGGAAGGATCGCTTGAGTCCAGGAGCCTAAGGCTTCAGTGAGCCATGACTGTGCCACTGCACTCCAGCCTGGGAAACAGGGCAAGACCCTATTCTCAATAAAATAAAATAGTATGTGTTTCAATTATCACAAACTTCATATTTATTCCCATGTAATCTGTACGATCTTTAACAAACGTCTACTAACATACATCAAAACCAAAAACCTGAAAGAGGGCTTTTCAGGTGCAGAAAGGATAGCTCTTCAATGTGATGCCCTCCTTCACCCATTATACTTGTTATACATCTAAAACCAATCACACGAACTACACAGTCCATCTTAATCTATGCTGCCAACACTAAGTGAAAAGCCTAAAGCAGCCTGCAATTCCAAAATTACAGCTAGACTGGAGGAATGAGTTCTGGTATTCTGCAGCAATGTAGGTTGAATACAGTTAACTATATTTGTTGTATATTTTTTCACTGCAGCCTCAACCTCCTGGGTTCAAGGGATTCTCCTGCCTTAACCTCCTAAGTAGGTGGGACCATAGGTATGTGCCACCATGCCTGGCTAATTTTTAAATTTTTTTTGTAGAGATGGGGGTCTCACTTTGTTGCCTAGGCTGGTCTCAAACTCCTGGGCTCAAGCAATCCTCTTGCCTCAGCTTCCAAAGTGCTGGGATTACAGGCGTGAGCCACCACACCCAGCCTTATTGTATATTTTCAAAAAGCTAGAAGAGGGGATTTCGAATGTTCACAACACAAAAAAATGATACATGTTTGAGGTGATGAATGTGTTAATTACTCTGATTTGATCATTATACATTATTGACATATATGGAAAAATCACTGTATACCCGATAAATATGTACAGTTATTACATGTCAACTAAAAATAAAAGAAAAAAAGACTATACACCATCAGCGCTTTCTATGGGTGGTTCAGAAACCACTGAAAATACCTAAGAGAATGTTTGAGATAGGTTCTCTCCTATATTTGATATTTGGAAGAAAACGTGGAAGATGTACATAGGTCACTCATGTATACCTTTTCCAGCAGGCCCCTGAGTCAACACATTAGCCATTGACTATTGATAATCCACCTCTTCAAACTATCAGTGTTTGAACACTCACACTTGGAAGACCTAACTATTCTTCCAGAAGACAGCACTGGAAGTGACACATTTCATTTCTGCATATTCTCTGGCACTGACACTGCATTTAATATCACTGTGGTGCAGTAATATTAAATTTTTAGTACTTGGAAGGAATAAATTTTGGAGAGGTGTGGGAAGAAGGAATATATTTTATAAAATGTTACAATGAATCTCACAACTGACTACACACTAGTAGGATTTGTAAGTACACTGCTAAAAATCTGTAATGTACAGATAAGGGAATTACCAGGGAGTGAAGGAAGCTGTTAGCTCACCCAACAAGGGTATTAATGTAGGTTTGGACTTTATCAAGTGAAACTAGAGAATCAAGTTTGAGTAGAAGAGCCTGGCATCACTGCTCCACCTCTGCTGGTTGCTGTTTAGATTCCTTTCTTGAGCCTACATCTTCCTGTGTCATAAATGTTTTTATCAGGTGTACACTGAACACTTCATCTTCACAGTCAAGATGGAATAAGAAGCCCTGGATCTTGACAACTGATTTGTTTGTGTTCTTCTCCCTTTTTTTTCATAACTATGTCTACTTCCTTATTTGGGTTTAAAATCAAAACCAGAAAGGCTAACTGAAGTGTTTTATGGTTAATCTACAATAATACAGAAAATATGGTTGCTATTTTTCAATTTTATATTGCTTATTTCAATGTAAATACAATGTGAATTTTTAACAGTCTATAATTCATCTTATGTCATGGTTATGTATCTTCTGAAGATTGTTTTTATGCTCCAAACTCAAAGGTTTAAAAGCTTTAACGTAGCTGGTAAGGAAATCAGATACTCGGCAATGAATTCTCTGAAAAAGCCCCAATTTTCCCTTGGTTTCTCTTGTTGCTGACACAGGTCACCTTAGTAACGCCTTGCTACAGAAGACTCATTTCTTTTTTCTGTTGAGACAGGGTCTTGCTCTGTCACTTAGGCTGGAGTGCACTGGCGTGATCACAGCACACTGCATCCTCCGCCGCCTGGGCTCAGGCAATCCTCTTACCTCAGCCTGCTGAGTAGCTGGGACCACAGGTGTGGCCCACCAGGCCTGGCTAAATTTTTTTAAAATTATTTGTAGAGACGAAGTTTTGTCTCTGGGCTGTTTGCCCAGATTGATCTCAAACTCCTGGGCTCAAGTGATCCTCCCACCCCGGCCTCCCAAAGTGCTGGGATTACAGGTGTGAGCCACCGCACCAGGTGTTTTTTTCTTTTTTCTTTTTGAGATAAGGTCTTGCTCTTTTGCCCAGGCTAGAGTGCAGTGGCAAAATCACCCCTTATTGCAGCCTTGACCTCCTGGGCTCAGGGATCCCACCTCAGCCTCCCAAGTGGCTGGGACCACAGTCATGTACCACCATGCCCAGCTAACAGGTTTTTTTTGGAGACAGGGTCTTGCTCTGTCGCCCAGGCTGGAGTGCAGTGGCGTGATCTCAACTCACTGTAACCTCCGTCTCCCAGGCTCATGCAACTCTCCTACCTCAGCCTCCTGAGTAGCTGGAATTGCTGCAGCATGCCAGCATGCCCAGCTAATTTTTATATTTTTTGTAGAGACAGGGTTTTGCAATGTTGCCCAGGCTAGTCTTGAACTCCTGAGATCAGAAGATCCACCCACCTTGGCATCTCAAAGTGCTGGGATTATAGGCGTGAGCCACCACACCCAGCCACTGCTAATAGTTTTTATTATTTCTGTAGCGATCTCTCTGTGCTGTCCAGGCTGGTCTCAAACTCCTTGGGCTCAAGTTACCCTTCTGCCTCAGCCTCCCAAAGTGCTGGGATTACAGGCATGAGCCACTGTACTCCTGGTCTCATTTCTTTTTCTTTTCTTTTTTTTCCTAATTAGGAATTGATGTGGAATAAAGACACATTTATAAGTGTGGAATACAATGAGCCCACCATGCTTCACTTTAAGTAGATGGGAAATGTAAATTAACCTTTACTTGAAAGGTTAATTTAATAACATTAAATTAATAAGAGAAAACTTACGCTGCCTGCTTTCAATTTTTGTCAGGAAAATTGTAGGCTGCTGAAATTTTTCAATCTAATTTTATGGACAGAGCAAACAGAAACAAAGATTATTACCTTTCGGGAAGAATGTAAATAAGAATTACTACCTAGATAAGAAATTAGAAGGCCGGGTGTGGTAGCTCACGCCTGTAATCCTAGCACTTTGGGAGGCCAAGGTGGGTGGCTCACTTGAGGTCAGGAGTTCGAGACCAGCCTGGCCAACATGGTGAAATCCCGTCTCTACTAAAAATAAAAAAATTCGCCGGGCATGGTGGCACGCGCCTGTAATCCTAGATACCCGGGAGGCTGAGGCAGGAGAATTGTTTGAACCCGGGAGGTGGAGGTTGCAGTGAGCTGAGATCGTAGCACTGCACTCCAGCCTGGGAGACAGAGCAAGACTCTGTCTCAAAATAAAATAAAATAAATTAGAAGCCAGGCACAGTGGCTCACACCTGTAATCCCAGCACTTTGGGAGGCTGAGGCAGGTGGATCACCTGAGGTCAGGAGTTCGAGACCAGCCTGGCTGAAATGGTGAAACCCCACCTCTACTAAAAATATATTAACTCTTAGATTACATCTTTTTGAGGATAAGATGCAAAATATAAAATGCCACTGAATCAATATTCTTATGAAATCATTTTTGTGCCATGCCAACTTTCTCTCTATATACATCTACAGTCAAATTTCACTACTCACAGTAGCTATGTTCTAATGAACACTGAATTAACACATATAAAACCACTACTCCTGGGGAAAAATACAGGGCTGGGTTCCTGCAAGTCTCTGGTCATAACATTCTGGTCAACGGATCAATATACAATCTTGTTTAATGTCAGCTTTTGTTGAAAGGCACCTTATTTAACATACCTTGTTAATTCATTAACACTGAACACTAGACAGCGCTTCAGTGCTATGCTTGGGGACCATTATAAACAGCAAAAACTGGCCAGGCTCAGTGGCTCATGTCTCCAATCCTATCACTTTGGGAGGCTGAAACAGGAGGATCACATGAGCCCAGGAGTTTGAGACCAGCCTGTACAACATAGTGGGACCCTGTTTCTACAAAAAAAATTAAAAATTAGCCGGGTGTGGTGGTGAATGTCTATAGTCCCAGCTGCTCAGGAGGCTGAGGTGGGAGGATTGCTTGAGCCTGGGAGGTTGAGGCTGAGACCCTGTCTCAAAAAAAAACAAAAAAGTCACCAATAAGAAGCACGACAATGTGAAAAACATAGCACCAAATGCACCTCAAAAAGGACCCTCTTTATAGTATGAGCTGAAACCGGAAAGCAGAGCATCGCCCTGCCCCGCCTCAGCTGTAACATTTGCCTCAGGAGACCCAAATTCTTCACTGCTCTGCTCATGTATGTGAATAATCATGAAAGCACTGAGCACTGACATTAGGGTTACAAATAAATTTTAGCCAGTGAGTGAATTCACAAATACAGAATCTACAAATAATGAGGATCAACCATATGTATAAATACAGGCCATTTGCTTTTTATCATTAACACTGTGACCAAGATTTGATGTGATCTTTACATAAAAATATTAAGCAAATTTCCAAACCTGGTGTAAGCCAGGATTTCTGATCCCCTTACTGCTAAATGAACAAACAAAAAAGAGACCACACAAAATGCCAAAACTAGAAACTATAAACATGCAGAAAACAGTGCTGCTGGACAAAGTCACGCCATTCCACAAGTGGTACCACTGGCCAAGGGTGGACATAGCATGCATTTACCTTCAGGAACATAAGGAAGAGCTGACCCGGTGTGAGGACTTCCTGGTTCACCAAACTATCAGGATTGTCCTCCATGCACTCTCCTTTGGCTAAAGCAAAGAGCTTTCGCGTCATGAGACAAAGCATATAAAACTTTTCAGTATTGGATTTCAAGTGGATACAGATGCACTGGCTGTGAAAACAGAAAAAAAAAAAAGCTTAAAACAATTCAGTTGGTAATACTACTTAATATTCTATTAACCAAGATCCCCAACTCATGCTTACTTAACTTTAATTAAATAAAATTAAGCATTCAGTTTTTGAGCTACACTGGCCACATTTGAAGTGCTTATCATGTGACTGGTGGCTATGCACTGGACAGCACCAGTATGGAGCTGGCTTCTTTAGTAATTATACAGTGGTTATATAAGACAAAGTCCTTGCTTTGGAGAAATAAAGTGATACAATCCCTGCAACTTTCAGGGATTGTACAGAAAGAAAAATGTACATCTGTGTACACAGAAAGTAAAAAAGTAAATGTAAATGAATGAAATGTTCACAATTAGAATCCAATGTACTATTTGGACATTATTCTGGAAGTCTGAAATTATTTCAAAATAAAAGTTAAAAAGTACTATAAAATAAAACACGACTACTAAAAAAATACAAGTGAGGAGGGCCGCAAAAACAAAGGTAGCCCCCGGCTAGCAAGGACCAGGATTCTACCCCAAGATTCATTCTCATTCCCAAATGACTCGCCCGCCCAAACTGCAACCAATACAAAGAACCACTGACAGCCCTCCGCCCCTCCAAAAACAGTTTAGACAAAGCACACATACTTAAACAGGAACTCCGCAGCTTGCTCATTTGGGTACCAGTCAGGAACATTGAGTTTTACTCTGAAGCATTCACCTAGGTAGTTAAGGACCTGTTTTTGTGTCGAACAACCCTCTTCCATTACAATCCTTAACATCTGAGAAACAGAGTTCCTAAGGAAAGAATCATCCTCTTTTCCTTTGATGAGCTCCTGAAAGATCTGATAATCAGAAAAGCTGACAAGTGCCTAGAATAGAAAATAAAAGGTTTAATTGCTCACTAATAACTAAAATACTTTATCTATTCACTAATAATTATCTTCTCTCATTTTTTTAATACCCAAGGAAAATTAGCACTCTGCTATTGCTGAATCAAAGTAAACTCTCTAAAATAAAGCATTCTTTGTATGATAGCCAGACAGCACAATTGCCTCCAGGGTCCTCATCTCCTGGTGTTCACAAACGTGTAGTTTCCTCCCATGCCGAATCAAGGCTGGCCTGCTTGACCAAGAGAATGTGGTGAAAAAGATAATGGGAGACTCCCAGGGCTAGATCACAAAGGGCACTGCAGCTTTTTCCTTCTGCATCTTCTGCTCTCTGTTCTCTCAGCTAACTATATGGAGGAAGACAGTTGCCTCAAGCAGCCTACAGAAAGGGCCATGTAGAGAGCAACCCCATGAGGAGACCTCCTGCCACCAACCAGCAGATTTGCCAGCCATGTGAGTGAGCCACCTTGGAAGTCCTGAAAATGACTGCAGTCCTGTCTGACATCTCCATGCAACCTCCTGAGACCCTGGGCCACAAGTGCCCAGCCAAAGCACTCCCAAACTCCCGACCCGCAGAAACTGTGAGACAGAAATGTTATTGAGTTTTAAGCTATTGAATTTTGACGTAATTTGTTTTGGAGCAGTAGACAACTAGTACAGTATTATTTTAACAAGGAGAATCCATCCAATGTGCACAGGATACTACCCCCAGTGAATTTCTTCATAACAAAAGAATGCATTCATTAAGTCATACCTTAAGTGCAAATCCCAAAGGAAGAAAGAACAGTTCTTTTCGGTAAATAAAGTTCAACATAACAGTGCCATTTTCCAAGTAGTGGAGGTTCATATTGACAGCGGAATGTTCTTCCCTCACACAGTGCATTGAAACTCCTATTGAACCAAACAACAAAAAAATCAGAAACTCATTGATATCTTAATTGCTTCAACCATTTTCTTTCTGAACAATCTTAACCTCTTAGACACAATTAAAGCCAAATCACTAAGTTTAGCCAAGACTGGCAATCAAAAATGTTTCTAAACCTCAGCAAATGTCCTCTTGCATGCAAAATCTACCCAGATTGAGAAACACTAATGTAAAATAACCGAAACTATGAATTTAAGCAAACTTCAAAGTTTCCCTCCAGGACAGAGTCCACATCTTTTAGCACTTTATATCTGCCTTAAACTGTGGAGTCTGGTCAAGACATGGTGCTTGATCTAATAGTTCCAATGGAGAAAAGTAGAATTTTAGATTTTATTTCAGTTTCAGGCAAAGACTGCTAAGACATACTACCATCAACTGATGCAAAAGAAAATCACTAGACATTCAGGCATGCTGTTTTTCTAGGTATAGTATGTATGGCTATAATTAAGGTCTGATTTTTAGCTCAACTATCAGGACAAATTGTTTAACTGTCAGGGTTGCTCAAGAATACAACATGCTGTCTTAGGCATTGTCAAAGAGAATGTTCCAACAGAGGCCAGGTGGCTGTCAGACAGAGACCCTGAGGGGTGTACCACAGTGGCCTGAACCAGAAGACATCCAAGGCCCACATTCACCTATGGCCAAGCCAGACTAGCTTCCATCTTCATAAGTAGTAACAAAAATACACATGCTCTTTCAGTTTGCAAAAGTGCAGCAGCCTGAACCAGAAGACAGCCAAGACCCACACCCACTTATGGCCAAGCCAGACTAGCTTTCATCTTCATAAGTAGTAACAAAAATACACATGCTCTTTCAGTTAGCAAAAGTGAATTTTAAAATGCTTATGATTGATAAAAATCATATATATTCAAGGTGTACAATACCTTGAATATACATATACATATATTATAATGATTTCCACAATCAAACTGATGAAAACATCAATCACCATAGTTATCATTTGTAGTACGTGTGCACGCGTGTGTGGTTGAGACACTTAAAATGTACTCATCAATTTTAAGCAGTACAGTATTACTATCATCACCAGGCTGTACATCAGATCCCCAGAACTTATTCATCTTGTAACTGCAAGTCTGTATCCTCTGACTAACATCTCTCCATTTCTTCTTCCATCCCAATTATGAAAACTTAACACAAGAATGCTCAATAGAAAAACAACAAAAAACAAAAGAAAGACCAGACACGGTGGCTCATGCATGTAATCTCAGCACTTTGGGAGGCTGAGGCAGAAGGACTGCTTGAGCCCAAGAGTTCGAGATCAGCCTGGGCAACGTGGTGAAACCCCATCCCTACCAAAAAAAAAAAAAAAAAGAAACAAAAATATCAAAGACCATTTGGATGCATCTACTTCAAAAAAAAAAAAAGTTTTAAATTTTCCTTAAAAAATATTCTAATAATCTCCAGAACTTACCATACTGAGTATAACCAGGCCCTCTGGTTTTCCATTTTGGTCTTATCATTGCAATGGGAAAATTTCTCCGAGGCATAATCAACATTCGGATGACTTTTTCAATGCCATTGATTATAAAATAGCCCCCCATTTCCTGCCAAAAAGATGAATTGCAACTTGTTAAACAAAGATACATGACTAACTGTAAACATGAACCTCACTCCTAGCCAAAGGTAGTACAACACACAGAATAGGAACACAGAGGTGAAATGTACTACTGATCCCTTGAAAACAGTACACAGACACTGTCTTTGTGTGAATTAACAGTTTTCTCAAGTATATTACAAAGGTCCTAGGGACATGGGAAAAAAGTATGGAAGAAAAACAGGGTACTTCTCTTTATCAGACAGGCTCAACCTATCTTGCCTTTCTGTCCCCTAAAATGACTTCAGTCTTCAAATAACACTAAAAAAAACTTACTCCAAAGAGGTGTTGAAAGATAAAAACTGGGCCGGGCGCGGTGGCTCACGCCTGTAATCACAGCACTTTGGGAGGCCGAGACAGGAGCATCACAAGGTCAGGAGATCAAGACCATCCTGGCTAACACGGTGAAACCCCGTCTCTACTAAAAATACAAAAAATTAGCCAGGCGTGGTAGTGGGCGCCTGTAGTCCCAGCTACTCGGGAGGCTGAGGCAGGAGAATGGCTTGAACCCAGGAGGCGGAGCTTGCAGTGAGCCAAGATTGCGCCACTGCGCTCCAACCTGGGTGAGAGAGGGAGACTCCGTCTCAAAAAAAAAAAAAAAGAAAGATAAAAACTGTAACCATTTTGCTTCCATACGAGTATGGTTTCCCAAATACGTTCAAAAACTTGATTGTATGAAAGCTCTGGAAACCAGAAATTTGGATTAGCTAAATAGAAAAATATTTTTAATAGCTCTGCTCAATATCACATTTCTGTAATAAACAGCTACTATTTACGAATTGCCTACTATGAAACAGGCATATTATAGTAGGTGCTCTATGTTATCATAACATTTAATTCTCATAACAATGAGTGGGGTAGCTATTATACCCACTTGCAGCAGAGGAAACTGAGGCTCAGGGAGATTAACTTCCCCAAACCACAAGACTGATAAGCGGAAGAGCTGTGTGTCAAACCCAGATCTGACACCAAAACCCTCTTCCCACCACATAACACCATCTACCTATTTAGTAGGCACTGTTTGTTCATCTTGATTACCTCAACTCAACTCTGCAAAGCCACCTAATATAGCTGAAAGAAATGATGAAGGGAATGCATATAAGTCATTTAATATGCGCACAGAATCTTACTGTTAGCAAAGCAGACATTTTTATTTCACTTTTTTAGTGACGGGGTCTCACTCTGTCTCCCGGGCTGGAGTGCAGTGGCACAATCATGGCTCACTGTAGTGAGGCCTCCTGGGCTCAACTGATGCTCCCGCCTCAGCCTCCCAGTTAGCTGGGACTACAGATCCATGCCACCACCATGCCCAGATAAATAGACATTTTTGACAATAGCTTTGTGGATTAAGACAGCTTGAAAAAAAAAACAAATTTTGTGGAAGTATGTCTCTATCATTCAGAAAATTAGGGAAAAACCTACCAGTTCTTCCCCCCGAACAATAATATTCTCTAATTTTACAGCCACTTTTTCATACTGTCTAATTTGATAGTTATTCAGAGCCATACACTGTATGCAGGCAAGATACTGATATCTCTTTCACCTATCCAGAAATTGGAGCACAGAAAGAAAACACTGACACACTTCTTGTCTTCTTACTCCCAACCCAGGCCTTCTCTACTGTCTCATGCCTGGACGCCCGTCATTACCTCTGCCTCCTCATGGTGCTCAATGAGGGCTTGTGGGGGAAGGTTACGTAAGTTGCAAAGCTTGGATTTCACCATGATGGGAACATAGCCAAGAAACTGCTTAATGATTCCTTTTGAGATTCCATTCACTGCCCAGTTGATATCAGCCTAAATGAAAACAAGAGAAAAAGTTACTTAACAGAAATATCTGCATTTACGAGAACAAATGAGTATTTTCAAAGACTGAGGAAGAAGATCAATTAAATTATTTTATGCCTTAGATTTAGAAGGTGGGATCTCTTAGACAATAGCACCAAGAAAGCAATTTCTGGCATAAACTTTATTAGGCACCCGCCCTACTCCCAAATATGTGCAGTGTTGAGAGTCACACAGTATCACTAGTACTCACTGTCAACTTCCCACGGTAGGTACTCCTTCGGCCCCGGCATTCTGCTGGATAAACATTGGCCTCTTTGCAGATGGTCCCTTTTGGAACTGTAGGTGGACTGATAACAGCATCCAGAATAGTAAAAGAGATACGCTCATCTTTGAAAGCAAATTCAAAGGGAGGTATAGCCTGAAATGCAATTCACACTATTAAATTGCTTGCATTTCCAAGGCATTTTTTCTCTAAGACTCTTCCAAATCTTATGTGTTCTACAAACATTGATGCCTGTGATGCCACCATGACACACCTAAAAAGGACAGTTAAGGCTACCTCCAGTTGGCCGGGCGCAGTGGTTCACGCCTGTAATCTCAGCACTTTGGGAGGCCGAGGTGGGAGGATCACAAGGTCAGGAGATCGAGACCATCCTGGCTAACACGGTGAAACCCCATCTCTACTAAAAATACAAAAAAAATTAGCCAGGCGTGGTGGTGGGCGCCTGTAGTCCCAGCTACTCGGGAGGCTGAGGCAGGAGAATGGCGTGAACCCGGGAGGCAGAGCCTGCAGTGAGCAGAGATCACGCCACTGCACTCCAGCCTGGGCGACAGAGCGAGACTCCGTCTCAAAAAAAAAAAAAAAAAAAAAAAAAAAAAAAAAAAGCTACCTCCAGTCTACTCATAACTTCACTAAATACTTAAAACCACAAAGCATTATTAGTACAAGATTGTTTTGAGTGACCACATGTGTCAGAGACTGTAGTAGGCTCTAGGGATACAGCTGTGAACAGAACAAAATTCCTGTTCTCTGAACCAAGAGCCTTGTGTATTCTTAACTTGTCTATGTGCATAGCAAGACAAATGGGACTACTGCTAATAGAGCAAGGATACGGAAACATCCTTTAGGATTTAAGACTAGATGCTTAATGTACAATGGCAACGTCAAACTGAAGCCAGAGCCATGCAAAGGAAAAGATGGTGGCCAGGCTGGGTTTCCCCTTCCACAGAAGTTACTTCTTTGTACCATTCTGTAGGGGAAGCTTTGCTGTTCTGAGGAAGGGGCATCACCAAGCTCTCCTATATATTAATTACAAGCAACCTCCTAGACTTAGTCTTAGAATAATGAAAATGAAAAAATGGAACCAAGAAAGAATACCAAGGAGGTTCTCCACCTTCACGTGAGTTAACTTACCTTTTCTAAATTTTAAAATGTTATCTAAAGCTGGTATTATTTTAGAAATTCATATTTTATTTAAAAATAAAAGCCAGATGCAGTGGCTTATACCTGTAATCCCAATATTTGGGAGACCGAGAGAGGAGGACTACTTGAGCTCAGGAGTTTGAGACCAGGCTGGGCCACATAGGGAGACCCCGTCTCTACAAAAAATAAAAATAAAAAAATTAGCCGGGCATAGTGGTGCACGCCTGTGGTCCCAGCTACTCAAGAGGTTGACGTGGGAGGATCACTTGATCCTGGAAGGTCGAGGCTGCAGTGAGCTATAACCATGCCACTGCATTCCAGCCTAGGTGACAAAGTGAGATCCTGTCTCAAAAAAAAAAACAGAATGAAGTTAAAAAAAGAGAGATTAGACAATTTGCTTTCTCAAGACGCAGCTGCACTATTTAGAAGGAAATACAGTGAACTGTCATTATTCATAATAGTTATGTTCTATACAGTTGCCATAAACACTGAATTAGCCAATACTGAACCACTGCTCCTAGGGTAAATACATGGTTAGCTTCCTGCGAGCCTCTGGTCACATTTCATCAACTGATCAACACACAATCTTGTATTATGTGTGTTTCTGTTTAAGGACAGCTTATTTAATACATATTATTGAGTCCGTAACTCATGCCTGAACAAAGCCTATGATTTCATCCACTGATCAATACACAACCTTGCATTATGTGGGTTTCTGTTTAAGGACAGCTTATCTAATATATATTATTGAGTCCCTAACGCATGCCTGAACAAAGCCTATGTTAAATGCATGTATTAATATTTTCCCCTAAAGGCACAGCACAGCCTTCTTGTGCTTAGGAACTTTATACAGAACTTTAATACTTTAATACTTTGCTTGGGGGACATTTTAAACAGCAAAATCACCAACAAAAAGCACAAAACACGGCACTAAATAGATAGTGAAGACAACCTCTGTTTATAGTTTAAGAACTTAAAACAAGAAGGCCGAGCATCACCTTGTTAGATCTCAGCTGGGAAAATGGACACTGAGCAACTCAACTTTTTTGCTGCTTCTGGGCATGGTGCTTTTGGAGTAGAAGTAAATTTTAGTGAGTAGGTGAATTTGCAAATATGGAATCCCCAAGTAATAAAAATCAATTGTATTTTGAAAAGACAGACACATAAATTCTGACTCACAGAAAGGAGGAATTCACTCCAAAGAAACTTGGCAAAATTATGTTTTGTAAGTAAAAAATATGATAACTATTTTTTCCCTTGGCTTTATAAGTATTAGTTATTTATGTTACTGTGTTTTACAGAACTTTTTCAAATACTATATTATTATAGTCCTAGCTAAGTTGTGGCATCATTTTCTATGCAGGGCCAAATTTTCTTCATCTACTTCAACCAAAACAATTATCACAAGGGACTGAATGCACAAGCAGACATGAGAATCCAGCTGTCTTTTCATTAAGCCAGACATTAAAAAGATTTTTAATAATGCAATTCATCTAACTTCTTTTTTGCTTTGGAAAATATTTTTCTTAAAAATGTTAACATATAATTGGTTTATTTATTTATGTATTTATTTTTTTGGGAGAGTCTCACTCTGTCACCCAGGCTGGAATGCAGTGGTGCAATCTTGGCTCACTGCAACCTCCGCCTCCCAGGTTCAAGCGATTCTCGTGCCTCAGCCTCCTGAGTAGCTGGGATTACAGACATGTGCCACCATGCCCGGCTAATTTTTGTATTTTTTAGTAGAGATGGGGTTTCACCAGGTTGGCCAGGCTGGTCTGGAACTCCTGACCTCAAGTGATCCACCCGCCTTGACCTCCCAAAGTGCAGGGATTACAGTCAAGAGCCACCACACCCAGCCGACTGGCTTATTTTTAAATTAGTGCTTTTCTAAAATTTCTCAATTGGATTTTTTTTTTTTAAAGACAGGTCTCACTCTGTTACCGAGGATGGAGTGCAGCGGCACAATCATAGCTCATTGCAGCCTCAAATTCCTGGGTTCAACTTATCCTCCCACCTCAGCCTCCCGAGTAGCTGGGACCAGCTACTTGGGTGCGCACCACCATGCCCCACTAATTTTTAAATTTTTGTGGAGATGGGGTTTCACTATGTTATCCAAGCTGGTCTTGAAATCCTGGGCTCAAGTCATCCTTCTGCCTTGGCCTCCCAAAGTCCTGGATTACAGGTGTGAGCCACTGCACCCAGCCCGATTAACTTTTAATTAGGAATTTTTTCTCACAGACATGATACTGTAACAATCCAGGCACAATACAAATAACCCCCACCCCTCTAGTCTTTCTAAACAATAAATCTTAATGGCTCCCATATTATTTGCCGAATAGAGTTCAAGAATCAGACTGGCAATCAAAGCTCTCCACATTATCTGTATCCCTATCTCCCACAACACAAATCTTACCCAACAAAACCACAGGTAGGGTCCCCGAAGCATGTGACTCTGCTCTACTCTTCCCCTGGACGAAATGCACGTTTCTCACTTCTTGAACTCATCTAATCCTGCCCTTTCTCAAACTCCTGGATTAGTTGCGCCGCCCATAGGCTCCCGCAGTAGCCCACACAATCCCTTGGCAGAGCAGTTCTCAAGAACATTGGCATGCACTGCTTTCATTATCTTCACCCCTTCAACCCCCAAACACGACAGGGAGCACTTAAATGCATGAACTGTCTCGTACACGGGACTGCCTCCTCCACATCCTCTGAGCCTAGTGCCTGGAGACACTGGGGATGCTTACTAAACGAAGCTTTCCCCCACCATACTCACTTGAATTCTGCTACCATTACTCTACGCTAATAATGCAATTACACTTTTCGATTCAATCTTGCTTTCATGACTCATTTATACCTTCCTCGGCACCTGCTTAATTCATAACAAATGACGAGTAGTTTCTCTCTTTAAAGCTCTAAGAGAAGGAAACTGAAGGATAACCTTGAACATTACACTGTACCTACAAATACGTTCGGGATCTTTCGAGGTACGTTTTGGAGAGGTAAGTCTTCAAGTGATATAAAGCCGTGTGCATTGTGAAGCACATCCCCAGATAAGCCACTTCCTCACTCTCACAGCACCCCGAAACTGTCCAAACTACGGTTCACAATCACTTTTCACTCCAGAATCACGAATACATCTCTTAAGACGCCTCGACTCCAAGTCTCACGAAGGCCAGTACCGCGTCCTGTTTAACATGTTGTGCTCTCCCGCTTACCCACCAAGCCTGTCAGGATCAAGGAGCACATGCATCTGGGGTCATACTGTGACCTCCCAGCCACCTCCCTGGGATTGGCCTCGCCGCGGCAAGGGCGCCGGCGGACGCCGCGCTCACCTGCACCGCGAGGCCGAGACCCTCGTGCACAGCGTAGTTGAAGGACTCCACGTGCGCCCGCGTCAGCTCCTGCAACGCTGCCTTTTGCTGTTCCCGCGGGATTCCATAAGAGGGGTCAGTCAAGTGCTTTAGGCTAGGCCCGCTGGGCAGGTTCCGCCACCGGCTGCCAGGATCCATGTGGCCACCTGCACACCGGACGCCAGTCTCTCGGTACACGCCGGACGCCAGTCTCTCGGTACACGCCGGAAGTAGTGGCCGCAGTCCCGTTTCCGCAGCCTGCTGGGAAATGTAGTTCCCTCTCGTTCCACCCGCCCTAGGCCCTGCGGTTTCGGTTTCTCGGGGTCAACGTAGAACCAAAAACGTCGAGTGAACGGGCCGATTAAGGCCGTGTCCAGCCAGAGCGTGGCGGGCCCTCCCTTTCTCCCATATTCCGCCCCACTCATCTCCCCGCTCGCGAAAGATGCCGCAGGTGGAAACCCGCTCCCCGCCCAGTTGAGCATGTGACCTCTTTGGCTCTCATTGGCTCAGTCAATTAGGATCGGAGGAGAGCGGTCTTCTCAGGCTCTCTTCTGTTTCCCTTCACCTGTTCCCAGTCCCACGCTGATGCCGACCCTGGGGAGTCATCCGGCCAAAGTCGTTGCTTCAACGAAAAAGCGGATGCCGGGCCCCGGGCTGACTCTCTACCCAACTCCTAACTCGCGAGGCTCACCCCTGGGAAGCCAAGGAGTGGTCGGGCCCCGCTAACCTCGTCGCATCTTCCGGACTGGAGGCCTGGGGGAGGCCTGGGGAAGGAGGTGGGAGAGGAGTCGGGCGGTCCCGGATGGAGGGGATGGGGCAGCGGGGCGTCCAACTGGATTTACAGCCTGAATTTCTTTTGCGTTCCTGTGAGCCCCTTACCTCCCCAGAATACTGATTAATCAGGGAATGCCTGCTGGTTTTTCAACTTTATTGTGTTTGTGTTTAACAGCTATATTGCGTTATAACTGGCATACAATAAACCACACATTTAAAGTGTACGCGTTAAGTTTTGACCTATGTATACAACCATGCAGCCATCACCACAATTAAAACAATGAATTAAACCACCACTACCCAGTATCCTCCTGCCCCTGATAGTCCCTCCTTACTGTCAACTTCCCCTTTCCTAGTTCAGCTGGTACTTTTCATTCCTATATCACTTTTTATAAAAAATTCGAGCCGGGAGTCTGTTGCACAGGCTGGTCTTGAACTTCCGGCCTCTAGTGATCCTCTCGCCTTGCCTCCCTAAATGCTGGGATTACAGGCATGAGCCACCGCGCGCGCCCGGCCAACTGAGTAGTTGTAGTTCTTTATATAGCCTATACTAGTCCTTGTCAGATCCATGATTTGCAAATATTTTTCTCCCATTCTGTGGGTTTTTACTTTCTTGCTGGTGTCCTTTGAAGCAAAACGTTTTAATTTTGAAGTGTAGTTTTTTTCTTTTGTTGCCTGTCTTTTTATATCATATCTAAGACATCATTGTGTAATCCAAGGTCATGAGGATTTAAAAAAAAATTTATGGGTACATAATTAGCATATTTATGAGGTATATGAGATGTTTTCATATAGGCATACGATGTAATCATCACAGGAGGGTAGATGGGGTTTCCATCACCTCAAGCATTCATCATTTCTGTCATGAACATTCCAATTGTACTTCCTCAGTTATTTTTGAAGGTACAACAAATTATTGCTGACTGCAGTCACCCTGTTGTGCTATCAAATACTAGATATTTTTCAATCATGGGGATTTTCACCTATATTTTCTACTAAGAGTTTTGTAGTTTCAACTCTTACATTTAAGTCTTTGACTCATTCTGAGCTAATTTTTGTATATGGTGTGAGAAAGGCATATCACTTTATTCCTTTGCATGTGGATATCCAGTTGTCCTAACACCATTTGTTAAAAAGACTATTCTTTCCCTCATCAAATTGTCTTGGCCTCCTTGTCGAAAATCAGTTCACTATAGATGCAAGGGTTTATTTTTGACTCTCAGTTCTATTCTCTTGATCTGTATGTCTATCTACATTTATCTGTATATCTGTCTACAAACTACACAGATTTGATTAATACAGCTTTGTAATAAATTTTGAAATCAGGAAGTGCACATCCTCCAACTTTGTTCTTCTTTCTCCAGATTTATTTGATCCTTTGTATTTCAATATGGATTTTAGCGTCAGCTTAGCTTGTCAATTTCTTTCTCTTTTTTTTTTTTTTTTGTTTTTTGTTTTTTTGAGACAGAGTTTTGCTCTTGTTGCTGAGGATGGAGTGCAGTGGCATGATCTTGGCTCACTGCAACCTCTACCTCCTGCCTCAGCCTCCCAAATAGCTGAGATTACAGGCATGCACCACCATGCCTGGCTAATTTTGTATTTTTAATAGAGACAGGGTTTTACCATGTTGGCCAAGCTGGTCTTGAATTCCTGACCTCAAGTAATCCATCTGCCTTGGCCGCCCAAAGTGCTGGGATTACAGGTGTGAGCCACCACACCCGGCCCAGCTTGTCAATTTCTGCAAAGAAGGCTGAGATTCTTGATCAGGATTGTGTTCAATTGGTAGATCAATTTGGGGCCTATTTTCATCCTAACAATAATTATCTCCCAATCCATAAACATGGGATGTCTTTCCATTTATTTAGGTGTTCTTTAATTTCTTTCAGAGATGTTTTGTAGTATTTGGTGTAGAAATGAACTTTTGTTAAATTTATTCCTAAGTATTTCATTCTTTTTGGTGTTGATATAAATGGAATTGTTTTCTTAACTTCAAATTGTTTGTAATATGTAGAAATACCATTGAGTTTTGTATATTGATCTTGTGTCTGGCAATCTTGCTAAACTCTTTATTAGTTCTAACAGCGTAAGTGGATTTCTTAGGACTTTTTCTATATGGTATCTTGTCGTCTGCAAAGAGAGATCATCATACTTCTCCCTTTCCAATCTGAATGCGCAGTCTTCTTTCCTTCCTTTTGTCGAATTGCTCTGTCTAGAACATTTAATACAATGTTGAAGTGACAAGAATAAATATACTTGTTTTGTGCCTGATATTGGGAAGAAAGCTCCCAACTGGAGCTTTCACATCACCATTAATATGATGTAGGCTGTGGGTTTTTCCAAAGATGCTCTTTATCATGTTGAGGAAGTAATTTATTTCTAGTTTGTTGAAAGGTTTTTTCCAAGAAAGAGTGTTGTGTATTGCCAAATGCTTTTTCAGTGTATATTGAAATGATCATGTGCTTTTTGTCCTCTTTTTTCTATTAAAGTGGTATATTATATTAAGTAAATTTTGTATGTTAAAAAAACCTTGCATTCTTTCTTTTCCCCTTCTCAACGTTTATTTTAGAATCAGGGGGGTACATGTGCGAATTTGTTACAAAGGTATATTGGGTGATGCTGAGGTCTGGGGTATGGTTGAACCTGTCACCCAGGTAGCGAGCACAGTATCCAATAGGTAGTTTTCAATCTTTGCTCCCCTCCTTCTCTCCTGGCTCTAGTAGTCCCCAGTGTCTGCTGTTCCCATCTTTTTTTTTTTTTTTTTTTTTTTTAGACAGAGTCTCTGTCACCCAGGCTGGAGTGCAGTGGCGCAATCTCGGCTCACTGCAACCTCCGCCTTCCAGGTTCAAGTGATTCCCCTGCTTCAGCCTCCTGAGTAGCTGGGATTACAGGCGCCTGCTACCACGCCCGGCTAATTTTTTGTATTTTTAGTGGAGACGGGGTTTCACCATATTAGCCAGGATGGTCTTGATCTCCGGACCTCATGATCCGCCCGCCTTGGCCTCCCAAAGTGCTGGGATGACAGGCGTGAGCCACCGCGACTGGCCTCTTCCCAACTTTATGTCCATGTGTACCCAATGTTTAGCTCCCACTTTTTAATTTTTTTGAGACAGGACTTGCTCTGTCACCTAGGACAGAGAGCAGTTGTGCGATCTCTGCTCACTGCAACCTCCTCTTCTCAGGTTCAAGCGATTCTTGTGCCTCAGCCATCAGAGTAGCTGGGATTACAGGCATGCACCACCATGCCTGGCTAATTCTTGTATTTTTTATAGAGACCAGATTTAATCATGTTGCCCAGGCTGGACTCAAACTCCTGGCCTCATTTGATCTGCCCACCTTGGCCTCCTAAAAGTGCTGAGATTATAGGAGTGAGCCACCGTGCTCAGCCTAGCTTCCACTTACAAGAGAACATGAGTTATTCCAAACTTTGTAATCTTAGGATAAGTCCCACTTAGTCATAATGTATAATCCTTTTTCTATGTTGCTGGATTTGGTTTACTAGTATTTTGTTGAAGATTTTTTCCGTTTGTATTCCCAAGAGATTATTGGTCTGCTATTTGCTTTTCTTGTGACATCTTTGTCTGGTTTTGGTATCAGGGTATTAAGAGTGACCTCATAAAGTTGAGGACACTCTTCTCAATTGAGGAGTATTTTCTTCTCTTCTATTTTTTAGGAGACTCTATGAAATATTGGTGTTAATTCCTTACCATCTGGCTTACAATCTGGTCCTGGGCTTTTCCCTGTGGGAAGTTTTAAAAGAATTATTATTAGTCCAACCTCTTTACTTGTATATTTCTTCATTAATACAGAAATTAACAAAATTTGTTACTGATTTCTGATTTTATTCCAACATGGTCAGAGAACATATGTAGTATAATTTCAATTCTTTTAAATTTACTGAGACTTGTTTTATGGCCTAGCATGTGATCTACCCCAGAGAATGTTCCATGTGCACTTGAGAAGGATGTGTATTTTGCTGCTGTTGGGTGGAGTGCCTTGTAGATATTTGTCAAGTCTAGTTGGTTTATAGTGTTTTCTATTTTCTTGTTGATCTTCTGCCTAGTTGCTCTAGCTATTATTGAAATGGAGTTTTGAGGGTTCCAACTATTGTAGTTAAATTGTCTGTTTCTTCCTTCAATTCTCTAAGTTTTTATGTCATGTATCTTTAGGCTGTATTGCTAGGTACATATGTTTATAATTGTCATATTTTCCTAATGGACTGACCCTTTTATCAATATAAAATGTCCTTGGCATACAAGTGGCCAAGAAACATATGAGACAATGTTCATCATCACTAATCAACAGAGAAATGGAAATCACAACCACAATAAGATATCATCTCACGCCAGTCAGAATAGCTATATTAAAAAGTCAAAAAATAACAGATGCTGAAGAGGCTAAGGAAAAAAAGAGAATGCTTATACACTGCTGGCAGGAATGTAAATTGGTTGAACCACTGTGGAAAGAAGTTTGGAGATTTCTCAAAGAATTTAAAACAGAGCAGCTGGGCATGGTGGCTCATGCCTGTAATCCCAGCACTTTGGGAGGCTGAGGCAGGTCGATCACCTGAGGTCAGGAGTTCAAGACCAGCCTAGCCAACATGGTGAAACCCTGTCTCTGCTAAAAATACAGAAATTAGCTGGGCATGGCGGCACACGCCTGTAGTCCCAGCTACTTGGGAGGCTGAGGCAGGAGAATCGCTTAAACCCAGGAGGCGGAGGTTGCAGTGAGCACAGATCACACCACTGCACTCCAGCCTGGGTGACAGAGAGAGACTCCACCAAACAAACAAACAAACAAACAAAAACAGAGCTACCATTCAACATAGCCTCCCATTACTGGGTATATATCCAAAAGAAAACAATTCATTCTACCAGAAAGACACATGCACCTATATGTTTATCACAGTGCTATTCACAAGAGCAAAGACATGGAATCAACCTAGGTGCCCATCAACAGTGGATTGGATAAAGAAAATATAGTACATATATACCATGGAATACTATGCAGCCATAAAAAAGAATGAAATCATGTCCTTTGCAGTAACATGGATGCTGCTGGAGGCCATTATCCTAAGTGAAATAACACAGGAACAGAAAACCAAATATTGCACAGTCTCATAAGTGGGAGCCAAACATTAGATACACATGGACACAAAAATGGCAACAAGAGACACTAAAGATGACAAGAGGGAGAAGGGAGGGAGGGGTGCAAGGATTGGAAAGCTAACCATTAGGTACTATGCTTACTACTTGGGTAATGGGATCTGTACCCCAACCTCAGGACCCATGTAACAAACCTGTGTATGTACCTCCAGAATTTAAAATAAAAGTTGGAACTATTAAAAAAAAGTCCTTCTTTGTCTATAGAAACAATTTTTTTCTTAAAGTTTATGTTGTCTAACATTAGTATAGCTACTCCACTTCTCTTTGAGTTACTGTTTGCATGGTATATCTTTTTCCATCATTTTACTTTCAACCTGTTTGTGTTTTTGAATCTAAAGTGTGTTTTGCCAGGTGCATTGGCTGATGCCTGTAATCCCAGCTGCTTAGGGGAGACTGAGGCAGGAGGATTGCCTGAGGACGGGAGTTCAAGACCAGCTTGGGAAACACAGTACGACCCTATCTCTAAAAAAAAAAAAATTTTTTTTGGAGAGATATCTGCACTCCCATGTTTACTGCAGCCTTGTTTGCAATAGCCAAGATTTGGAAGCGACCTAAGTGTCCATCAGCAGATGAATGGATAAAGAAAATATATTGCTTATACACAATGGAGTACTGTTCAGCCATAAAGAGTGAGATCCTGTCACTTCCAACAACATGGATGGAACTGAAGATCGTTATGTGAAGTGAAATTAGCCAGGTAAGTTTTGAAGTAAGCCAGGTCCTATCTCTAAAAAAATTGTTTTAAATTAGCCAAGTATGGTGGCAGGCACCTATAGTTCCAGCTACTTGGGTGGCTAAGGTGGGAAGATTACTTGAAACCAGAAGTTTGAGGCTGCAGTGAGCTATCATTACACCACTAGACTCCAACCTAGGCAACAGAGCAAGACTCTGTCTCTAAATAATAAAAATAAAAATAAAATGAAGTGTGTTTTTTGTAGATAGCATATAGTTGGATCATGATTTTTAAAAAAAATCAATTTGCCAATCTCTACCTTCTGATTGGAGTATTTAATTCATTTGCATTTAATGAAATTACTGATAAGGCAGGATTTATCTACCATTTTACTGTTGGTTTCTTTAGGCCTCTTGCCTTTTTTTTCTCCTCTATTTTTCATTACTTCCTTCTCTTTTCTTATATATTTTCTAGTGTAACATTTCTGTTTCCTTGTCATTTTTTACTATATATTTAAAATTATTTACTTAGTGGCT
The DNA here is from genome assembly GCF_000001405.40 of Homo sapiens. Lineage (NCBI taxonomy): Eukaryota > Metazoa > Chordata > Mammalia > Primates > Hominidae > Homo > Homo sapiens. The sequence continues at coordinate 112,535,508 of NC_000002.12, read as the reverse complement.
GGTGTGTCTTGAGGTGGACTCTTTGAGTCTTTCCTGCTTAGAATTTGTTGAGCTTCTTGGATTCACTTTAATGTTTTTCCTCAAAGTGGGAAAGGTTTTGGCCACTATTTCTTCCAGTATATGTTTTATCCCCTTCCCTCTCTCTCACTTATCTATTCTAGGACTCCTATTATGTGTATGTTGGTATGTTTGATGGTGTCTGACGGGTGTCTGAAGCACTGATCATTTTTCTTTGCTGATTTTTTTTTTCTGTTCCACAGACTGGATAATCTCAAATGACTTCTAATTTGCTGATTACTTCTTTTACCAGTTCACACATTTTTTAAACTTCTCAAGTAAATCTTTCATTTGCATTTTTGTACTTTGCAACTCTAAAATTTCTACTTGGTTCTATTTTATAAACTAACTTTCTTTCCTTTTTTCTTTTCTTTCTTCTTTCTCTTTTTTCTTTCTCAATCTTTCTCTTTTCTTCCCTCCCTCCTTTCCCTCCCTCCCTCCCTTTCTCCTTCTTTCTGCCTGCCTTTCTTTCCTTTCTCTTTCTTCCTCTCTCTTTCTCCCCTTCCTACCTTTCCTCCCTCCCTCTTTCCCTCCTTCTGCCTCTGTCCTCTCTGTTTGTGCAGACACTTAAGGTCAGACGAAAGAGCTGGGGAATTCTCAGGTCTCTTCTGGGCATGTGCACAGTCCTACACATGTGTGTGGCCTTCTGCATTCTTAGGAATAGGTTGAAGCTTTTCAAAACGTCCTATAGAAATCTCATTCCCAGTTTTTCCTTCTAAGTCTTTTGGTCAGTTTGTTTGTTCCAACTGTTACAGCCACCTTAGGAAGCTGAGATGTTCAACAATTGCTGTTGATTTTTTTTGACAAATGCACCCAGGGAAAAGGTTGTTCACACTGGGTAACCTCTTAGTCACATCAAATAAAGACAAGACCTAGGAGTAGGGACTTACATGGAACTACCAAAAAGGCCAAATGGCAATTCTCTGGTAATGAAGCTTTGGAGGAGTTCCAATCCCCTTCTGAGCCCTACGGTGGCTGCTCTGCTGCTGGATGTCAGCATGATTGTGTGGCCGAGGCTGTTGTGGAGCTGGGGAAAGGGGGAGTGGGAATAGGGTACATTAAAATGTCAGAAAGCTTGCTTTTCTTACCCAGATGCAACCCTTTCCTTTTTTTTTTTTTTTTTTTTTTGAGACAGAGTCTCGCACTGTCACCCAGGCTGGATGGAGTGCAGTGGCGTGATCTCGGCTCACTGCAAGCTCTGCCTCCTAGGTTCACGCCATTCTCCTGCCTCAGCCTCCCAAGTAGCTGGGACTACAGGCACCTGCCACCGCGCCCGGCTAATTTTTTGTATTTTTAGTAGAGATGGGGTTTCACTGTGTTAGCCAGGATGGTCTCCATCTCCTGACCTCGTGATCGCCCGCCTTGGCCTCCCGAAGTGCTGGGATTACAGGCCTTTTCTTGAATAAATGGATTGCTGCAAGCCTCTGGTTAATGTCTAGACAGTTTTGCTAGTGTTCTCATTGCTTTTATGGAAGAGAGGGTTTTCAGAGGTTGTTACTCTATTATGCCCACTGATGTCCTCTCATAATTTTTGAAAGGAATTATGCTTGCAACAATCTTCAAGTTCTGCTACTATGTATTGCATTGGAGAGGGGTTCATTTTCCTTTGCCTTCAGGGACTGCTATGGTTTGAATGTGTTCCCCAAAGTAAATGTGTTGGAAACTTAATCTCTACTGCAATAGTGTTGAGAGGTGGGACCTGTAAGAGGTTAGGTCACGAGAGCTCTACCCTCATGAATAAATTAATGATGTTATGCCAGGAGTGGGTTAGTTATCACAGGAATGGGTTGCTAGTTAAAGGGTGAGTTAGACTCCATTCCTCTCTTGCCATGTGATGCCTTCTGCCATGCTGAGGCAGCAAGAAGGCCCTCACCAGATATAGCCCCTTGATATTGGACTTCTCATCCTCCAGAACCGTGAGCCACATACACTTCTCTGTAACATTCTGTTATGGCAATACAAAATAGACTAAGATATGGAGGGATGCTTTGGGGAAAACACTTCTAAAATATGGGTTATGGGAGAACTTCAGGTTAAGAAGGAGGTGTAGCTACTGACAGGAAGTGGGACCAGTCTTTAAGAGAAGTCTTCCAAAGGCTTTGGGCCTGTCCACTCTCAGGGTCCTAAGTAGGTGCCTGCCTGGATCCATGTCTGCTTGCACCCTGCACCCTGCACCCTGCCCATGCAATCTCTGCTGAGTCCACTGGGAATGTGTCATAGTGTATGTGAAACCTGTTTGGAGTGGAGTGCCTACACAGGGCTTCTGGCATGGAAACCTCCTCTGTGCCAGAGGTATATTTATGAAGTGGAAGCAGCCACAGAAGGCAGGCCAGCCATACAAAGGAAAGATGTCCAAAGCATTCAGCCTTATTGCACAAGAAGTTACAAGTTAATAACAATTTGCATTAATGAAACTCTTTCTATCCACAAGACTAAGCATCTCAGGTGTGTGAGGTTTATAGGTATTTAAAAACCTGGCCTTGGTGAAATGCTTTACAAGAACTCGATACACAAGACACGTAAGAAACGATGGGCTGGGACTTTGGCAGCTGAAATAGTCTCAGTGCTTCACTGAGAAGCTCATCAGTTTTGAAGGACAATCTGTTGGCTTATGTATTGGGTAACATCCTGGGGTCAGCAAATTACTGCACATCTGGCCTGCTTTTATACGGCCTATGAGCTAAGAGTTGGAGAAAAAAACAAAAAGTATGCAAAAAAGGCCCTACATGGTTTGCAAAGCCTAGCAGATTTATTATCTGGCCTTTTACAGAAAGTCTGTCTACCCCTGAGTAACGGCATCATGGATTTATATTTACTTTATTATTTATTTACTTTTGAGACAGGGTCTTGCTCTGTTGCTCAAGCTAGAGTACAGTGGTGTGAACATGGTTCACTGCAGCCTCACACCTCAGCCTCAAGCGATCCTCCCACCTCAGCCACCACCACATGCCACCATGCCCGGCTAATTATATGGTGAATTTAAATGACCAGTGATATCCCAGGACAGTCAATACCTACAACAAGAACCAAAGAGCACAAAAACACTTGAAATATCATTACTTTACTTTAGTGTTCCAGGCATTTTAAATATTCATACAATCGCCTTATTTCAGCAGTCATTTCCTCTCCAGTACAGATTTTGTGTCCAGAACCAGAGCCATGTACGTCACTGAATTTTCTCTACAGCACCCGCATGCTACACGGGACCTACTCCGGTGCCCATGTCTTTGCTAGTAGAGCCTCTCACCACACTTGCAAGAGGGCTGGACCTCCCCTTGCTTGATGTAGCCTCCACTGTGAATGAAAACACACTTTGTCACTTCGATCACAGTACATTTCCAGCACTCCCAGGTGTTCCATGTATGTGGCAATCATCCCACAGAGCTAGTGACACATCATGTCAGCTGGTACCTATGTCAGCACCTGCTCCACTATATCATACAGATGCTGAGGCACTTAAATGTTCTTGGTAAAATGGAGTTCATAATTGCCATAGGAGTTGAGTTTTGGGGAAAGGGACTTTCAATAATTAATACCCTTAATACATATTTAGCAGATTTATAATTTCGTGTCTGTTTACATTTGTTGTCAAAGCTTCATAAACTATTTATGTAAATGAAAGCATGTTTGAGTTTCCAAATGCTGCTATGACAAGCAAACAGAGAAACTGCTTAGACAACACCTGCTTGTGCCATAAATACATACGGCAACATCCGGTCATCCTTAAAGAAATGCTTGTGTTTCCAAAAAGAATTTTTTTTTTTAAGTCATAAGCCTTATGCAATTCTTCCAAGATAATAATGTGTTTGTCCTTCCTTCTCAAGCATGGTTCAAGGCATCTCAAGGCATATTGCTGTCTGAGGTTCTGATTTAACTGTCCGGGGGTACAGGGGAAGAGTGGGCACTAACATTTTTTAAAAGCTTCACAGTCATTCCAGCATGTAGTCAGTGTTGAGAACCTTGGTACTAAAGGCTCTTGCATCTTCCTACTGTCACTTGTCCTCATCAAAAGCCCTTGAGGTAGTCCCTGGGTCAGGCAATGATCTCTTTCATGGGCTAAGAAACTAAGGCACAGAGAGGTTAACAGGCTCCTCTGATACTGTGCAGTCAAATGACAGAACCATGATTGCAACTGACATTTCCAAATAAACCATGACTCCTCCCCCAGCAACGGGTAGCACTTACATGGACCAAAAGTATGAAGCCTGACTGGGAGCCAGGCATAACCTTCTGTGTCAAGGACATCATGGAAGGGAAAGGAACAGTTCTGAACCAATCATTCCGCATGAACAGAAATAAATACATAAAGCCAGGCTTGGTGGTGTGCACCTGTAGTCTCAGCTACTCAGGAGGCTGAGACGGGAGGACTGCTCAAGCCCAGAAATTCGAGGCTGCAGTGTGCTATGATTACAACTGCGAATAGCCACTGCAATCCAGCCTGGGCAACACAGTGAGACCACGTCTCTGTAAAATTTTATTTAAAATTTATTTAAAATTTATTTAAATTTATTTGAAATTTAAAATCAAATTTTAAAAATTTAAAAAATATTTTTTAAAAAGGAAATAAGTTCCTAAGATACTTATTGGAAGCCACATGAGGAATGAGGCATAACTTTTTCTTTTCTTAAAAGTCTTACTTCCCTCTTATATATGCCATTGAGTCAGGTTTCTCAGAAAATCCATCAAGATTCACAGACTTCCTGACATCTGAATTCTTAGCTCTGTTACTGTGAGGGCTAGAAAACTCGTGAATGTCTCTATAATTTGGGTCCAAAAGATAATTACAAACCTCTGTTAGCATGTGACAGCAATACAAAAATGCCCATGCTTTCCCTGTCACCCGCCCACCTAGACTTGCCAGGGACCCAGAACCCTACACGTTCTAACTGGGTATACATCTTCCCAGGATCCGATCAGATCTCACTCCCATCTCAGAATTTCCCAAACACCAACCCATCGGCTGCGTTGGGCCTCAAGGATTAATGACTACAACTGACTGTTTTATTTTGCTCTACAGGCAAACTTTTAAATCTGTATTCTGGGTAACCCCCAGGACGTTTATTTTGTAATTCCAAATTTCCATGAGAGCCAATTCACCTGGGACCTTCTCCACTTCACCCCAAGGTAACACCCTCACATCCTATCAACTATTGCTGTACCTAAGAAATAATTTCTATCATTATTGCCTTTTTCATTGTAAGTTCTCACATCTCATCATGTTCAAGGAGGCATTGATTTTCTCCTCTTTTGTAAAAGTCTCACCTGACTGCAGAAATGTTTTCTTGAGCCAAGTAGAAATGAGGAATGGAGCACACATAGGCATGAAGAAAGAACGTAGCACGTTCTGGTGGGGAGGGCAGTTTTCAATGGGTTGCTGTGATTTCCAGGACACTCTAGGAAGGGCCTGTTTACTCAGCTTACACTGAACACAAATGACATCTTGTTCTCCCTACTGCTAGTGATGTGGCCTCCTGAAAAGCCTATAAAGTATTAGTTAATCCAGTAAGCGGAAGCCACTTCTAACAGTACACATTTGTTGAGATTTACAAGACACTGTGTGGAGATGAAACCACTTCTTTCCCATTTTAGAAGACTTCCCCATTCAGGCAGGATATATACTCTCCTAATACCCACAGGCACAGGAACTCGAATCCTTCCTGGAAGGAAACCTGTCCCTCTAGCTACTGCAGAAAGTGCTTGGGGGCATAAAAAGAACAAAAAGGGGGAAAGCAACCTTTGTCTGGGGCAGGGCCACTTGGGGAGTGGAATTTTACTGACTCCTCATCCTCAAAGAGGTTTTTACAAACGTTTAAAAAAAAGTAAAAAAAGAAAAAAAAAGGGAACTAGGCAAAACTGCATTTAGAATTTTGGTTAAAGCAAAGAAAATTGAGAAAATTGAATCATCATATTTTCAAAGACCTACCATATTCAACCTATTAAGTAAAGCAATATATCATGTTTTTTTCTCTCTCATGCTTATTTGATGCTTACAGGTTCAGGGCAGACTTGCCACTTTGTTTCTAAAACATGCAGAGAGCAGACTTAGAGCAGCATATGCTGTTTTGGGGCCCAACCCGCACAAACCCTGACAGGTGACTGACCAAACACCATCAGGAAGGTGATGAGGGAAACCACCTTTGCCGAGAGGCCAGTGCACAGCACAAAACTAAGGACTGTTGGTGCATGCTTGTACAGAGCTTAGTGTGGCAGAGTGTTACCGAAGGGATGGGTGGGGAACACACAGGCAACCTCCAATATGCTCTGACGTCCAATCCATAGTCCAGAGCAGTGGGGCTGCAGCCGGGCATGGAGCTAAGGCACTAGGGCTGCAGTGGGTGGGAGGCACCGACCAGAGGTCCCAGTGCCCTGCCGTTCCCGGGGAGAGGGGAAGGAGCTCTGCTCACAAAGCTGCCTTTGTGTACCAAAGTTGTTTTCAAAAGTCTCAACAGCACTGCTGAGAGCTACATCTGGGAAGCCCCCTGAGCAGCCCTCTCTTTGGGAGCTGCCTCCTCTGCTCACGTGCCTTCTTCCATCTCATCTTTGCGAGTTGCCTTTCTTTCCCCTGCTGTGGGCTGGATAAAGAGCAATCCAGTCATTTCACCATTCCCTGGAGCAGGACCCCGTGCTTTTTCCAAGGCAGCAGGGAGTGCCCTCTGTCACAGCTTGATGAAGGCAGCTGGCTGGGTCTGAGGTTGCTCCACATCTGGGGGTGGGAAGACACTGGAAATGGCTATGTCCACGATGCCTTGGCACAGTTCTGCATAGAGCTTCCTGAAATGTGTTTTTAAAAATATCATTGAGGATGTTCATCAAAGTACAAGCAAAAAAAATAGATGTTTTTTGTTTTTGAGACAGGGTTTTGCTCTGTCTCCCAAGTTGGCATGCAGTGGTGCGATCATGGTACATACACTGCAGCCTCAAATTCCTGGGCTCAAGGGATCCTCCCACCTTAGCCTCCCAAGTAGCTGGCACTATAGGTGTGCCCCACCATGCCCAGCTAATTTTTAAATTTTTTGTAGAGACAGGGTCTTGCTATGTTGCCCATGCTGCTCTTGAACTCCTGAGCTCAAGCAACCCTCTCACCTCGGCCTCCCAAAGTGCTGAGATTACAGGCGTGAGCCACCGTGCCTGGCAGTTTTTCTTGTTTTTGTTTTTTACCAAGATCTGCCCTAGAAATTCTATATCATGACCACATTTCTAAAACTGGTTGCCACTCAGCCAGAGAGAAAGGTCGGGTTACCCACAAAGGGAAGCCTATCAGACTAATAGCGGATCTCTCGGCAGAAACTCTACAAGCCAGAAGAGAGTGGGGGCCAATATTCAACATTCTTAAAGAAAAGAATTTTCAACCCAGAATTTCATATCCAGCCAAACTAAGCTTCAAAAGTAAAGGAGAAATAAAATCCTCTACAGACAAGCAAATGCTAAGAAATTTTGTCACCACCAGGCCTGCCTTACAAGAGCTCCTGAAGGAAGCACTAAACATGGAAAGGAACAACTGGTACCAGCCACTGCAAAAACATGCCAAACTGTAAAGACCATAGATGCTAGGAAGAAACTGCATCAACTAACGGGCAAAATAACCAGCTAACATCATAATGACAGGATCAAATTCACATATAACAATATTAACCTTAAGTGTAAATGGGCTAAATGCTCCAATTAAAAGACACAGACTGGCAAATTGGATAAACAGTCAAGACCCATCAGTGTGCTCTATTCAGGAGACCCACCTCACGTGCAGAGACACACATAGGCTCAAAATAAAAGGGATGGAAGAAGATCTACCAAGCAAATGGAAAACAAAAAAAGCAGGGGTTGCAATCCTAGTCTCTGATAAAACAGACTTTAAATCAACAAAGATCAAAAGAGACAAAGAAGGCCATTACATAATGATAAAGGGATCAATTCAACAAAAGAGCTAACTATCCTAAATATATATGCACCCAATACAGGCGCACCCAGATTCATAAAGCAAGTCCTTAGAGACTTACAAAGAGACTTAGACTCCTACACAATAATAGTGGGAGACTTCAACATCCCACTGTCAACATTAGACAGATCAATGAGACTAAAAGTTAACAAGGATATCCAGGAATTGAACTCAGCTCTGCACCAAGCAGACCTAATAGACATCTACAGAACTCTCCACCCCAAATCAACAGAATCTACATCCTTCTCAGCACCACATATCTCACTTATTCCAAAATTGACCACATAATTGGAAGTAAAGCGACCACATAATTGGAAGTAAAGCACTCCTCAGCAAATGTAAAAGAACAGAAATTATAACAAACTGTCTCCCAGACCACAGTGCAATCAAACTAGAAATCAGGATTAAGAAACTCACTCAAAACCGCTCAACTACATGGAAACAGAACAACCTGCTCCTGAATAACTACTGGGTACATAACGAAGTGAAGGCAGAAATAAAGATGTTCTTTGAAACCAATGAGAACAAAGCCACAACATACCAGAATCTCTGGGACACATTTAAAGCAGTGGGTAGACAGAAATTTATAGCACTAAATGCCCACAAGAGAAAGCAGGAAAGATCTAAAATTGATACCCTAACTTCACAATTAAAAGAACTAGAGAAGCAAGAGCAAACACATTCAAAAGCTAGCAGAAGGCAAGAAATAACTAAGATCAGAGCAGAACTGAAGGAGATAGAGACACAAAAAACCCTTCAAAAAATCAATGAATCCAGGAGCTGGTTTTTTGAAAAGATCAACAAAACTGATAGACCGCTAGCAAGACTAATAAAGAAGAAAAGAGAGAAGAATCAAATAGACGCAATAAAAAATGATAAAGGGGTTATCACCACTGATCCCACAGAAAGACAAACTACCATCAGAAAATACTATAAACACCTCTACACAAATAAACTAGAAAATCTAGAAGAAATGGATAAATTCCTGGACACATACACCCTCCCAAGACTAAACAAGGAAGAAGTTGAATCCCTGAATAGACCAATAACTGGCTCTGAAATTGAGGCAATAATTAATAGCCTACCAACCAAAAAAAGTCCAGGACCAGATGGATTCACAGCCAAATTCTACCAGAGGTACAAAGAGGAGCTGGTACCATTCCTTCTGAAACTATTCCAATCAACAGAAAAAGAGGGACTCCTCCCTAACTCATTTTATGAGGCCAGCATCATCCTGACACCAAAGCCTGGCAGAGACACAACAAAAAAAAGACAATTTTAGACCAATATCCCTGATGAACATCGATGCAAAAATCCTCAACAAAATACTGGCAAACTAAATCCAGCAGCACATCAAAAAGCTTATCCACCATGATCAAGTGGGCTTCATCCCTGGGATGCAAGGCTGGTTCAACATATGCAAATCAATAAACGTAATCCATCATATAAACAGAACCAAAGACAAAAACCACATGATTATCTCAATAGATGCAGAAAAGGCCTTTGACAAAATTCAACAACCTTCATGCTAAAAACTCTCAATAAACTAGGTATTGATGGGACATATCTCAAAATAATAAGAGCTATCTATGACAAACCCACAGCCAATATCATACTGAATGGGCAAAAACTGGAAGCATTCCCTTTGAAAACTGGCACAAGACAGGGATGCCCTCTCTCACCACTCCTATTCAACATAGTGTTGGAAGTTCTGGCCAGGGCAATCAGGCAGGAGAAAGAAATAAAGGGTATTCAATTAGGAAAAAAGGAAGTCAAATTGTCCCTGTTTGCCGATGACATGATTGTATATTTAGAAAACCCCATCATCTCAGCCCAAAATCTCCTTAAGCTGATAAGCAACTTCAGCAAAGTCTCAGGATACAAAATTGATGTGCAAAAATCACAAGCATTCCTATAAACCAATAACAGACAAACAGCCAAATCATGAGTGAACTCCCATTCACAACTGCTTCAGAGAGAATAAAATACCAATAATCCAACTTACAAGGGATGTAAAGGACCTCTTCAAGGAGAACTACAAACCGCTGCTCAACGAAATAAAAGAGGACACAAACAAATGGAAGACCATTCCATGCTCATGGATAGGAAGAATCAATGTTGTGAAAATGGCCATACTACCCAAGGTAATTTATAGATTCAATGCCATCCCCATCAAGCTACCAATGACTTTCTTCACAGAATTGGAAAAAACTACTTTAAAGTTCATATGGAACCAAAAAAGAGCCCGCATTGCCAAGACAATCCTAAGCCAAAAGAACAAAGCTGGAGGCATCACCCTACCTGACTTCAAACTATACTACAAGGCTACAGTAACCAAAACAGCATGGTACTGGTACCAAAACAGAGATATAGACCAATGGAACAGAACAGAGCCCTCAGAAATAATGTCACACATCTACAACCACCTGATGTTTGACAAACCTGATAAAAACAAGAAATGAGGAAAGGATTCCCTATTTAATAAATGGTGCTGGGAAAACTGGCTAGCCATACATAGAAAGCTGAAACTGGATCCCTTCCTTACACCTTATACAAAAATTAATTCAGGACGCATTAATGACTTAAATGTTAGATGTAAAACCATAAAAACCCTAGAAGAAAACCTAGGCAATACCATTCAGGACATAGGCATGGGAAAGGACTTCATGTCTAAAACACCAAAAGCAATGGCAACAAAAGCAAAAATTGACAAATGGGATCTAATTAAACTAAAGAGCTTCTGCACAGCAAAAGAAACTACCATCAGCAAACAGGCAACCTACAGAATGGGAGAAAATTTTTACAATCTACCCATCTGACAAAGGGCTGATATCCAGAATCTACAAAGAACTTAAACAAATTTACAAGAAAAAATCAAACAACCCCATCAAAAAGTGGGCAAAGGATATGAACAGACGCTTCTCAAAAGAAGACATTTATGCAGCCAAAAGACACATGAAAAAATGCTCATCACTGGCCATCAGAGAAATGCAAATCAAAACCACAATGAGATACCATCTCACACCAGTTAGAATGGTGATCATTAAAAAGTCAGGAAGCAACAGGTGCTGGAGAGGATGTGGAGAAATAGGAACACTTTTACACTGTTGGTGGGGCTGTAAACTAGTTCAACCATTGCAGAAGACAGTGTGGCGATTCCTCAACGATCTAGAACTAGAAATACCATTTGACCCAGCCATCCCATTACTGGGTATATACCCAAAGGATTATAAATCATGCTGCTATAAAGACACATGCACATGTATGTTTATTGTAGCACTATTCACAATAGCAAAGACTTGGAACCAACCCAAATGTCCATCAATGATAGACTGGATTAAGAAAATGTGGCACATATATACCATGGAATACTATGCAGCCATAAGAAAGGACGAGTTCATGTCCTTTGTAGGGACATGGATGAAGCTGGAAACCATCATTCTGAGCAAACTATCACAGGGATAGAAAACAAAACACTGCATGTTCTCACTCATAGGTGGGAACTGAACAATGAGACCACTTGGACGTAGGATGGGGAACATCACACACCAGGGCCTGTTGTGGGGTTGGGGGATGGGGGAAGGATAACATTAGGAGTTATACCTAATGTAAATGATGAGTTAATGGGTACAGCACACCAACATGGCACATGTATACATATGTAACAAACCTACACATTGTGCACATGTACCCTAGAACTTAAAGTATAATAATAACAAAATGTCAAAAAAATAAAGAAAAAAAAAAACTGGTTGCCACTGTATATACAGATGCTTCAGAAGCCTTTGCACGAAGATAAAGCATTCCCTCAGCAAATACTTATGGAAGGCCTTGCAGGTGAACAAGGCACACAACTGGCAGGGAAGGCAGGCATTTCAAGAGCATGTAAGAGCCACCTTGCATTACAGACAGGGGCAGGCCCTACCCAGGAAAAGGACCAACTCAGCATAATTGAAGGGACACTGGAGAAGACTCCCCAGTGACACGGGAAGACTCCCCAGTGACAGAGGAAGACTCCCCAGTGACAGAGGAAGACTCCCCAGTGACAGGGGAAGACTTTCCAGTGGCAGCTAAGCCAAGACCCAATGAATAGAAGGCAGACAGAGAATGGATGACAGGGTAGAAATAAAGAAGAAGGGGCGGATACACACACACACACACACACACAGACACACACACACCCACAGACAGTTTCTTCTGATGAGTTAATCTGATGGCAGTTAGTGCAATGAAGGAAACTGCAAAGGCTCTGCCTAGAGAAAATCAGAGCTAGGACTGTTCAGAGAAAGCTTCCTCAAGATGTTTTGGTAAAGAAGAAGCCAGCCACGGTAAGGCTGGTGGTGGTGGTGGTAATGGTGGTGGGGATTCCACACACAGGTAACAGAAAGCACAAAGGCCCACTGCAGATAAGAGCAATCAAGGGAAATGGTGACTTGGGATGAAGCTGGAGAGGTGGGTAAGGCAGCGGCCTTGGAGGTGGAGGGAGGAGTCTGGTTTGTGTCCTAGGTGCAATGGCAAGTCTGGAGAATGGCATGGTCTGGTGTCGACTTTACACACTGGCTGCTCTGGGAGGATGGATTTCACTGGGGCAAGAGCAGAAGTGCACCCCAGTTAGAAGGCTCCATGCCAAAACCTTCACTATGGTGGAAGACACCCTGTGCAGGGGTGACAGTGCAAATGGAGGGCAAAGGACTCCGGAGGCTAGAGGTACAACCCACAGGGCCCTGATGGGCAGGACTTGAGGGGAAGGGAAGGCAGAGGCAGGATCACTGTCAGGTTCGAGCTTAGTCTCTGGGGGGAGCAGGGGGTGGTGACCGACCAAGATGGGTAAGTCTGGAGGCAGACGGGAGACATTCTGGCAGGGAAGGCAGGTGCAGATACTAGTCTGCATCTCTGGGCTGTGATGTAATTTGGTAATTTCAAAATCATGAAGTTGGATGAGATCACATACACAGAGAGGAGACAAACACCCAGGCCTAAGACCAGAGGCACTGGATGAAGAAGACGGAGTCCAGCTTGCCCACACCTCACCAGGCAAGCCTGCCCAGCACCACGTGTCCAGCCATGACAGGAGAGCAGCTCAGCAAGTGCTGTCGGTTGCCTCGAATGCTGCTGACAGGTCCAAGGGGGTGGGGACAGAAAGAGGCTGCTGGAGGTGGCAATAAGGACTTGGCTGGGGACCTGCAAAGAACAGTTTCTGTGAGGCAATCAGGATGGGAGCCAGCCTGGAATGGACTGGAACATGGATGGGAACAGAGGAATAGAAGACAGCTTGTGCAGAAGCTGCTCTCCAGAAGCTTGGCTGTGAAGGGAACTGGAGAAGGCGTGATCATTGGAACAGGATGTGGCATCAGGGGAGGACATCTTTTTGAATAGTTGGGAAAATCTGCTGGGACTGCATATGCTGACAAGAATTATGCATCAGAGAGGGAAAAAGGTGACAATGTTAACTGCCAGATGAGAAGACAGGAGCGGGAGGAGGGAAAGGTCTAGAGCACCATGGAGGGACAAACCCCTGATAGGAAAGGACAGTGGGTGAGACTGGGCACACCACTGTTGATTTGGTGAGGGAAGGTGCGGATCCCTGCCTTATTCCGCCCTTAGCCCATCTAACTTGCGTTTGGCCTTCAGATCTCAGTTCCAACATCACTTCCCATCGTGGGCCCTTGGCTCAGTTACGTTACCTTTCAACATCCTTTGTTCTCCATTGAAGCACTTGTCCTCGCTTGTAATTGACATCTGCCTGGTATCTGTCTGCTCACAGTCTCTCCCCACGAAAGGTAGGGCCTGTGTCTCTCTTTGCTCCCCACTGTGAACCCATGGCCTCATACAGAGCCTGGCCAGGTAGGCAGCACCTGATAAGCACTTATCGGCTGCAGAGACTGATGAACAAGATGGAATCATGCAATCATGCCTGTCGTAACCATCAGGCAATGGCAAAGGCCTAGCTTCTAAGTAAAGAACAACTTTGGTGTGTTGACATCGTCCCTTGCAGGTACGGGACTTTCTCTTAAACATTTTGAAAAATCACTCAATTTCTTCAAGATGTAGATGGGAACCACGAAAGGGTCTTGACATCATGAAAGAGGATCTTCAGAAGAACCCTCAGCACAAGAGAATTGAGTCCGAGTGACTTTCCCTGACACGTAAGGCCTTCCACAGAAGGTCCTCTCTTACCTTCCTTCCTCCTTAATGACTCCATGACGCTCATGCTACAACCAGCCTTCTCCCGAGAGAAGCAGAAGTTCCGGAGAGCAGGTTCTCAGGAGCTTCTGTTCCTCTGGGCATCTCCCAGACCTGCAGAGCCCGGGACAGGGTGAGAGCCCACAGGACGCTGCACCTCTTTTGGAAGACTCTCCCCACCAACCTTTGGTGCAGCGGAACCCTCTTTTCTTGCACCCCAGCTCCAGACCCCCCATGTCTAAGATGCCTTCTCTGACTCCTTCCTGCCTCAGGAGGCTCTGAACTTCTGGGTCGCCACATCATAGGATCCTGCTTACTCAGCTTGTCATACGGGTCTCTCTGGCAGTAATGAACTTTAACACTCTCATGGCATCTCCCACCCACCTGAGCACAGGCTAGCTGCTTACATTTTTTACTTTTGAGACAGGGTCTCTCTGTCGCCCAGGCTGCAATGCAGTGGTGCAGTCATGGCTCACTGCAGCCTCAACCTCCCAGGCTCAAGTGATCCTCCCACCTCAGCCTCCCGAGCAGCTGGGACTATAGGCACACAGCACCATGCCTGACTAATTTCTGTATTTTTTGTAGAGATGGGGTTTTGCCAGGCTGCCCAGGCTGGTCTTGAACTCCTGGGCTCAGACAGTCTACCTGACAGTCTACCTGTCTTGGCCTCCCAAAGTGCTGGGATTACAAGCATGAGCTACCACACTGGGCCTATCTGGCCTATACACGGGGAAATAGGAAAGGAAGTGACTCAGCAAAGCCCCCTGCCAGATAGAGTCCTCCCAAGGGTCTCCTATCACTGTGGCATCCTCCCTCACAGCAGTCAAAGTGACTACACTTGTACCCACAGACTATCCCAACTGCAGAACCAACTTCCCACTTGTAAAAACACAATGACGTGCAGGCTTACTGAGCACATGCAGGGGCACCGTTGACCTCAATGAGCCACACCTTCAGCTCCTCATCGACCATGAAGTCAAAGCCGAAGAGCTGGAAGCTCTGGTAAGGGAGGTGCTTGGTGCTAATGGCAGGCTCCACGCTCAGGAGGCAGTTCCTATGAGGCAGGAGGGGAAATGCTCATTAGAACGGGGTGGTCAAAGGAGAAGGAAGACATGAGGTGTGCTTGAAAGATTTTATATGAGATGAATACAAATATCAGCTTATCAGCTTTAATTCTCTGTTTCCTTTTTTTTTTTTTTTTTTTTGAGACGGAGTTTTGCTCTTGTTGCCCAGGCTGGAGTGCAATGGCATGATCTTGGCTCATGGCAACCTCCGCCTCCTGGGTTCAAGAGATTCTCCTGCTTCAGCCTCCCGAGCAGCTGGGATTACAGGCATGCGCCACCGCACCCAGCTAATTTTGTATTTTCAGTAGAAACAGGGTTTCTCCATGTTGGTCAGGCTGGTCTCGAACTCCCGACCTCAGGTGATCCGCCCACCTCGGCCTCCCAAAGTGCTGGGATTACAGGTGCGAGCCATCGTGCCCGGCCTAATTCTCTCTTTTCAACTTATTACCATTAGGTTACTCAAGAGAATGTTACTTATCAAGCATTTGTTAGAAAACTGCAACCACTCGTGTTCTTCCAGGCAAAAGCCACTTTCCCATGTCTCAAGAAGCAGTAGAGTGCCGAGTCATTGTGGCCTCTGTAAATGAAGATTCTTCCAACAGCTGGGCTGCTGCCATGTTTGTTTATAACACGTAAAACATTTCCATGTATTTTTGCCATGTAAAGAATGGACTGCCCTTTGGTGAAGGGCAGGATTTGCAAAAAAAAAAAAAAAAAAAAACATGTTGACCTCACGATGTCGCTAGTTCTAGTTCCAATGGCAAATTATTGCTAATTACAAGATTTAAGAGCTATACATGTTGAAACTAAATGTTGAAATGTAGAAGTATTATTAGCAACAATGAATGGAAAAATGGCAGGATTTTAGTGACACAATAAAAAAGTTGAAAGTGTATTTTGGAAATACAATGAACAAGTACATGAGGTCTCAGGTCAGACCAAAATCTTGAACAAGTGATTGTTCAGTGAGATAATTACATAAGGAACTTGTCATAACTCCTGGCACCTAGGAAGCATTTTAATAAATGTTACTGTTATGAACAATTTTTCATCATATTTCCTTATGATAACCATATATCTATTATTTAGGAAGAATAAATACCTCTTATCTACAACTATCCCAGAAAACCTATGCCATTTCTGTTTTATAAAGATCTTCCCTGATTTTTCACCCAACTGAATGCTGGGGCAAAATATTTCTCTCAGTAAATAAAATGTGCTACAATGACTCTGGTGTACCAGAGATAACTGTCCTTCTACACAGCTGTGTATTTGGAAGGAAAAAGATACAGGGGCCAGCCGGGCGCGGTGGCTCACGCCTATAATCCTACCACTTTGGGAGGCCGAGGCGGGTGGGTAACCTCAGGTCAGGAGTTCGAGAGCAGCCTGACCAACATGGCAAAACCCCATCTCTACTAAAATTACAAAAATTAGCCAGGCATAGTGGCAGGTGCCTATAATCCCAGCTACTCCAGACGCTGAGGCAGGAGAATCGCTTGAACACAGGGGGCAGAGGTTGCAGTGAGCTAAGACTGTGCCACTTCACTCCAGCCTGGGTGAAAGAGCAAAATTCTGTCTCAAAAAAAAAAAAAAGAAAAGAAAAAGAAAAAGATACAGGGAACTGTCGTCCATGTGACTAACTCTAAGACGTAGCTCTAGATGCAGGTTTTGACTCATGACTTTAATAAAGAACTGAGGCCTTTGTGAACTTGGAGCCAGGGTCAATCCTCCGCCCTCGGCCCTCCACAAACTTCAATCTCCTTTTCTTTTTTCCTAAAAAGAAAAATATTTTAATTGATACATTTAAACCTTTAAAAACTATTTTGGCTTAAATGGTTCTTTTAAGATGAGTCATTTAAAAACTAATTATAATAAAAATTTCTTCTCCCAT
This sequence comes from Homo sapiens, assembly GCF_000001405.40. Taxonomy (NCBI): domain Eukaryota; kingdom Metazoa; phylum Chordata; class Mammalia; order Primates; family Hominidae; genus Homo; species Homo sapiens. Next base: position 112,518,380 of record NC_000002.12, on the reverse strand, counting down.
TCATATTCAACCTGAATTGACAAGCACACATCACATTAAAAAAAAAAAATCCCTGTTCTACACAAGAATATCCTTAACTTTTGCTTTAATTAAAATACTCTTGGCTGGGCGAGGTGGCTCACACCTGTAATCCCAGCATATTGGGAGGCCAAGGCAGATGGATCACTTGAGGTCAGGAGTTTGAGACCAGCCAGACCAACATGGTGAAACCCTGGCTCTCTACTTAAAAAAAAAAAAAAAAAAAATTAGTTGGCTGTGGTGGCGCATGCCTGTAATCCCAGCAACCCAGCAACTCAGGAGGCTGAGGCAGGAGAATCGCTTGAACGTGGGAGGCAGAGGTTGCATGAGCCAAGGCTGCAGTGAGCCGAGATCATGTCACTGCACTCCAGCCTGGGAAACAGAGCGAGACCCTATCTCCAAAAAAAAAGCAGGAGACAGGGTCTCACTCTGTCGCCCAGGCTGGAGTGCAGGGGCCCAATCATGGCTCACTGCAGTCAGCCTTGACCTCCCCGAGCTCAAGCGATCCTCCCAATTCAGGCTTCCGAAGTAGCTGGGACTACAAGCATGCACCACCACACCCTGCTAATTTTTTTTGTAACTTTTGGAGACAGAGGTTTGTCATGTTGCCCAGGCTGGTCTTGAACTCCTGGGCTGAAGTGATCTGCCTGCCTCAGCCTCCCAAAGTGCTGGGATTAGAGGCATGAGCCACCGTACTTAGCCTGTTTTAATTAGAATATTCTTTAAAATATTATAATTAAGGAAGATTTAAAAGTTTAACAGATGCTTATGGTAAAAAAGAGAGAGAGAAAAAAATACTAAAATATAAAATGGGGGCTGGACACAGTGGCTCATGCCCGTAATCCCAGCACTTTGGGAGGCTGAGGGAGGCAGATCACTTGAGGTCAGGAGTTCAAAACCAGCCTAGCCAACATGGTGAAACCTCATCTCTACTAAACATACAAAAAATTAGCACTGAGTGGTGGCACATGCCTGTAATCCCAGCTAGTCGGGAGGCTAAGGCAGGAGAATCGCTCAAACCCGGGAGGCAGAGGTTGAAATGAGATGAGATTGCGCCACTGCACTTCAGCCTGGGTGACAGACCAAGACTCTGTCTCAAAAAAATAAGATAAAATAAAATTGAAAGAAGTATTACATTCCAACATAAAGAAAAACCTGAGAATCAGAAGCAAATCAAAACTAATTTTTTTTTTTTTTTTTTTTTTTGCTGAAAGCTCAAGATTAATAATACACTTTAAAGGATTTTTATCCCTCATCAGAGACTTATACAGTGCATCTTTTTTTGGCTGGAGTGGGAAGTTAGGGGGAGGCTAGCTGGAAGGAAAGAAAACCTGAGAGCTGCTGGGAGCATTTATAGCACCACAGCAGCAACACTCTGAACAGCAATGAACAATGCGGAAAGGATGCCGCAAACTTCCAATAAAGCTTTTGCCTAAAATAGGAATTCTTTTTCCAGCATATTTGATTTATCTGGTGTCAGAATTCCAACCACCTATATTCCCTGAAGAAATGGGACTCCAAGCCCTGTAATTATTCTACTGGGCTCTACGTGAGAATACAGTAAGGAAAAAGTCTCAGTCATTGTGACAGGGTAGCATTGACATGGTGGATGGTAGAACAATGGGACAGAATGGAGATCCTAGAACAGACGCTCACATAAATGGCCACCTGATTGATTGATTGATTTCTGAGATGGAATCTTGCTCTGTTGCTCAGGCTGGAGTGCAGTGATGCGATCTTGGCTCACTGCAACCTCCACCTCCCGGGTTCAAGCAATTCTCCTGCCTCAGCCTCCCAAGTAGCTGGGATTACAGGCATATGCCACCATGCCTGGCTAATTTTTGTATTTTTAGTAGAGACAGGGTTTCACCATATTGGCCAGGCTGGTCTTGAACTCCTGACCTTGTGATCCACCCACCTTGGTCTCCCAAAGTGCTAGGATTACAGGTGTGAGCCACTGTGCCCAGCCAGCCACCTGATTTGTAACAAAGACACACCACAATGCAGCGGGGAAAGGACAAGTGGCCCTGGGTCAATGGGATATCCTTGTGGAAAGACATGAAACTTGATATATAACAACTTCAGATAGATTATAGTTCTAAAATATAAGAGATAAAACCCAGATGTCTACCAACTACAGAAGGAATAAACTGAAATACTTATACAATGGAATATTACACAGTAATAAAAAGGATAAACTACTGTTATGTGCAATAACATGGATGAATGCCACAGATGTAACACTGGGAAAAGCTGAACATAAAACAGGAAATATGGTATAATTCCATTTACATAAAGTTTAAGAACAAGCAAAATGAATCTAAGGTGATAAAAGTCAGAAAAGTGGCTGTCTTTGGCAGGGCATTTATTTATTTATTTATTTATTTATTTATTTATTTATTTATTTATTTATTCTGAGATGGAGTCTCGCTGTGTCGCCCAGGCTGGAGTGCAGTGGTGTGATCTTGGGTCACTGCAAGCTCCACCTCCGGGGTTCAAGCGAATCTCCTTCCTCAGCCTCCTGAGTAACTGGGACTACAGGTGCCCACCACCACGCCTGGCTAATTTTTGTATTTCTTAGTAGAGACGAGGTTTCACCGTGTTAGCCAGGATGATCTCAATCTCCTGACCTCGTGATCTGCCTGCCTCGGCCTCCCAAAGTGCTGGGATTACAGGCGTGAGCCGTCGCACCTGGCCTGGCAGGGAATACATGTTTTGAGGGAGTTCAAAGGAGTCTTCTGGGATGCTGTAAATGTTTTATATTTTTATGTATATCACAGCTAGGTGAGTACATGCATAACTGAAAACTCACCAGACTGTACACTTTGTGGATGTTACACCTCATTTAAAAAATCTTTACTAGACTTAGTAAACTGTAGTAAGTGAACACTAATGCTAAAATACTACTTCCAGGCATATTTAGAAATAAGACCAAGAGAAAAAAGAGACAATAGAAACAGACCTAAAAGTCAGGAGCTGACAAACTTTTTCTATAAAGGGCCAGACAGTAAATATATTAGGTTTTACAGGATATGTACCACCTCTGTTGCATATTCTCATTTTTACAATCTTTAATATATAAAAAACATTCTTTGCCCACAGACCTTACAAAAACAAGCTACAGGCCATATGCAGCCCATACACAGGGCATACTCTGGATTACTCTGCCATGGGTAATCTAGATTTTGGAGTTATCAGATAAGGATGTTAAAGAATTGCCATTATCTTCAAGAAAATATGAGGCAAGTGGGAGAATTTCATAAGACAACTATAATATGAAAAAAAGAAACAAATATAAATTTCAGAACTAAAAAGCACGCTAACTAAAATCAAGAACTCAATAGGTGAGTTTAACAGCAGCTTTTAAAAGCTTTTACCTTGTAAAAATTGTTAACAGGTTTTAATAGATAAAGAAAGGATTAGCAAACAAAGATGTCAGACGAAAAGAATGAGTACAACCATGGGGAGATAAAATGATACAAAAATGCCATAAAAGTGTGAGAAACAGTGAAAAGCATTAACAATCATGTAATTAGAGACCTAGAAGAAGAGGAGAATGGATCAAAAGACACAACTGAAAGTATAATGTCCATGAATATTCCAAAACTGGTAAAAGATATCAAGCCACGGTGCAAGAAGCACTATGAACCCAAATGCAGGAATATGTACAAAGAAAACTACACACATCTCATAGTAAAATTTATAAAAACCAATGTAAAGGAATCTCAAAAATAGAGAAGAGATACATTAAGAGCAATACTAAGATTTCACCTGACTTCTCAGCAGAAAAGATGGAAGCCAGAATACAATGGTATGCAACCTTCAGAGTAGGAAAAGAAATTAACTGCTTATCTAGAAATCTATGTCCAGAGCAAATGTCCTTAAAAACAAAAAGACAAAATATATTTTCAGACAAATAATAACTAATTTATCACAGCAGACTTTACTTAAAAACTACTAAAAATTAGTTTTTTTTTTTTTGAAACAGAGTCTTGCTCTGTCACCCAGGCTGGAGTGCAGCAGCACAATTTTGGCTCACTGCAACTTCCACCCCCCAGGTTCAAGCTATTCTCCCACCTCAGCCTCCCGAGTAGCTGCGACCACAGGTGTGCACCACCATGCCCAGCTAATTTTGCATATTTTGGTAGAGATGGGGTTTCAGCATGTATCAGGCTGGTCTTGAACTCCTGACCTCAAGTGATCGGCCCACCTCGGCCTCCCAAAGTATTGGGATTACAGGTGTGAGGTGCCGCGCCTGGCCTAAAAATGAGTTTCTTAACAATAAGGAAAATAATCCTAGATAAAAGCAAGGAAATGCAGGAAAGGAAGAGAAACAACATAAATGGTCAAAATGTGGGGAACTCTAAATGAATATTAACTATCTATAATCATAGGAATGCTGTCTTGTGAGTTTAAAATATATGTAATATTAATTATTCCCCATGTACCCACCATCCACTATCTTTAAGCCTCTTCCCTGTGTCCCTTCTGCCTTCCTTCTAGGGATATGAATAACCACTATTTTGAATTGTATGTTTATCACTTCTTCATTTTGCTTTACATTTTTACCATACATGTGTATTCAGCTAAATAAAACATTATTTAATTTTACTTGTTTAACTTATGTAAGTGAAATAAATTTGTATGCATCTTCTATATAGCTTGTATTTTTGCATTTTTTTGCTTAATATTATTTGTATATTTATATTTATACTTGTATAAATATTCATACTTGTATAAATATTTATACTTATACTTGTATAAATATTTATACTTGTATAAATATTTATATGTATATTTGTATAAATCCAGTGAAAATACCCTTCAGGAAGATGGTGAAATAAACACATTCTCAGATGACAGAAAACTAAGAGGATTTATCAGCAGCAAAACTGTTCTAAAAAAATGCATAAGAGAGAGAGTCAGAACTTTAAAACTTAAGGAAGTATATGGGTAAATATAAAAACTCTAAAAGAAATGCTTAAGTCTGAAGGGAAATGATACCAGAGAGAATCTCAGAACTTCGCAACTGAAGGAAAAACAAAAGTAGTATCTGGGTAAATATAAAAGAATATTTTTCTCCTTTTATAAAGTGGATTTCTTATAGACAGTATAGAGTTTGGTTTTATAGTTTAAAAATAATCCAACCTGATAATCTATCATACCTGTGCAAATATATATATAAAACTGTTGATAGCAAAAATAATAACATTATGTGGTAGAGATTTCAATGTGTAGATATATACTTATGATAACTATAACAGAGGGCAAGAGTTAGTGAACTATGTTATAAGGTTTTTGCATTTTATTTGAAGTGGTAAACTATTAACTCTAAGAAGGCTGTGAAATAATTGATATGTATACTGTAATTCCTAGAGCAAGCACTAAAAAAAAAAGCACTAAAAAAAAATAAAAGAAGACATAGCGCCAAATACTCAACAGGAAAATTAAAATAAAACTCTAAAAATATTTCACATAATTAAAAAGAAGATGGGAAAAAGAGACACAAAAAAACAAAAACGAAAACTACAATAAAGGAGGGGACAGACAACAAATAATAAGATGGCAGATGTGAGTCCAATACAATAATTACATTACATTTAAGTGGTATAAACACACCAATTAAATGACAATGATTATCATATTGGATTAAAATTAAAATACAGGGCCGGGCGAGATGGCTCACGCCTGTAATCCCAGCACTTTGGGAGGCTGAGGCGGGTGGATCACCTGAAGTCGGAAATTCCAGACCAGCCTGACCAACATGGAGAAACCTCATCTCTACTAAAAATACAAAACTAGGCCAGGCGTGGTGGCTCATGCCCGAAATCCCAGCACTTTGGGAGGCCGAGGTGGACGGATCACGAGGTCAGGAGATCGAGACCATCCTGGCTAACACGGTGAAACCCTGTCTCTACTAAAAATGCAAAAAATTAGCCGGGCATGGTGGCGGGCGCCTGTAGTCCCAGCTATTCGGGAGGCTGAGGCAGGAGAATGGCGTGAACCTGCAAGGCGGAGCTTGCAGTGAGCCGAGATCACGCCACTGCACTCCAGCCTGAGCGACAGAGTGAGACACTGTCTCAAAAAAAAAAAAAAATACAAAATTAGCTGAGCGTGGTGGCACATGCCTGTAATCCCAGCTACTCAGGAGGCTGAGGCAGGAGAATCACTTGAACCCGGGAGGCAGAGGTTGCAGTCAGCCATGATCGCGCCACTGCACTCTAGTCCGGGCAGCAAGAGTGAAACTCTGTCTCAAATAATAATAATAATAATAACAATAAATACAAATACAAAACCCAACTATATGCTGTCTACCAGAAAACTACTTTAAATATAGAATATAATACCTAGGGACAGTATAGAATAGAATAGAATAGAATGAAAATAAAAGGATGGAAACATACTCCAAACATGGAGACATACCATGGAAACATTAATCAAAAGAAAGCTAGATTGGTTATATAAAAATTAGATAAATAAATAAGAAATACTGGCTGGGCATGGTGGCTCACGCCTGTAATCCTAGCACTCTGGGAGGCTGAAGTGTGTAGATTGCTTGAGCCCAGGAGTTCAAGACCAGCCTGGGCAACATGGTGAAACCCTGTCTCTACAAAAAAAAAAAATACAAAAATTAGCCGGGCATGATAGCATGTGCCTGTAGTCCCAGCTGCTCAGGAGGCTGAGGTGGGAGGATGGCTTGAGCCTGGGAGGCAGAGGTTGCAGTTTGCCAAGATCATGCCCCTGAACTCCAGCCTGGGCAACAGAGTCAGACCATCTCAAAAAAAAGAGAAAGAAAAAAAAAGAAAAGAAAACTACATAATGATAAAAGAGTCAATTCCCAAAGAAGAGATAACAATCCTAAATATATATGCATCTAATAACAGATCATCAAAAGACATGAAGCAAAAACAGATAAAATTGAAAGGAGACATATACAAATCCATAATTATACTTGTAGACTTCAGTGCCTCTCTTTTCAATAATAAATAGAACAAACATCGCTTCTCGGCCTTTTGGCTAAGATCAAGAGTAATAAATAGAACAAGCAGAATAAGGCCAGGTGCAGTGGCTCATGTCTGTAATCCCAGCACTTTGAGAGGCCAAGATGGGAGAATTGCTTGAGCCCAAGAGTTCGAGACCAGCTTGGGCAACAGGGCAAAACCCTGTCTCTACAAAAAAAATACAAAAATCAGGTGGGTTTGGTGGCATGCACCTGTAGTCCCAGCTACCTAGGCTACTTACGCTTGAGCCCAGGAGGTTAAGGCTGCAGCAAACCATGTTTGTGCCACTGCATTCCAGCCTGGGAAACAAAGTAAGACCTTGTCTCAAAAAACATAAAAATAAAAAACAACACTCTGCCCAATTATAGCCAAGTACACATTCTGTTAGTGCACATAGAACATTAAAAGACCTTCTGGGCTATGGAACAAACCTTAGCAACTTTTAAAGATGAAACCAGACAAAGTCTCTTCCTGACCTAATATCTGGATATTAAACAAAAATTTCTAAATCACATGAATCAAAGATAAAATTATAAGGGAAATTAGAAAATATTTTAATAAAATGGAAATGAAAACAGCAAAATCTGTGGGATTCTGCTAATGCAATATTTAGAGGGAAACTGATAAAGGGAAACTGAGACATGCTTTTATTTTTTTAAAAAAGAAATATCTCAACCATCCTGACCAACATGGAGAAACCCCGTGTCTCCTAAAAATACAAAATTAGCCAGGCATGGTGGCACATGCCTGTAATCCCAGCTACACGGGAGGCTGAGGCAGGAGAATCGCTTGAACCCAGGAGATGGAGGTTGCAGTGAGCCGAGATCGTGCCATTGCACTCCAGCCTGGGCAATAAGAACAAAATTCTATCTCAAAAAAAAAAAGAAATATCTCAAATCAATTATTTAAACTTTCACCTTAAAAACTGGAATAGGCTGGGCATGGTGGCTCACACCTATAATCCCAGCACTCTGGGAGATCAAGATGGGAGGGCTGCTTGAGCCCAGGAGCTTGAAACCAGCCTGGGCAAGACAGTGAGACCCAATTCTACAAAAAATAAAAAAATTAGCCAGGCACAGTGGTGTATACCTGTAGTCCCAGCTACTTGGGAGGCTGAGACAGGAAGATCCCTTGAGCCTAAAAGTTTGAAGCAGCAGTGAGCTATGATCACACTTGTACTCCAGCCTAGGCAATAAAATGAGACACCATCTCTTAAAAAACAAACAAAAAGCACAACTAGAAAAAGAGTAAATTATATCCTCCAAAAAGCAAAAGGAAGAGAATGATAAAGTGCATAAATCAAAGAAGCTGAAAAGAAAAACAACAGAGAAAACCAATAAAACCAAAAGCTAATTTTTTGAAAAGACTGATAAAATTGATAAATGTTTAGTCAATCTGTCCAAGCAAAATAGAGGGAAAATATAAATTAGCCAGGCATGGTGGCTTACGCCTGTAATCCCAGCACTTTGGGAGGCCGAGGGGGGTAGATCACCTGAAGTCAAGAGTTCAAGACCAGGAGGAGGAGCCAAGATGGCCGAATAGGAACAGCTCCGGTCTACAGCTCCCAGCGTGAGCGACGCAGAAGACGGGTGATTTCTGCATTTCCATCTGAGGTACCTTACCGGGTTCATCTCACTAGGGAGTGCCAGACAGTGGGCGCAGGCCAGTGTGTGTGCGCACCGTGCGCGAGCCGAAGCAGGGCGAGGCATTGCCTCACCTGGGAAGCGCAAGGGGTCAGGGAGTTCCCTTTCCGAGTCAAAGAAAGGGGTGACAGACGCACCTGGAAAATCGGGTCACTCCCACCCGAATATTGCGCTTTTCAGACCGGCTTAAGAAACGGCGCACCATGAGATTATATCCCACACCTGGCTCAGAGGGTCCTACGCCCACGGAGTCTCGCTGATTGCTAGCACAGCAGTCTGAGATCAAACTACAAGGCAGCAACGAGGCTGGGGGAGGGGCGCCGGCCATTGCCCAGGCTTGATTAGGTAAACAAAGCAGCCAGGAAGCTCGAACTGGGTGGAGCCCACCACAGCTCAAGGAGGCCTGCCTGCCTCTGTAGGCTCCACCTCTGGGGGCAGGGCACAGACAAACAAAAAGACAGCAGTAACCTCTGCAGACTTAAGTGTCCCTGTCTGACAGCTTTGAAGAGAGCAGTGGTTCTCCCAGCACGCAGCTGGAGATCTGAGAACGGGCAGACTGCCTCCTCAAGTGAGTCCCTGACCCCTGACCCCCGAGCAGCCTAACTGGGAGGCACCCCCAAGCAGGGGCACACTGACACCTCACACAGCAGGGTATTCCAACAGACCTGCAGCTGAGGGTCCTGTCTGTTAGAAGGAAAACTAACAACCAGAAAGGACATCTACACCGAAAACCCATCTGTACATCACCATCATCAAAGACCAAAAGTAGATAAAACCACAAAGATGGGGAAAAAACAGAACAGAAAAACTGGAAACTCTAAAACGCAGAGCGCCTCTCCTCCTCCAAAGGAACGCAGTTCCTCACCAGCAACAGAACAAAGCTGGATGGAGAATGATTTTGACGAGCTGAGAGAAGAAGGCTTCAGACGATCAAATTACTCTGAGCTACGGGAGGACATTCAAACCAAAGGCAAAGAAGTTCAAAACTTTGAAAAAAATTTAGAAGAATGTATAACTAGAATAACCAATACAGAGAAGTGCTTAAAGGAGCTGATGGAGCTGAAAACCAAGGCTCGAGAACTACGTGAAGAATGCAGAAGCCTCAGGAGCCGATGCGATCAACTGGAAGAAAGGGTATCAGCAATGGAAGATGAAATGAATGAAATGAAGCGAGAAGGGAAGTTTAGAGAAAAAAGAATAAAAAGAAATGAGCAAAGCCTCCAAGAAATATGGGACTATGTGAAAAGACCAAATCTACGTCTGATTGGTGTACCTGAAAGTGATGTGGAGAATGGAACCAAGTTGGAAAACACTCTGCAGGATATTATCCAGGAGAACTTCCCCAATCTAGCAAGGCAGGCCAACGTTCAGATTCAGGAAATACAGAGAACGCCACAAAGATACTCCTCGAGAAGAGCAACTCCAAGACACATAATTGTCAGATTCACCAAAGTTGAAATGAAGGAAAAAATGTTAAGGGCAGCCAGAGAGAAAGGTCAGGTTACCCTCAAAGGAAAGCCCATCAGACTAACAGCGGATCTCTCGGCAGAAACCCTACAAGCCAGAAGAGAGTGGGGGCCAATATTCAACATTCTTAAAGAAAAGAATTTTCAACCCAGAATTTCATATCCAGCCAAACTAAGCTTCATAAGTGAAGGAGAAATAAAATACTTTATAGACAAGCAAATGCTGAGAGATTTTGTCACCACCAGGCCTGCCCTAAAAGAGCTCCTGAAGGAAGCGCTAAACATGGAAAGGAACAACCGGTACCAGCCACTGCAAAATCATGCCAAAATGTAAAGACCATCGAGACTAGGAAGAAACTGCATCAACTAATGAGCAAAATCACCAGCTAACATCATAATGACAGGATCAAATTCACACATAACAATATTAACTTTAAATATAAATGGACTAAATTCTGCAATTAAAAGACACAGACTGGCAAGTTGGATAGAGTCAAGACCCATCAGTGTGCTGTATTCAGGAAACCCATCTCACGTGCAGAGACACACATAGGCTCAAAATAAAAGGATGGAGGAAGATCTACCAAGCCAATGGAAAACAAAAAAAGGCAGGGGCTGCAATCCTAGTCTCTGATAAAACAGACTTTAAATCAACAAAGATCAAAAGAGACAAAGAAGGCCATTACATAATGGTAAAGGGATCAATTCAACAAGAGGAGCTAACTATCCTAAATATTTATGCACCCAATACAGGAGCACCCAGATTCATAAAGCAAGTCCTCAGTGACCTACAAAGAGACTTAGACTCCCACACATTAATAATGGGAGACTTTAACACCCCACTGTCAACATTAGACAGATCAACGAGACAGAAAGTCAACAAGGATACCCAGGAATTGAACTCAGCTCTGCACCAAGCAGACCTAATAGACATCTACAGAACTCTCCACCCCAAATCAACAGAATATACATTTTTTTCAGCACCACACCACACCTATTCCAAAATTGACCACATAGTTGGAAGTAAAGCTCTCCTCAGCAAATGTAAAAGAACAGAAATTATAACAAACTATCTCTCAGACCACAGTGCAATCAAACTAGAACTCAGGATTAAGAATCTCACTCAAAGCCACTCAACTACATGGAAACTGAACAACCTGCTCCTGAATGACTACTGGGTACATAACGAAATGAAGGCAGAAATAAAGATGTTCTTTGAAACCAATGAGAACAAAGACACCACATACCAGAATCTCTGGGACGCATTCAAAGCAGTGTGTAGAGGGAAATTTATAGCACTAAATGCCTACAAGAGAAAGCAGGAAAGATCCAAAATTGACACCTAACATCACAATTAAAAGAACTAGAAAAGCAAGAGCAAACACATTCAAAAGCTAGCAGAAGGCAAGAAATAACTAAAATCAGAGCAGAACTGAAGGAAATAGAGACACAAAAAACCCTTCAAAAAATCAATGAATCCAGGAGCTGGTTTTTTCAAAGGATCAACAAAATTGATAGACCGCTAGCAAGACTAATAAAGAAAAAAAGAGAGAAGAATCAAATAGACACAATAAAAAATGATAAAGGGGATATCACCACCGATCCCACAGAAATACAAACTACCATCAGAGAATACTACAAACACCTCTACGCAAATAAACTAGAAAATCTAGAAGAAATGGATACATTCCTCGACACATACACTCTCCCAAGACTAAACCAGGAAGAAGTTGAATCTCTGAATAGACCAATAACAGGCTCTGAAATTGTGGCAATAATCAATAGTTTACCAACCAAAAAGAGTCCAGGACCAGATGGATTCACAGCCGAATTCTACCAGAGGTACAAGGAGGAACTGGTACCATTCCTTCTGAAACTATTCCAATCAATAGAAAAAGAGGGAATCCTCCCTAACTCATTTTATGAGGCCAGCATCATTCTGATACCAAAGCCGGGCAGAGACACAACCAAAAAAGAGAATTTTAGACCAATATCCTTGATGAACATTGATGCAAAAATCCTCAATAAAATACTGGCAAACCGAATCCAGCAGCACATCAAAAAGCTTATCCACCATGATCAAGTGGGCTTCATCCCTGGGATGCAAGGCTGGTTCAATATACGCAAATCAATAAATGTAATCCAGCATATAAACAGAGCCAAAGACAAAAACCACATGATTATCTCAATAGATGCAGAAAAAGCCTTTGACAAAATTCAACAACCCTTCATGCTAAAAACTCTCAATAAATTAGGTATTGATGGGACGTATTTCAAAATAATAAGAGCTATCTATGACAAACCCACAGCCAATATCATACTGAATGGGCAAAAACTGGAAGCATTCCCTTTGAAAACTGGCACAAGACAGGGATGCCCTCTCTCACCGCTCCTATTCAACATAGTATTGGAAGTTCTGGCCAGGGCAATCAGGCAGGAGAAGGAAATAAAGGGTATTCAATTAGGAAAAGAGGAAGTCAAATTGTCCCTGTTTGCAGACGACATGATTGTTTATCTAGAAAACCCCATCGTCTCAGCCCAAAATCTCCTTAAGCTGATAAGCAACTTCAGCAAAGTCTCAGGATACAAAATCAATGTACAAAAATCACAAGCATTCTTATACACCAACAACAGACAAACAGAGAGCCAAATCATGGGTGAACTCCCATTCACAATTGCTTCAAAGAGAATAAAATACCTAGGAATCCAACTTATAAGGGATGTGAAGGACCTCTTCAAGGAGAACTACAAACCACTGCTCAAGGAAATAAAAGAGGACACAAACAAATGGAAGAACATTCCATGCTCATGGGTAGGAAGAATCAATATCGTGAAAATGGCCATACTGCCCAAGGTAATTTACAGATTCAATGCCATCCCCATCAAGCTACCAATGACTTTCTTCACAGAATTGGAAAAAACTACTTTAAAGTTCATATGGAACCAAAAAAGAGCCCGCATCGCCAAGTCAATCCTAAGCCAAAAGAACAAAGCTGGAGGCATCACACTACCTGACTTCAAACTATACTACAAGGCTACAGTAACCAAAACAGCATGGTACTGGTACCAAAACAGAGATATAGATCAATGGAACAGAACAGAGCCCTCAGAAATAATGCCGCATATCTACAACTATCTGATCTTTGACAAACCTGAGAAAAACAAGCAATGGGGAAAGGATTCCCTATTTAATAAATGGTGCTGGGAAAACTGGCTAGCCATATGTAGAAAGCTGAAACTGGATCCCTTCCTTACACCTTATACAAAAATCAATTCAAGATGGATTAAAGATTTAAACGTTAAACCTAAAACCATAAAAACCCTAGAAGAAAACCTAGGCATTACCATTCAGGACATAGGCGTGGGCAAGGACTTCATGTCCAAAACACCAAAAGCAATGGCAACAAAAGCCAAAATTGACAAATGGGATCTCATTAAACTAAAGAGCTTCTGCACAGCAAAAGAAACTACCATCAGAGTGAACAGGCAACCTACAACATGGGAGAAAATTTTCGCAACCTACTCATCTGACAAAGGGCTAATATCCAGAATCTACAATGAACTCAAACAAATTTACAAGAAAAAAACAAACAACCCCATCAAAAAGTGGGCGAAGGACATGAACAGAGACTTCTCAAAAGAAGACATTTATGCAGCCAAAAAACACATGAAGAAATGCTCATCATCACTGGCCATCAGAGAAATGCAAATCAAAACCACTATGAGATATCATCTCACACCAGTTAGAATGGCAATCATTAAAAAGTCAGGAAACAACAGGTGCTGGAGAGGATGCGGAGAAATAGGAACACTTTTACACTGTTGGTGGGACTGTAAACTAGTTCAACCATTGTGGAAGTCAGTGTGGCGATTCCTCAGGGATCTAGAACTAGAAATACCATTTGACCCAGCCATCCCATTACTGGGTATATACCCAAATGAGTATAAATCATGCTGCTATAAAGACACATGCACACGTATGTTTATTGCGGCACTATTCACAATAGCAAAGACTTGGAACCAACCCAAATGTCCAACAATGATAGACTGGATTAAGAAAATGTGGCATATATACACCATGGAATACTATGCAGCCATAAAAAATGATGAGTTCATATCCTTTGTAGGGACATGGATGAAATTGGAAACCATCATTCTCAGTAAACTATCGCAAGAACAAAAAACCAAACACCGCATATTCTCACTCATAGGTGGGAACTGAACAATGAGATCACATGGACACAGGAAGGGGAATATCACACTCTGGGGACTGTGGTGGGGTCGGGGGAGGGGGGAGGGATAGCATTGGGAGATATACCTAATGCTAGATGACACATTAGTGGGTGCAGCGCACCAGCATGGCACATGTATACATATGTAACTAACCTGCACAATGTGCACATGTACCCTAAAACTTAGAGTATAATAAAAAAAAAAAAAAAAAAAAGAAGTTTACGGATAAAAGAATGAGAAGTAGACTGACATTGTACTTTTCATCAACGTGTTGAATGCCTAAAGAATGGAAGGAAAATAAGCTTAAAATTTTGAATCTATGATAAAGAAAACTATTGATTAAAAAAAAAAAAAAAAAAAAGAGTTCAAGACCAGACTGACCAACATGGAGAAACCCTGTCTCTACTAAAAGTACAAAATTAGCCCAGCGTGGTGGCACATGCCTGTAATCCCAGCTACTTGGGAGGCTGAGGCAGGAGAATCACTTGAACCCAGGAGGTAGAGGTTGTGGTGAGCCGAGATCGCACCATTGCACTCCAGCCTGGGCAACAAGAGCAAAACTCTGTCTCAAAAAAATAAATAAATAAATAAATATATAAATATATATATATATATACACACACACACACACATACACACACACATATAACCATTATCAGAAACGAAAGAGGAGACATCATTACAGAACCTGCAGACATTAAAAGGAAAATAAAGGAATATTACAAAAAATTTTTGACCATAAATTAGACAACTTATATGAAACAATTCTTTGAAAGGCATAGACGCCAAAGCTCCTTCAAGAAGAAACACGTAATCCAAAAAGATACAATTAAGTTACCTTATTATATGTTTGATTTGTAGTAAGATACTACTTTCTAGGGTAATGTTCAAAGCACTTGTTAGGTACTGATTGAACTCCTTGAAGAACATTTCATTTCCTTCTTCATACTTCCCGTAGTTCTTTGAATACTCTTTTTGAATGCAGTGATTGGTCAAATGGCAGGTTTTGTCTTGGAAATTATCAACATGATATGGTTCTGAAGCAGTCCGAAGCACACCCTCTCTATAGAGGTAGATATTATACTGATGATCCACCAAGACCCAGCTTCTGCAATTCAACAAAAACACTGCTTTACTCAAGTCATCCAAAGTTTCTGCATATTATATACATCAATCCCCACATCTTGACTTCTTTTATGGGGTAGGTAAGGAGTGGGAGGCAACTAGGGAAGGAGGAAGTTTCTAAAACTATAAGAGGCATGTTATGATTTAGCTAAGATAGTGAGTTATCACTACAATGAGGCAAACAAAACATTTTACCATAAATAACAGGGAAATTTGATCAAAAGATAAAAAAATCAGATGATTTTTTTTTTTTTTTTGAGATGGAGTTTTGCTTTTGTTGCCCAGGCTGGAGTGCAATGGTGTGATCTCGGCTCACTGCAACCTCCGCCTTCCGGGTTCAAGCAATTCTCCTGCCTCAGCCTCCTCAGTAGCTGGGATTACAGGCGCATGCCACCACGCCCGGGTGATTTTTGTATTTTTTGTAGAGACAGGGTTTCACCATGTTAGCCAGGCTGGTCTCAAAATACTGACATCAGGTGATCCACCCACCTTGGCCTCTCAAAGTGCTGGGATTACAGGCATGAGCCACCACACCAAGCCCTGGATGGGTTGGATTTTAAGGTTAACCTATGAAACCTCCATTTGTTATGTCTCCTCTTTGAGTAATCTTAAAGAGTGTTCCTCCTGAAGATGATCTGACCTATGTTGATGTTCAAGAAGCGACAAATCGTTATGAAGCAATCAAGGAGACAGAGTCCTTGGCAATGAGCTGACAGCAAGGCCAAGGGTAAGTTGGAGAGGGAGGGCTGTTTAGCTTTAGAATGCACCACACAACCTCTTTCTCCATGCCAAGCCCTTTGCTCAGAAACTTAAAATCCCCTGAGGTGTGGTCATAAAATCCACAGAGTGGGACACAAACAATGAAGTGAGGAGAAATTATTTGGCAAGGTTGCACAACCTGTTGTGTCTGAATTACGTGTTCCATGCACATCTCTCAGTTTATTCCATGAGCAAGACCATACATTTATATTCATTTCTTTGAATCCACAAGTCATTTTTATAGAAAAGATTTTTTTTTTTTTTTTTTTGACACAGGAGTCTCACTCTGTTACCCAGGCTGGAGTGCAATGGTGCAATCTCAGCTCACTGCAACCTCCCCTCCCTGGTTCAAGTGATTCTCCTTCCTCAGCCTCCTGAGTAGATGGGATTACAGGTGCCTGCCACCATGCCTGGCTAATTTTGTATTTTTACTAGAGACGGGGTTTCACCATGTTGGCCAGGCTGGTCTCGAACTCCTGACCTCAGGTGATCCATCCACCCTGGCCTCCCAAAGTGCTGGGATTACAAGCGTGAGCCACTGTGCCCAGCCAGAAAAGAATATTTTTTAAAAAAGAAAATCCATAATCGTAGTAACATTTTCTAGATGGAAAAAACAAGAAAGAAAAATAGAAAATTAGGTACAGAAGGTAAGTTCCATTCAGCTGTGCTCAATTTTGGTAACATATTAAACATGGTCAAACGCTTCCTCATATTCCATGTCCCCCTTCCCACCACATACCATGGCAGTTTTTTCAGATGAATAAAAACAAAAGCTATGGACATGAATGCATTACCGGATGTCAAACTTGCGATGACCTGGCTCAAGCAGCAGAGGGTGCTCAAGATATTTCTGGATCACGTGCACTTGGCCCTGGTTGTCTATGAAATCGAGAAGCTCTGAAGCCTCTGAGGAGATGAGAATGCCTTCACCTAACAGGGAAAAAGCAAAAGACAAACCAATCCAATTCAAACCAAGAGCTCTCTATAAATCCAGAAAGGAAATACGAACAGCAAAAACCCCACAAGAGGCTTTCAATGTCCCGCTCACCTTTTTCCCTCCCTTCCTTACTCCAGTCCCCCACATGCTCCCTTCTCCCCTCAAGAGCACCCAGGATTATCCTACCAACTCTTTCTCCATACAGGTGTCAACGCTATCTTGGCTGGCTACAACCATGAAACGTCAGTTTTACAGAAATTCGTAGTGCCTAAGCACTCAAAATAAATACCATTCTATTACTAGTCACTGGCTACCACAATAAAGACTATAACAACAATAAATCCCCTTCCTTCACTATATCTTATAGAACTACCAGGAAGATAAAGGCATAAAGATGAATGTTCAAGTACGTCCCTTGCAGCATTGCAATAGAAAAAACTGGATACATTGGAATTGTCCATTAACATTAAATAATTGATATATCCTTTTTAATAGCTTGAAGTATAATTCATATACCAAAAAATTTATCCTTTTAAAGTGCACAGTTCAATGGCTTTGAGTATATTCAAGAGTTTTAAACCATTACTACAGTTTTTGTTGTTATTTCTTTGTTTGTTTGTTTGTTTTTGAGATGGAGTCTCACTCTGTCGCCCAGGATGGAGTGCAGTGGCGCAATCTCAGCTCACTGTAACCTTCGCCTCCTGGGTTCAAGCAATTCTCCTGCCTCAGCCTCCCAAGTAGCTGGGATTACAGGCGTGCACCACCATGCCTGGCTAATTTTTGTATTTTTAGTACATATGGGGTTTCACCATGTTGGCCAGGATGGTCTTGGTCTTCTGACCTCGTGATCTGCCTGCCTTGGCCTCCCAAAGTGCTGGGATTACAGGTGTGAGCCACCATGCCCGGCCTACTACAGTTTAATTTTAGAACGGTTTCACCACTCCCCCCAAAAAAACTCTTGTACCTATTAGCAGTCACTCACTACTCCCTCCTCACCCCAGCTTCTGACAACCACTAATCTACTTTCTGTATCTATGGATGTCTCATCTGGACATTTCATATAAATGGAATCACACAGTATGTGGCCTTTTGTGTCTAATTTCACTTAGCACAAAGTTTTCAAGGCTCATCCCCATTGTAGTGTGTATTAGTATCATGTTCACTCCTTTCTATGGCTGAAGTCATTTTTGTTCATTTAGTCATCAATTGATGGACGTTTGCATTGGTTCCATTCTTGTCTGCCTCTTATGAATAATGCTGCTATAAGATTTGCATACAAGTTTTTATGAACATATATTTTCAATTCTCAGGAATACTACGTATGCAGGTGTGTGACACCACATTGGCTAATTTTTGTATTTTTTTTGTAGAGCTGGGGTCTTACTGTTTGCTCTTTTTCTAATTGGATTGTGTGTCTGTTGTTTACTGTTAAGTTTTGAAAGTTGTTTACATATTCTAGATCTGAGTCCCTTGTCATATGTATGACTTAAAAATCCTTTCACCCAGTTTGTAACTCATTTTTATCCTCTAATGAGGTGTTTCATAGAGCAGAAGTTTTATTTTGATGAGGTTCAATTTATCAATTTTTACTTTTATGGATTACACTTTTGGAGTCAAGCTCAAGAACTCTTTGCCAAGCCCTATCTCCTTTTTTCTGAAAAATTATTAGGTCCACGATCCATTTTGAGTTAGTTTTTGTATGAGGTGTGAAGCTTATGTTGATGTTCATTTTTCTGCCTGTTGATATCCACCTTATCTAGTACAATTTGTTGAAAAGTTTATCCTTCCTCTATTGAATGGCTTTTGCACCTTTTT
This sequence comes from Homo sapiens, assembly GCF_000001405.40. Taxonomy (NCBI): domain Eukaryota; kingdom Metazoa; phylum Chordata; class Mammalia; order Primates; family Hominidae; genus Homo; species Homo sapiens. Next base: position 112,499,383 of record NC_000002.12, on the reverse strand, counting down.
CAAATATCAGATGGGCATATATGTTTTGGTCTATTTCTGAGTTCTCTATTCTCTTCCACTGATTTATGTTTCTTCTGTTTTTGAGACAGAGTCTTGCTCTGTCACACAGTGGTGTGATCTCGGCTCACAGCAACCTCTGCCCCCTGGTTCAAGCAATTCTCATGCCTCAGCCTCCCGAGTAGCTGAAAGTACAGGCATGCGCCACCACACCTGGCTAATTTTTTTGTATTCTTAGTAGAGATGGGGTTTCACCATGTTGGCCAGGCTTGTCTCGAACTCCTGACCTCAGGTGATTCAGCCGCCTTGGCCTCTGCTGGGATTTCAGCCGAGAGCCACCGTGCCTGGCCCCACTGATTTATGTTTCTATTTTTTCATGAATACTACAGTGTATTAAGTACTATAGCTCTAAAATACATCTTAATATCAGGTAGCATGTTCACTTATATTCTTCTTTTTCAAGATGTTTAAGCTATTCTAGGGCTTGTGCCTTTCCATATGAATTTTTATTATTTATTTATTGATTGAGATGGAGTCTTGGTCTTGTCGCCTAGGCTGGGCCCAAGCGATTCTTCTGCCTCAGCCTCCTAAATACCTGCGATTACAGGCGCCCGCCACCATGCCTGGCTAATTTTTGTATTTTTTAGTAGGAACAGGGTTTCACCATGTTGGCCAGCCTGGTCTCGAACTCCTGACCTCCGGTGATCCACCCGCCTTGGCCTCCCAAAGTGCTGGGATTACAAGTGTGAGCCACCGTGCCCGGCCCCTCCATGTAAATTTTAAAAGAAGCTCCATGTCTATACAAAAATGTTGCTAACATTTTGATAAGAACTACATAAACCTATAGACCAGTTTAGGGTGAACTGACATCTTTACTATACTGTCCTGCAATCCATGAACACGGTATGTCTGTCCATTTCTTTAGGTCCTCTTTGACTTCCTTCATAATCATTTTACTATTTTTAGCACACAGAGCCTATACATGTCTTGTTAAATTTATACCCAAGCATCACATTTTCTCTAGGGTGACTGTAAGTAGTACTGTAGTTTTTTGGTTTTTTTTTAGACGGAATTTTTGCTCTCTTGCCCAAGCTGGAGTGCAATGGTGCGATCTCAGCTCACTGCAACCTCTGCCTCCTGGGTTCAAGCGATTCTCCCACCTCAGCCTCTTGAGTAACAGGGATTACAGGTGACTGCCACCAAGCCCGGCTAATTTGTGTATTTTTATAGAGACAGGGTTTCAGCAAGTCAGCCAGACTGGTCTCGAACTCCTGACCTCAGGTGATCCGCCCGCCTTGGATTCTCAAAGTGCTGGGATTACAGGTGTGAGCCACTGCGCCCAGCTAAGTAGTTTTGTGTTTTTAACTTTGGTTTCCACATGTTCATTGTTGGCACATAAAAATGTGATTAAGTTTTGTGTGTTGCTCTCATATCCCGTAACATGGCTGAACTCACTCTTTAGTGAGTTGTCACCACTTCTTATTATAACCATTTTAATAAAAGTGTAGTGACAGTTCGTTGTGGTTTCAGTTTGCTAGAATCTTCTGATCTATGCTTTAGATTTATAGCTGATTTCTACCTGGATCTCATGCTTTCTTTATAAATGAATTCAATTCAGTTCATTAATTCAATGATCCACCTTTCCCAAACGTTAACGCCCTTTTCAACTATCTTCTTCCTGTCACTTGTTCGACCATCTGGTGAGCTTCTTGAACAAGAAACTGCAAATCAACCTGGAAAAGCTCCCTTATTCTCTTCCCCTACACACATGACTCATGCTGTTTCATCTCCCTTAGGAATCAGACTCAGATTTTTTGATACAACAGTATCAAAAATTATAAAATAAATTTGAATTTTATGTATCGTTTTATACCTACAAAATAAGAAAACAAAAATGGTGATACTTTTAGTAAAAGTTCGTCATGAACTGCTCCCTGTTAGCTCACGGCCCTTTGAAAAAGCAAGAGGATAACACAGAGCAAGAGCCATAAAGGCTTCATATCATTTGACCAAGTAATCTCATGTTTCAAACTTACTCTAATGAAATTTTTAAGAAGAAACAAGAGTCAAGGCTGGGTGTGATGGCTCATGCCTGTAATCCCAGCACTTCGGGAGGCTTGAGGTGGGAAGATCACTTGAGCTCAGGAGTTCAAGAACAGCCTGGGTAACACAGTGAGACTTCATCTCTACTAAAAATCAAAAAATTAACAGGGTGTGGTGGTGCACGGCTGTCGTCCCAGCTACTCAAGAGCTTGAGATGGGAGCGGGCCCGGGCACGGTGGCTCACGCCTGTAATCCCAGCACTTTGGGAGGCTGAGGCGGGCGGATCACGAGGTCAGGAGATCGAGACCATCCTGGCTAATGTGGTGAAACCCTGTCTCAACTAAAAGTACAAAAAATTAGCCGGGTGTGGTGGCTGGTACCTGTAGTCCCAGCTACTCGGGATACTGAGGCAGGAGAATGGCGTGAACCTGGGAGGCGGAGCTTGCAGTGAGCTGAGATGGCACCACTGCACTCCAGCCTGGGTGACAGAGTGAGACTCTGTCTCAAAAAAAAGAGGTTGAGTTGGGAGGATCGCTTGAGCCCAGGAAGTCGAGGCTGTAGTGAACTGAGATCATGCCATCTCACTCCAGCCTGGGCAACAAAGTGAGACCTTGTCTCAAAAAAAAAAAAAAAATACACACACACACACACACACACACACACACACACACACACACAGACACATATATATATAAAATAAAAAATTAAAATTAAAAAAGAAACAAGGGTCATCTACAGCAAAGACATTTACTACTGTTATCTGTAATAGTGGAATAATGGGGTTGTTTCTAAACAATAATTTTCTGTTATAGATGTAGTGTGTTCCCACGCTCCAGGTGAGAGGTGAAGGTGGCTAGATTAGAAATAGGCAGTGGACATGGTAAACAGTAGCTTCATAATGGGTAGAGTTTGAAGGTTGAGCCAACTATACAAAGCATGTAGTGGGTACCAAATAAATACTTGTTTAACAAGAATAAAAACCATTCATTCATCCTATTGGTTTCATTTTATGGTTTCCAAACATAATAAATATATATCAAATATATATCTCTTCAACTCTTAAAGCAAAAAGTCTTTAGCATTTTATTCTCTCTTGACTTCCCCCTGCTGCTTGGTGTCCCTCTGAGTCTTGTCTTAGTGAGGGTCCAGGGATCACCAGGTGTCCTCACAGTGGCCATTCTGACTCCAATCCCAAACCCACAGGAGAAGGGATGTCTATTTCCTCTTCCAAATCCGTCATTTACCATTGGAACCACACTAGGGGGCAGTAGTTGAGAAAAGGTCACAAGAGGGGAGAGAGAAGTAGGTGAGATACCTGACTTGTGGCAAGAGTCCAACTCTCCCCCTTTCAGGGATACCAGTTGAGGCCTTCCTGTCTCATCGCTGGTGGAAAAGAAGGTGAGGTCCCTTCGACCCGGAACAGAAATGAGTACCAATGGCTAGATGTCTTCCAAGGCAATACAAGAAGTGAGTTCAAAATGGAATGGTTTTTTTTTTAATTTTTGAGAAGGAGTCTTGTTCTGTCACCCAGGCTGAAGGTGCGATCTCAGCTTACTGCAAGCTCCACTTCCCGGGTTCACGCCATTCTCCTGCCTCAGCCTCCCGAGTAGCTGGGACTACAGGCACCCGCCACCACACCCAGCTAATTTTTTGTATTTTTAGTAGAGACGGGGTTTCACCGTGTTAGCCAGGATGGTCTCAATCTCCTGACCTTGTGATCCGCCCGCCTCGGCTTCCCAAAGCGATGGGGTTACAGGCAGTGAGCCACTATGCCCAGCCAGAATGGTTTTATAAAGAGCGTATGAGGGCATTAACATAGACAGAGATTGTTTATGTGTTCATTACATTGGGAACTGCCTCTATTTTCAGCCTGAGTTAACATTATAAACCTTACCCCTTACATGCATTCATTCAACATATATTTGTTGACTGCCTATGAGGAAGGTACAAGGATGAATAAGACAGAATGTCTGTGTTTGTGTGAAGCCTACAGAATAATAGGAGAGATGGACAGAGAAGTAGTATAGTGCCAGGAAAAGGTTAATGTCAGGAGGTAAATGAGGCAGGGGAAAGGGAAAGAAAGCAATGGACACGGAGGCTATTTTAGATTAGAAAAGCCTTCCCTGAGGAGCCAGCAACTGAGGTAAGAGAAACAAAACAATCCATGTAAGCACATTCTAGGTACAGAGACAAGTTTGGAATATTCGAGAGATACTAGGCAGTCTTTGTGTCTACAGTGCAGAGAGCAAAGCTGAGGATAGAAGGAGATGAGATCAGAGATATGGGCAAATGTCAAATGGTGCAGGCTACCATTAGGAATCCGGAGTTCATTCTAATTGCATTAGGAAGCCAGCTGGTAAGTCTTAAGTAGGAAGTAACATGATTAGATTTACGTTTTGAAAACATTATTGTCTGGAAGGAGAACTGGTTGAGAGCAGGCTCGGCAGTTACACACAGTAAAAAGAATGGGGGTTTTGATTTAGAGGGGAAGCAGGGGAAACGGCAAGAAATAGTCTATTCAGAATATATTTTGAAGGTAGAGCTAGCAAGAATTGCTAATGCATTAGGAGTAGATTGTAAAGAATACAGTAGTCAAGGATGAATCCTAGGTTTTAAGCTTCAGAGACTGAGTGAATAGTGGGATCATATACTAAGTGGAAAGCGTGAAGGAGGAGCAGGCTGGCGTGGGCAAAGTTGGGAAGGAAATGAAAAGTTCTGTATCAGATGTGTTCAGTTTGAAATGCCTTTTAGAGATGGTGAGGGTGTCAATGGATCTAGAGCTTAAAGGAAAAGACCATACTGGAGATAGACATTTAGAAGGCATCAGTACATAGATGGGTATTTATAACTATGTAACTAGACACGGTCTCAACCTTCGATGATTCAGATTAAAATAGGGTCATTCATCTAAATACATCACAATAGCAACTTACCAGGAATAGAGAAGGGGACAGCAGTGCCAACTCACCTTTGGCACCGGCTGATGACTTTGCAATCCAAACGTTGCCCTCTCCATCCTCTTTCTTTCTGTTATAAGAGGCGAGAAAGAATTCTCTTTCATCTGTCCTTGAGTTACTGATTGGTGGCTGAATTCCATTCTGTGCTGGAGCAACTGGAGTCTTGAGATTGGTTGGATAAATCACATAAGATTCAGGGAACCATGTGCAGGACTCAGCCAGTTCAGGGCTTGTCTTGATTAGCCTGGCAGATGACAGAAGAGGATCAGCCTCCCTTCTTAGTGCACTTTGTCACTCCCTTCAGAAAGGCCACTCCTTTCCCCCAGAGACTTTCCGGGAGGCAAAGCATGACTCAGTCTTCTAACATCTCTATTTGCTCTTAGTCTCCCTGGACAAAGCTCAAATGCGTTATTGGGGAGCGCACAGCTGTTAGATGCAACCTGAAAGGCATACCCCAATTAATTCAAAAGGCTTAATGTCCAACACTTATGCTCCTTTTAAAATGCATCTCTAATGAAACTTAACCGGACACAATCCTGAGCCGATATCTTTTCAACAAATATGTTGTTGAACCATACCCATACTAAAAAAATGAAATGGGGAAGAGAGGAAAATTTAAGTAGCAAAAAGACTATCCTGGCCCAACTCTCTATGGGAGAAAAGGCTACGTAGGAATCTGAATTATCTAAAGACTTTTTAAAGCTCTTGCTTTTAGCTCAGGCTGGCTTTGGTGACAGAATAAAAAAGGTATTTTTCTAACGGAACATAGGACACCAGTGGTCATAGTGAAATATACCTCCTGCTCCCCAAATACCATAACACCACAGAAGATAAAGTCAGGCAAGGCACTTAGCACACAGGGGCTTCCCTCTGCATCTACTCTGCAATCAGACCCCTGGAGCTAGAGGCACTGGCATCACATTTCACAAATTAGGAACTGGGTCATGGAGAAGTAAACTTCCTGAGATCATAAAGGTAGTGAGGACCAGCCAACATGCAGGCCCGAACTCCCAAGTCTTTTTTTTTTTTTTAACAGCTCAAGCTACTACAAAACCCCCAAGTCTTAACTGGAAACCTGCTCTTACTCCCCAGGAATCAGAGACAGGGAGGAACCTGCCCACAGACATGCACTGGCCTTCCCTGAGCTGTGCTCCCTCTTCTGTTTAGAACAGAACTGTTCATGCCAAGTCCATGTTAAGATTCACCTACAAAACCCAGTCTGTGAACAAATGGTGGAAATAACGACATTGTAGATAGATATTAAAAACAAATTTATTTTAAAGCGTAAGGGAAAGAACTGAAAAGCTACTTGAACTTGAAGGAACAAAATAAATAAATTTTTAACTCACTGAAAGTTCAACTCCGTATCTGCATTGTCCCATCCAGTGGTCACTAGCCAACCACAAGTGGCTACTGAGCATTTGAAATGTAGTCAGTGTGACTCAGGAACTGAATTTAAAGTTTAATTTTTTATTTTATTTTTATTTTTTTTATTTGAGACGGGGTCTCAGTCTGTCTCCCAGGCTGGAGTGCAGTGGTGCGATCCTGGCTCACTGCAACCTCTACCTCCCGGGTTGAAAACGTTCTCCCACCTCAGACTCCCGAGTAGCTGGGATTACAGACGCCCGTGACCACACCCAGCAAATTTTTTTTTTTGGAGATGGAGTCTCGCTCTGTCGCCCAGGCTGAAGTGCAGTAGCGCGACCTCGGCTCACTGCAAGCTCTGCCTCCTGGGTTCACGCCATTCTCCTGCCTCAGCCTCCCAGTAGCTGGGACTACAGGTGCCCACCACCACGCCCAGCTAATTTTTTTGTACTTTTAGTAGAGACGGGGTTTCACCGTGTTAGCCAGGATAGTCTCGATCTCCTGACCTCGTGATCCACCCGCCTCGGCCTCCCAAAGTGCTGGGATTACAGGCGTGAGCCACCGCGCCCGGCCCACACCCAGCTAATTTTTGTATTGTTAATAGAGACAGGGTTTCACCATGTTGGCCAAGCTGGTCTCAAACTCCTGACCTCAGGTAAACCACCCACCTCAGCCTCCCAAAGTGCTGGATTACAGGCATGAGCCACTGGGTCAGGCCTAAAATTTAATTTGCCTTTAATTTAAAAACGGATGCATTATAAAATATTTTTCCATTAAGCACAACTTTATTGATATGGTGAGATAATACTTCACTTTCTTGTTGTATCGCAGCATGCACGTCAGGGCCATGTGTCATTTCTAGTATCACACACAAACACATCGCTATTCTATTCAGGGACAATAGATTGATTCAGATCAAGTGATTTCTGTGCAGTGATGAAACATTATGATATGTTTACTATGCAGAGAGCATGAATTACAGTGCTAGCTACAAATACCACAATTGGGACTAAGGTGAAATAGAATTTCTTCCTAGTTAAAAAAATATTTGGACAAAAATTTAAATTTAAAACGAAGGCATACTACTGACGTGGAATTGAGTAGGGACACAGAAGCTAGAACTATGACAAGGACAGTAAGAGATTTAAAAAAAAAGAACTGAAAGGAGGTATGCCACAGATTCACAAGAAATGGTGACTGCAATAGGCTATGGTAAAAGTAAAATGAAAAAACGGTTGTGTAAAGGAGACATTTTTAGCAAATACATAATAAACTTGATAAGTATTTTCCTCTCAATGCTCAAAAAAATTAATGAAACTAGTGGCTAAAATCACAATATCCAACACATTTTTTAAGCAAATGTTTTACAGAGTCTGGGTTTATAATTTTGGGCAACTATAAAATGGCTTGGATTCTTACACAAAAAGAAAACCATTTTAGATGCAAATGTAGTTTTAAAAAACTATTTTAAGGAAAAGACTTAAAAATATAATTTACAAAAAATGAACAATCTTCAGCTGAGTCACAATTGCCCACAGACTACAAAACCTTTCTAACAATATCAAAGATTGACTCAAAATTTGAAAAATATTAAGTATTTTTCTTTAGCTTTAGGTGAACTGTGTGACATAAAAGATGCTGTCCAATTAATACTTTGGGTGTTTTGCCTCAAAGGATTTCCAAATGTATGATAAAATGCTGTCAAATTGCAGCTTAAAAAATATCAAACTCAGCCGGGAGTGGTGGCTCACGCCTATAATCTCAGCACTTTGGGAGGCTGAGGCAGGCGGATCACAAGGTCAGTAGATCAAGACCATCCTGGCTAACGCGGTGAAACCCTATCTCTACTAAAAATACAAAAAATTAGCCGGGTGTGGTGGCAGTTGCCTGTAGTCCCAGCTACTCGGGATGCTGAGGCAGGAGAATTGCTTGAACCCGGGAGGCGGAGGTTGCAGTGAGCTGAGATCGTGCCACTGTACTCCAACCTGGGTGACAGAGTGAGACTCCAACACACACACACACGCAAACTCATAGTATAGATATTTTAAAATCTCTTACATCTGTCACAGAATTTTACCTACATGCAAAAAATTTCTTTCTATCATGACAGATAGGACTTCAGTTAGGTTGTATTAAAATATGGATTTATGGCTGGGCACAGTGGCTCACTCCTGTAATGCCAGCAGTTTGGGAGGCCGAGGCAGGTGGATCACCTGAGGTCAGGAGTTCAAGACCAGCCTGGTCAACATGGTGAAATCCCGTCTCTACTAAAAATACAAAAAACTAGCCAGACATGGTGGTGGGTGCCTGTAATCCCAGCTACTTGGGAGGCTGAGGCAGGAGAATCGCTTGAACTGGGAGGCAGAGGTTGTAGTGAGCTGAGATGGTGCCACTGCACTCCAGCCTGGGTGACAGAGTAAAACTCCATCTCAAAAAAAAAAAAAAAAAAAAAAGATTTACTAAGATTTTAGTAGACTAATGTTTCCTTTACTACTTCATTTTATTGTATGATACATATTGGAAACATTTGCTTCATTGCATTATGTGTTACATGTTGAAAACATTTGTGTTAGGTCTGCTTTTTGTTTGTTTGTTTGTTTATCCGAGACAGGGTTTGGTTCTGTTGCCCAGGCTGGAGTGCAGCGGCACAATCTCGGCTCACTGCAAACTCTGCCTCCCCGGCTCAAGCGATTCTTGTGCCTCAGCCTCCCAAGTAGCTGGGATTACAGGCGCACACCACCATGCCCAGCTAATTTTTTTTTGTATTTGGAAGAGGCAGGGTTTCACCATGTTGGCCAGGCTGGTCTCGAACTCCTGACCTCAAATGATGCACCTGCCTTGGCCTCTGAAAGTGTTGGGATTACAGGTGTGAGTCACCACATCCGGCCTTGTGCTAGGTTTTCTGAAGCAGACTCTAAGTGTCACGGATACAGTTGTTAAAATGGTTCTGTATATACTCAATGATTCTCCAGTTCATGGAAACAGAAGACAATGAATTTAATGATACTGTGTTCTCTGCCAGTATTCACTGATGGAGAAGGGGAAGGGTCTTTTTAAATAAAGATTTACTTTTCAACTCCAATTCAGATTTTCTTGAAAATAAAAGGAATGTTTGTCAAATCATCATTTTCACTCAGTAATTCATTATTTCAATAATCAAAATAAAAAATGACTGCCATTTGCATTTTCTCATCTATCTTCATACTGCATATAAACAAGATAAATTTAAAGCTCCAAGGAAGGGAAGAGAAGATCTTATTTATGATCCACCCAGACAGGTGTGAGAATTTATGTTCCAACTTCATAAGTTGATAATAATGATTTCACATATTTTTACAACATGATTCAGTATGCAAAAAATGTTAATTGTAATAGCATTATGAAAATTGGCTGCAAAAACTAAAAGAAATCTGAGGAACACTTTGTTGACATTGGTAAATTTAGAGTTACTTTTCAATATATTCAATACATCTTTGAATTTGATATTTACAGTATCAAACTAACACAAGAGTTGGTGAATTTACTTAACTTGGACATTATTTTGAAAATAAGCTTTTGCTTCATAGTCAAATCAATTCTTCTAGAAAAGATGAACTAGTTTTGAAAATGTGTGTGCAATATTAAAGGAAATAGATCTTCTGGCTTTCAAAGTTGTTGAAAAACTTTTATGTACAACTTGAGTACATAAATCTACTTCTTCAACCATACATTTTTTATGTAATCTAAATTCAGATCAAAGCTTTCCAATGAAAATTTACTGTTTGAATTAAGATGTGCTACATATGTAAAATTCACATTAGATTTTGAAGAGTGAATAAAAGAACGTAAAATATAATAGCTTTTTATATTAATTACATGTCAAAATAACATTTTGGATTTATTTAGTTAAATATAATAAATTATTTGGGTTTTTTAAATTAATTTATTTCTTTTTTGAGACGGCGTCTCACTCTGTCACCCAGGCTGGAGTGCAATGGCATGATCTCAGCTCACTGCAATCTCCACCTCCTGGGCCCAAGCAATTCTCCTGCCTCAGCCTCCCAAGTAGCTGGGACTACAGGCGCCTGCCACCATGCCCAGCTAATTTTTATATTTTTAATAGAGACGGGGTTTCACCATGTTGGCCAGGATGGTCTCAATCTCTTGACATCGTGATCCGCCCGCCTCGGCCTCCCAAAATGCTGGGATTACAGGCGTGAGCCACCACGCCCGGCAATAAATTATTAATTTAATTGCAGCTGTTACTTTTCTTTTCTTTTTTTTTAAGAAGGAGTCTCACTCTGTCTCCCAAGCTGGAGTGCAGTGGCATGATCTCGGCTCACTGCAACCTCCACCTCTCAGGTTCAAGCGATTCTCCTGCCTCAGCCTCCCGAGCAGCTGGGATTACAGGTACCCACCACCATACCCAGCTAATTTTTGTATTTTTAGTAGACATGGGGTTTTACCATGCTGGCCAGATTGGTCTCGAACTCCTGACCCTAAGTGATCTGTCCGCCTCAGACTCCCAAAGTGCTGAGATTACAGGCGTGAGCCACCACGCCCGGCTTGCAGCTGTTTCTCTGCACTTATTTTAATGTGGCTACTAGGCGGTTTATAATTACATGTGTGGGTAGCATCCTATTTCTGTTGGACAGTGCTGGTCTGTAAGATGACCTTGGTTTGGAAGCCCTCATTTCCTGCACAGAACCAAGACCAGGCTCTGCAGGAAGTCCTTTGCTTTTGTCCCATTTCCTCATGGGCCCATTTGGGAAGTAATCAGAAATGGAGATTTATTTACATCTATAAAACAGCAATGCTCAGGAGAGGAAAAGATAGCCTCTGATCTGTACCAGGAGAAGAAAAGCCCCTCAGGGTTCTAAGACTATGGCCTTGAGGCCTCAGTGAAATTTCCGAAACTCCCTGAAGTGACAGGGGGAAGGACTGGGCTGCACAGGGTCTTGCACTGAACCCCACCAAGGCTCTGGGAAGCCTCCCAAGGGTGCACAGTCACAATGGCCAGGGGTCCCATTTGTGCAGATTAAAACTGTCCTGGTTTAACAGGAGCTACTATGGCCATGGGCAACCTGGCTGTCCTCTCTGAACTGCCACTTTGTCCTATAAAATCAAGGAGACTTTATTTCTAACTCTCTGGAGCCCTTTCAAGCCATACAAAATCATGGGAGAGAGACAAATGGATAAAGGGAAGCATCATATCCTGGAATTACTGCAAGCCCCTCACAGGACAACTGAGACAAAGATGGAAGCTGATGAGGATGATGCAACCTCCAGCCTGCATAGGTCATGTCACCATTACAAGGTGCTATCACAGATCACACTGCATGCCTCCGAGGGGCAAGGGGCAGGTACTGTCACCACCATCCATCCCCATTTTACAGATGAGACACGGGGATTCTGAGTGGTGCTCTCCAAGGTCACAGATATTTATCACAGTTGGTCACGACTCCAGCCCTGTACTCACTCTGCTTCACTATAACTGCAAAATATACAAACATGGAAACCATTATTTTTTTACTGAGTCCTCTGCTTCCTACTTTATCTTTAGGGGAAAAATCGTAGCAGAAGAGGTTTAATAAATATTTAATAAGAATTTCTAAGTGAATAATTTGAATAAACAAGCATGTCCCACTTCTATTCCTGATTCCATGTAACAGTCATTTGCATTCTAAATATACAAACATGTCACAAAATGACTTCAGGAAGCCTCACTCTCCTTCAGGAGTGGGATGAATCATGATAAACCCATCACAGAGAGGAGTGGGTACATAAGTTACCAGGGCCAATGAGTGAACAAAAAGCAGAAATGTTCCTGTGAGCACCCAACCTAGTAAATATCTAGAGCCCAGAAAGAAACGTTAGTGGGAAAAGAGCATTTTGCATTGAGTCATATCTTCCAGTACCTGGCTACACACACATGTTCACCAGTCATCATGGAAAGAATACTGGAGGCCCACGACAGCCCTGATTTTAGTGGCCCGACCCAGTGTTTCCTACTGAAACAACAGTAATAGCAATGACAACTATACTAATAGCAATAATAAGGAATGCTTTCACTTATACAGTAGGAACAACAAGACGGGCACAATTCAAAGCCCGTAGCTAAATTAGCTCAATTAATCCTCATAACAACCTTAGGTAGTTATTATTATTTCCCCATTTTACAGCCAAGAAAATTAAGATAGTGTCAAATTCTCATTATGTACCAGGCCACTGTGCTATATAAACTTTACATGCATCACCTTATTTAATTCTCATAATAGCCTTACGAGGGAGGCACTGAGGCTTAGAGGGATGAGGAGATCTGCCCAAGCTAGTGAGAGAAGGAGCTGGGGTGAACACTTACACTTTTCACCCTAGATCTTAATCGTTGTCTAACACCGTCTCCTTCCACTTTGTGATACCTAGCCATAATCCAACTGCTCAGAGATGGGCAGTGCAGTGAATGCTCTTATACCCTGCCCAGATATCCTTTCTGAGGGACCCCTTACAGCCATGAGAGAAGGATGCTACGGGCTATATATGCCCTTCTCTGGGGACCAGCCCCTGCCCAGAAATGCCTGCGAAGCTAAGCCCTCCATCTCTTCCCACAGCCAATGGCTGACTGATACTGGAGCATAGAGGCCTGGTCCTTGCTCAAAATGTGACAACTCTGAGGTGCCATTCACTCTGGTGCTCCTTGGAGTCAGGAGAGGCAAGACTTCAGCTGAAACCACCTCTTTACTTGGTTCTCCCCCTGCCCTGCCCTGTCCTTGCTTCCCGATGGCTGTCTCTTAAGAATCCTACCCCAGGAAATCACTTACACAGGAGACCCTGAGTCAGGCTCTGCTTCTAGGAGCCTCACCTCAGAGGCAGACAGGCTTTATCAAGCACCATGTTTTGGACCGCAACCAAAGCGGCTTAGAGGAAGCTTCTGAACTGATATTTGTTGGCTTTTAAAATAAAAGTATGTTTGTCCTTTAAACAACCCCACATTTTTGCCTAAGTGCTTCATTTAGGTAAAAAATGGAAAACAGCGGTCTTAACACTTACTTCACTAAAGAAGCTTTGCGACACAGTTTGTCAGCACCCCTGTAGTAATTCACCAACTGTACCAGCCCGGGCTCGTGACCTAGGAAGGAAAGAGGAGGCTCAGAAGGGACACAGGACACAGCAAGCAGGAGAGAGGACAGCTGTGTCATGCCCAGCTTTTCTCTCTCTCATCTCAGGATTGGCTGTTAGAAAATGGAAAATGGAACAATTTTGTTTCTCTGTCCCCAGGGACCCTCTTTCTCTCAGTATTCCGCTGGCAACCTTCATTCTCCCCACAGTGGATATTATATCAACATCGTAGGTTTGCCAAAACTGCTGCTACCTTTGTCTGTTTTTTCTTGTTAGGGTAGAGGGTATTGAGGGTATTTTTTCATTTCACCTCTCCCTGACTGCACACTGCATTCCGCTCCTGGCTTAACACATATAGACTTGTCACTCTGTACAATAAGGCTACTTTAACAGTCACGCTTTCCACATCCGTAACCTGGCTTTCCATACCAAGGAAGGAAGGAGAACTAGAATGATGCTGGTCTCAAGCAAGTCTATCTCTGCAAGCTTCTAGGTGAAGGAAGGTAGTGGAGAGGCCATGTCTACAAAATCAGAAGCCCTGAGAGCTTTCTTCTGTGCCGCATTCCATGGGGAAACTCATTTTCAACAGCTCTTATTACATGTGGCTTTTTTTTATAGAATTAGAGCAGAAAGGACACAAAGAAAAACAATTTTTATTAAAAATAAAAAGTGTTTTCAGCCAGACACAGTGGCTCATGCCTGTTATCCCAGCACTCTGGGAGGCTGAGGTGGGTAAGTCACCTGAGATCAGGAGTTCAAGACCAGCTTGGCCAACATGGCAAAACCCCATCTCTACTAAAAACACAAAAACTAGCTGGGCGTGGTGGCGCACACCGGTAATTCTAGCTACTTGGGAGGCTGAGGCATGAGAATCACTTGAACCTGGGAGGCAGAGGTTGCAGTGAGCCAAGATCCCACCACTGCACTCCAGCCTGGGCGACAGAGCAAGACTTCATCTCAAAAATAAAATAAAATAAAAAATGTTTTGTTTCAAATCTTAATAAAACACACTGTATTTCCAGTAACAAAATCAAAGTAAGACCAAAGGAATTTTCAGTTGAAAATGCCAGAAGAAAGAATAATTTCTCTGAGAATGGCATACAGTCAAATCAAAAGTTTCAGGCAGGCATTAGCTGGCTCTCACTGGTCTCCCTGAGCAGACAGACCTGATTCCCACCTGAACTGCCTACATTCTTATCCACAGGGCACCTGCCTTCCTGAGCCTTTACCTAGCTCTATAAATCTTCTCCTTGGCTTTCATGTAGTACACTTTAAGCAAAAGGTAAATATCCCTTAACAGTGATGGCATATAACCAATTTTGTTGTAGGATGCTGTTTTCTTTCCCATAAAAACCAAATGTTGGCCGGGCACGGTGGTTCATGCCTGTAATCCCAGCACTTTGGGAGGACGAAGTGGGCGGATCACCTGAGGTCAGGAGTTCGAGACCAGCCTGACCAACACGGCAAAACCTTGTCTCTACCAAAAATACAAAAAATTAGCTGGGCATGGTGATGCGCGCCTGTAATCCCAGCTACTTGGGAGGCTGAGGCAGGAGAATTGCTTGAACCCAGGAGGGAGAGGTTGCAGTGAGCCAAAATTGCACCACTGCACTCCAGCCTGGGCGACAGAGTGAGACTCTGTCGCAAAACAAACAGACAAACAAAAAACAAAACTACAAAAAAAAAAAAAAACACATACAAACAAAAAGCTCAAACGTTTACTGATCATCTCCTGAATTTGTGGTATCTGTTCAGGATTCAAATTCTGGAGGCTTCTGCTTCTCACTCCTAGGCTTAAGCACCAGGGTAATGCCAGTCACTCCTACCTCTGCCTGGGCGGAGCCATGTTTGTTGTTTTTAATGTTATGATTCCACCTAAGCTTTCACAGCTAGGCACTGCCAAGAATATAGAGGGAAGTCAGGAAGTCTGGAAGGGGAAGTGGACAATGCAAGGAACAAATAATTGTTCTCAACTATAAGCAATTCTTCCTCTCCTTTCAGATCATGAATTCTCTTTGCTAGGGTCTTCCTGACACCGGTTAACCAAAGGGAGCCTCCAGGCACAGTCTCCATATTCTAAGATTTCTGGGTGTTCAAATGGGTCCTTCCATGGAGTCACCATTCTACATCATAAACTTGTATACCAATGAAAAGTTGTCCCAGGTACTATTCAAAAGAAGAAAATCCAGCAACTTTACACTGCAGCTCTTCATTCCTCCAACGATTTGAGTTTTACACAGCCCCCTCCCAAAGGCTCTGTCTATGGAAGCTCATAAATGACCAGTCAATTCCAAATGGCCCGTATTCAGTTTTTACCCATTTGAATTCTGACCACACCTATTTCTAAAAACTGTTTTCTCTCCTGGACATAGAACATTGCTCTCTCTGGGTTGCCCTCCAAGGTAGAGGTGACTCTTCCTCCGTATCGATTCTCCCCTTGTCTTTGGAATACAATTGGCCCCCACCTCTGGTGAATTCTGGCAAGGAACATGGCTCCCCGGAGAGAAGATGCAATTCCCAGATGACTGTGCAGAGAGGGAGGCCATGAGACTATGCTCAGGTCAATAGGATGTGAGTTGAACCGATCTGGGCAACTTCTGGATGACATCACTTACAAAGGAGCCGCTAGTCCCCTCCTATCTCCTGCGCTTTCCTACCCGTGGACATGTGGGTATGGTGGTGCCCAGCCAGCTTCAACCATGTGGATGAAGGTAATTCCCTCGGGGAGAGCAGGGAAGACAGGGAGGGCGAACGCAGCCTCGTGTAAGATCTTAATCCAATGCAGAACTGCGAAAACACATTATTTGGTGAAACTAAGGAAAGGTTTATAATCAGACATCCCTCCACACTTCCCTGGGCTAGGGTCTCTTCTGCAGCTCCTGCTTTTGGAATCCGGGGGTCTTTTCCAAATCCTCTGATCGCTCCTCCGCGCCTTCGGGGGGCAGAAGCCTCAGGGGTTTCAACACCTACGGCTCCCCCGCCCGCGCCCACGCCAAGCAGGGAGAAATCCTCAGTGCAGACGAGCTGCAAAAGATGACTCCAGCCGCCCGCTCTGCGGAGCCGCGCCCAGCGCGGCGGACCCGCCAAATCTGGGGGCTTCGGCCCGGGGGAGCCGCTAGACTCGCGCCTCAGGTCCCAGCCCCGGCGGCCAGCGTCTCCCGGGCTGCAGGGACCGGTCACCGTCGGGAGGTAGCTGCGGCCCCGAGTGGCCGCACCGCGACTCCGACTCTAAATCCAAGTTAGGAGACAAGAAAGCATTAAAAACGACAGGTTTCGATCTTTCCGAATCCGTTTCTGATGTGCCCGACAAGCGACAGAGGAGAAAATGTATGACCTTTAAAAACAAAAGCGCCGGTTCTAACGGGCCGCGGGAGGCGCGCAGGGCCGCTCCGAGGAGGGCAGACGGGAATCGGGGAGGGGCTCACCCAGTCTCCCGAAGGGCAGCCGATTCCTCTCTCCCAGCATCAGGTTGAATCTGGGGTTGTCTCGCCGCAGCCTCTTCCAGTGGCCGGTGGCGAGGAGCAGCCGGGAGACCTCGGCGTAGACGCTGCTGTTCTCATCGCGTACCACGAAGGTGTACATGGCGAAGCGCCGCGCGCCCGGGCCGCCGGGCAGCCGCCGCAGGGACCAGGCGGCCGAGAAGGCGGCTCAGCGCGGACCCCGCCCGGGCGCCCGCCGCGGCCCGGCCCCCGCCGCCCGCGCCGGCTACCGCGCCTCTCGGGTGCCGGCGGCGCCGCGCCCGGGCGCCCGCCGGGTGCCGGAGAGGAAAGCGCCGCTCGCACGCCCGCCCCCGCCGGCGCGGCCCCGCCTCTGTCCCGTGATTCCGCGCGGCCCGGCCCCGCCGCGCTCTGGAGGAGCCCGTGGGCGGCGGCGCCGCGCCCTTTCCGTACCCTCCCCCGGGGGCGGCGGCGGCGCAGGGTTGGAGACCCGCGGCGGTGGGCGCGGCTTTACCGCAGCGGGCGGACTGTGCGGTGGAACCGGAGCCCGGGCCTGGGGTGGTTCTTTCCGAGCCCCGGGTCGCAGCCGGGGGGCGGTGCCGGCGGAAGATCCCAGTTTGCAGGGCTCGATCTGGGTTTTTCTTCTATTGCCAAAGGACCTTTAATGGATAAAACCCAAAAGTTCTAAGGCCCGGTCCTGTGGCCTAATGAAGAAGCGCTTCCTCTTCCTCTTTGCTTAACGACTACGGAGACCCGGAGCGTCGGTTTTGTTTGTGTCGAGTGCTCCTTCCTTCGGCTGAGCCCAGGGTGGCGCACGGCCAAGGGGATGACCTTAGACTCTGCTGGTGGAAGCAGGTCCCAAACCGACCCCCTGGAGCCCTGGGCTCCGCTCTTTTCCTGCCTTTTACCGGCATTCAGCCACTTGCTTTCCCTTCTCCGGACCTCGATTTCCCCTTATGAGCGGCGGAGAGTGGCTCTTAAAAGTCCCTTCGGTTCTGATAGCCCACTCTGAAGACTGTGCTGCTGCATTTGAGATACAAAGAGAAGGCAATGATCATCAGAGCTCCCCCAAACTTCCTACAGTCCCTCATAAATTACCCACATCAGCCCTGCGCCTTGCATCTTTTACTCTCCTGTAGATAAAGAACACCCTGGGGCCTCTCCCCTTCCTGTCCCCCGATGCTCACGGTATCTACCCGAGCACATTGTAAAAGCGCCCTTCTCCTTCCCATCGTTGCCCAGATTCCACGGGGCCGCCAGGCGCTCACTCGCCTGTCTTGCGCACCGGCTCCACCTGCAGGCAACCGCTGGCTGTGGAGAGCCCGCTCAGAGCAGAAATGGGGCAGACTTAGAGGTGCTGGGTGCTTGCACTCCTTCCCAGCTGCTCTCCCTCCACGAGGGATAGAGTTGGTCGAGAATGCCCTGGCCCTCTCGCCCTCCGCACGTGCCCTGCGGGGAGGCGTGTGTCCTAGGCGTATTGCGGTGGTCCTCTGTAGGCCACGGCTGCGGTTGTCCACAGCTGCAACTTGCTCATCAGGGCATCTTCTGTTGGCTTCCTTCCTTTCCCTGACTACCGATGTTTCCTGGGATCACCTCCCAAAAAAACTACTGTACTCGTGCTCAAATTCTTGTTCCAGGGGGCACCGTTTGGGGGAACTCGAGCCAAGACGCTGTGTTTGCCGCTCTTCACGGCTGATCACCTTGAAAGTGACGTCCACTCCCACCATGCTGCATCAATTCCTCCTGCGACTCCTACTGACGACTCCTGTGCCACAGGTGGCTTCTCTCTGCCACTCCACAACCGTGGATCTCATTAGGAACACCAGTGACCTTTGAATTTCCAAATCCAGAAGCTACCTTTTTCCTTTTTCTCACTTTTTGTAGCGAGCACCATTTTTGTTTCTTTTAGCTGTAGGTTCTGTACGGTACTACTTATTCCCCACCCCACTTTTTTTTGAGACAGGGTCTCACCATATTGCCCAGGCTGGTCTCGAACTCCTCAACTCAAGCCATCCTCCCACCTCAGCCTCCCAAACTGTTGGGATTACAGGCGTGAGCCACCACACCCAGCTTATTCCCTTTTCTTTGTAAGGTAACTCATCTTTCCTCCTTGGAACGTGTGTGTGTGTGTGTGTGTGTGTGTGTGTGTGTGTCTGTTAGGGAGTCTTGCACTGTCGCCCAGGCTGGAGTGCAATGGCGTGATCTCAGCTCACGGCAACTTCCACCTCCGGGTTTCAAGAGATTCTCCTGCCTCACCCTCCTGAGTAGCTGGGACTACAGGCACAGGCCACTATGCCTGGCTACTTTTTATATTTTTGGTAGAGACAGGGTTTCACCATATTGGCCAGACTGATCTCCCAACTCCTGACCTCAAGTGATCTGCCCGCCTTGGTCTCCCAAAGTGCTGGGATTACAGGCATGAGCCGCAGCGCCTGACCCCCTTGGAACCCATTTTTTGTGGCTCTTGTGGGATTAACAGTGTCTGTTATTGATAAAGGAAATGAATATCCAGGCTTGGTCCAACAGGATTACTCTCTATCCCTTTTGCCACAGCGACTGGTAAAACGTAGGAAACTGGTCCAAATCAGACCAATCTGATGGAACACTATCTGTGTGGGACAGCTTGCCACTGTCTTGCTGTCTTATAGGGGGAGAATCTGTTCCGAAAATTCAGCTTTGCCTCCACCCTAGCATTAAGCCCCTAGCAGTAAGCATTAAATGTGGATATGTGAATATACTCTTGCCAGTAGAATGTGAGCAGGTGATATGTATCACTTCCTAGCTTAGACCTTAGAATTTGGATGTGCCCTCTTCTTCTGGAGACAGTACGTACAGTCAGCAGCAATATTGGAACAAAGAATGTAAGGAATTTGCCAAAACTGGCAGTACCCTGGATTATAAAGTAAACTCCAGCAATTTCAAAAGATTGAAATAATTCTGAACACTTTTCTGACAATAGTGGAATTAAGTTGCATGGAGATTAAGTGATATTGTACACTGCTAAATAACCCATGAATCCGTGAAGAAATCACAATATGAGAAAGTATTTTCTAACTGAATGAGAATAAAGATATGGCATAGCAAAACTGGTAGGATACAGCTAAAGCTGTTTTTAATAAAAAAATTACAGTCTAAAGTACATATGTGTTTTTTTTTGTTTTGTTTTGTTTTTGAGACGGAGTCTGGCTCTGTGGCCCAGGCTGGAGTGCAGTGGTGTGATCTCGGCTCACTGCAAGCTCTGCCTCCCGGGTTCACGCCATTCTCCTGCCTCAGCCTCCCGAGTAGCTGGGACTACAGGCGCCCGCCACTACGCCCGACTAATTTTTTGTATTCTTTTTTTTTTTTTTTTTTTTAGTAGAGACGGGGTTTCACCGTGTTAGCCACGATGGTCTCGATCTCCTGACCTCGTGATCCGCCCGCCTCGGCCTCCCAAAGTGCTGGGATTACAGGCGTGGGCCAAGTACGTATGTTTTTAAAAGAAGACTGAAAATCAATTAAGCTTCCATCTCATGAAACTAGAAAAAGAATAATAAGCAAAACCCAAAGTAAGTAAAAGGAAATAAATCCTAAGGGAAGAAATCAAGGAAGTAGAAAATAAATGTACAATAAAGAAATCAAAGGCAAAGGGGATATATTTTAAAAAATTTAAAATTGTTAAGCATTCAAGACCAACAAATGAAAGGAAGAACAATCAAAGTTAAAATGAAAAAGGTCAGATGCAAGAAGATTTAAAAATATTTTTAAACAAATTTTTTAATGAAAAAAGAAACATCACTAGAGATCCTGAAGGTATTAAAAACAATAAGATCCGGCCAGGCGCGGTGGCTCACGCCTGTCATCCCAGCACTTTGGGAGGCCGAGGCGGGTGGATCACCAGAGGTCGGGAGTTTGAGATCGGCTTGACCAACATGGAGAAACCCTGCCTCTACTAAAAATACAAAAAATCAGCTGGGCGTGGTGGCGCACGCCTGTAATCCCAGCTACTCGGGAGGCTGAGGCAGGAGACGGTCTTGAACCCGGGAGGCGGAGGTTGCCGTGAGCCAAGATCGCGCCACTGCACTCCAGCCTGAGCAACAAGAGCGAAACTCCGTCTCAAAAAAAGAAAGAAAGAAAGAAGATCCTATGATCAATTTTTGCAAATGAATTTGACGTGTGGACAAAATAGACTACTTCCTTGAAAAATCCAGTTTACCAAAAATGACACAGAAATACAAAATCTGAATAATTTCACACCTATTAAAGAGATTGATTCTATTCGCAGATAACATATATGTAGAAAATTCTACCAAAAAAACCCTTAAGGACTACCCACACATACATACCCACGAAATGTTAGAATTAATAAACAAATTAGAATTAATAGAATTAATAAACAAATTCAGCAAACTTTTGGAACAGCCCAAAATAATCCAAGAAAAAATTAAGAAAACAATTTCATTTATAGTACCATCAAATAACCCGTTTATTAAGGGAAAATTTGAAAAAAATAAAACTGTCACTTTTCCCATATGATATGGTTCTATACATAGTGGATCCTGAAGAACCTATACTAATTGAATGAATAACTGAACATTGTAAAGTCACTAGATACAAGGTATATATACAGATATAAATTGTATTTCTGTATGTCAACAACAAAGAAATAGAAAAAAAATTTTTAAAAGATACGATTTACAGTAGCATCAATATAAATGTGAAATAATTAGGAGTATCTAATGAAAGCTGTGCATTGCCTCTACACTGAAAATTACAAAGCATAATCGAGAGAAAATTTAAAAGCATAAAATAAATGAAAGGATGTACCATGTTCATGACTGAAAGACTCAAAATTGTTAAGGTGTCAAATTGATCTATAGATTCAATACAATCCCAAACAAAATCTCTGCAGAGCCATTCATGGAAATTGACAAGGTAATTCAAAAATTTATATAGAAATGCAAGGGACTGGCTGGGCGCGGTGGCTCATGCCTGTAATCCCAGCACTTTGAGAGGCCGAGGCGGGCAAATTGCCCGAGGTTAGGAGTTCGAGACCAGTCTAGGCAACATGGTGAAACCCCAGTTCTACTAAAAGTACAAAAAAATTAGCCGGCCATATGTTTTTTAAAAAAGACTGAAAATCTTTTTAAAGATTTTCATGGTGGCATGATTTTTAAGATTTTTAAGATTTTAAGATTCCATGGTGGCATGCACCTGTAATCCCAGCTACTCGGGAGGCTGAGGCAGGAGAATTACTTGAACTGGGGAGGTAGAGGTTGCAATGAGCTGAAGATTGCGCCATTGCACTCCAGCCTGGGCGACAGAGTGAGACTCCAACTCAAAAAGAAAAAAAAGAAAAAAGAAAAAGAAACTCTGACTCAAAAAGAAAAAAAAAAAAGAATAGCAAAGGTAATCTTTAAGAAAGTTGGAGGATTTACACTACCAGGTATCAAGACCTGACTATCAAAGTTATAGTATGTAAGTACAAAGCTGTAGCAATTAAGGAAGCATGGTTTTAGCATAAGAAGGGAAAAATTAACCAATGTAATAAACAGACCAATGTAACCCATGTAGGGAAAACCCATTTTAAGTTGTTTGGGGGTCTAAGTATAGGACACAAAGAAAAGACATGAAGGGAGGAGTAGTTCAGGATTTTGAGGCTTGCTTTTTAGGAGCACCACTCTTAAGCCCACGTAAGAAAACTTTAGAGGCTCTCACTCCGGCCCTGCTCTAGCCACATTCTTCCCTACAGATGAGACGTTTGTGAGGTCAAGGAGTTAATGGCCACCAGGAGACTGTCACCCTCCCAGTTTCTAGGATGTGCCAGATATCCGGGAACCAGAATTCACTGTCCAGAGATCAAAGCCTATTTCCTGGCCCTGCTCAGGCTTCCTCCCCGGGCCCATGTCCCAAGGGTCAGTGGCACTGCTGGTGTAGGCACCCATAGGCCTGGGCAGTGGCCAAGGGGCGGCTGTTTGTGGGTGAGGAGGAATGGATGCTCAGCTGTGAAGAGCAGTGTCCTCGCTTGAGTTCCTCAAAAAGGTGGCCCTGGAACTCACAATTGCATTGTATGTATGTTATAAACAACCTGATTTATATCAAAGGTGACATTGCAGATGAGTAGGGGCAGAGATGGGCTTACAGATGGAGCTGGGTCAAGGATATCCATATGGAAAACTAAATAAACCTTGACTCCTATCACATGCTATACTCAAAAATCAATTGCAAATGCGTTATGATGGAATACATTTAAAAGTGGAAGGTAAAGCAATAAAGCTTGCTGGGTGGGCAAAGTGACCCATGCCTATAATCCCAGCACTTTGGGAGGTCAGGTGTTAGGATCGCTTAAGCCCAAAAGTTCAAGGCTACAGTGAATTCTGATCGTGCCACTGCACTCCAGCCTGGGCGACAGAGCAAGACCTCATCTTAAAAAAAAAGGACTTTTAGAAGAAAACAGGAGAAAATCTTTATGATCTTACACTAGGTAAATATTTCTTAAGAGGACGCAAAAATCTCTATGAATAAAGTAAAAAAATATGAATGGTCAGTCTTAAAATTAACAAGTCTCATTCATCAAAAGACACCATCAAGAGAATAAATAGGAAAGCCATAGAATAGGATATATGTGTGTGTGTGTGTGTGTGTGTGTGTGTGTGTGTGTGTGTATGTACATACCTATATGTATGACAAAGGACTCATATCTGGGATATAAAAGGGATTACAAATTAAGAATTAAAAACTGGTAAGCCAATGAACAAAAGAACTGAGTTGAATATTCATAAGAGACAACCTAAGAAGTAAGCCCTGAGCAAAGAGAAGATTTGGAGAAGAGTCATACTGAGAAAGTCAATAAGGGATATGTTTGGCTAAAAAGCAGGCCCACATCTAATAGTTGTATACACATGGGAGCCACATGTCTCAGTGTCTACCGTATATCTGAGTATTTAAAAGTTACAGACCAAGCCAATAAGCTGCTAAATAGAATGTCTTCTTGCTACTTTACAATCATACTTTTATAAGGATGACCTGCAAGGGCAGGATTTTTAGAATTCTCAGACTCATAAGAGTTCCACGTCAGAGCCTGGTAATACTGGGAGAGATGGCCTTGGCCCCTGACCATAGCTCAGCCCCGTTTCTTCCCATCCCTGACTCCAGCCTGCACCACAGAGGCTGTGCATGCATGCATGGCCTCTTCCTCACCACAGTGAGAAAGTCCAAGCTCCACCCATACATCATCCCCCACAAACAGTCACCCTTTGGCCACTTCCCAGGCCTAGGGGTGCACACACCAGCATTGCCACTGATACCTGGGACATGGGCCCAGGGAGGAAGCCTGCACAGGGCCAGGAAATAGGCTTTGATCTTTGGACAGTGAATTCTGGTTCCCAGGTATCTGGCATAGCCTAGAAAGTGTGAGGGTAACAGTCTCCAGGCGGCCATAGCGCCTTGACCTCAAGAATGTCTCATCTGTAGGGAAGAATGTGGCTAGAGCAGAGCTGGAGTGACAGCCTCTAGAGCTTTCTTACACGGGCCTAAGAGTGGTGCTCCTAGGAAGCAAGCCTCAAAATCCTGAACTACTCCTCCCTCCATCTCTCTTCTTTGTATCCTATACTTGGACCCCAAAACAACTTAAAATGGGTTTTCCCTCACCCCTACCGCCACCACAATCACTCCATGCCTTGCTTACTGTAACTACTTCATAGCTACTCTTCTTGTTCTAGCCCCTCCACCTCTCCCACCTTCCCTGAACACTACCACCAAATTAATCTTTCTAAAGCACAGCATTCATCCAGTCTGTCCACACATCAAATACTGCAGGGGCTCATTGAAGCCAGAACCCCGTTTCAAATTCATAAATTCATGGCTTTTTTTTTTTTTTTTTGAGATGGAGTCTTGCTCTGTCACCCAGGCTGGAGTGCAGTGGCGTGATCTTGGCTCACTGCAACCTCTGCCTACTGGGGTCAAGCAATTCTCCTGCCTCAGCCTCCCAAGTAGCTGGGATCACAGGTGTGTACAACCATCCCAGGCTAATTTTTGTATTTTTAGTAGAGACAGGGTTTTACAATGTTGGCCAGGCTGGTCTCGAACTCCTGACCTCAGATGATCCACCCACCTTGGCCTCCCAAAGAGCTGGGAGTACAGGCGTGAGCCACCGCGTCTGCCCGAATTCATGGCTTTTCATTAGGCCTTTCCACTGTATCTTTCCTGCCACATCTACCACATTCCCTCAACCAAATTGAAATGCCCTGATCATCATCAAGGTCAAATAACAGTTTGTCAGTGGAGTTTTAATGTTGAATGTGTATTAACCCTTCCAAAATGATCCACCTACTAGATGGATCATAAAAATCTCTATTCATCCAAACCTTTAATTAGCCAACATTTTCTATCTCACAGTCACACCGTATAAAACATTTATTATTTCTTCAGCCTGAGAGCTTGGTTGCTCTTAAGCACTTTTGTTTTTTTGGGACAGAGTCTTGCTCTGTCACCCAGGCCAGAGTGCAATGGCGTGATCTTGGCTCACTGCAACCTCCGCCTCCCAGGTTCAAGCAATTCTTCCTCTTCAGCCTCCCAAGTAGCTGGGATTACATGCACCCGCCACCACGCCCAGCTAAATTTTGTACTTTTAGTGGAGATGGTGTTTCACCATGTTGGCCAGTCTGGTCTCAAATTCCTGGCCTCAGGTGATCTGCCCACCTCGGCTTCCCAAAGTGCTGGGATTACAGGCGTGAGCCACCGCGCCTGGTCCCCTTGGATATCTTGCTGCACAAGTGTTTATGGATAATGAGTGTCTTTTTAATACAAAGTTTCTGCATGAGCTCTCCTTATTCAGCCTGTAAATCCCAGCTATGCCCATTCTTCCACAAGAGTGGATTTGGGCCCTTTAATGACAGCTTGAGCTTGTCCAGCAGGGAAAGGCCCTGGAAGGAAGGGTGGTTCTGTATGCAGTTCCTGGAATACACTTCTTCCAGTGAAGTGTCAGGGAAGAGACACAGCCAGGTTATCAATGGTGTGTGGAATGGGAGTACACCTGAATATGGACATCCCAGAGGGAGAATGGGGGAGCTCTGCACCCCTCCACAAACACCCACATGCACCTCTACCAAAGATTTCAACCCCTCTGGAGACAGTTTTCTCAGCTCAAGCAAACTGTTCCCCTCTTTGCTCTCTCATCATTTAAAATTCCCCAAAGAGGGGCTGGAATTTCTCAAGAGTATATTCCAGGCCACCCAGAGCTCGAGACATGGAAGGAGGCTTTAAACTCCAGAACCAGGACCTGGGTTTTGGGATGGTGTCAATCAGAAATCATGAGGACTGAGGTTTCCAAGGGGACGATGGAGCTTGTAGCCACTTTAGTTGGAAAGTAACTGTGTCTGGACTTGTAATTCTGCACAGGCCGTGTGACAGAGCGATGAAGACAGTGGTGCTCTGGGGCCAACCAGGCCTAACATCCCATATCTGCAGTTACTCTAACATCCCATATCTGCAGTTACTCTCTGTGTGACTCAAAATAGGTTTCTTGACCACTCTGGGCCTCAAATTCTGTCTTTCAGGAATGGACTAATGATGTCACAATTGTGAGGATGAAATGACATGTAAAATGCCTAGTACACGCCTGGCATATAATAAACTGTCTGTAAATAAGAAGTTACCAAGTTTAGATGCTGCACTTATATAATAGACCAAAAATACCTTTCTGTTAGGAGGAAAGCAGCCTGTGGAGTGGGGATGTCCCTGCTGGTGAGCAGGAACATTTTCGTTTTCTATGCAAAAGGGACTGCCCCCAGGCACATAGTTAAATTGGTGAAATTCAACTACACACAGACACACACACAGACACACACACACACACACACACACACACACATATATATATATACACACACACACTTACTTTTTTTTTTTTTTTTTTGAGACAGGGTCTAATTCTGTCATCCAGACTGGAATGCAGTGGTGAAATCGTGGCTCACTTTCACTGCAGCCTCGACCTCCCTGGCCTCAGGTAATACTACCTCAGCCTCCTAAGTAGCTGGGACAGGCATGCACCACCAAGCCTGGCTAATTTTTTTGTAGAGATGGGATTTCACCATGTTGCCCAGACTGGTCTCAAACTCTTGGGCTCAAGCAATTTACCCGCCTCAGTCTCCCAAAGTGCTGGGATTATAGGCGTGAGCCACTGCACCCAGCCTTTACACATCTTTTAACACTTTCTCTCACCTATCCCACATCACCAAGGCCCCACTGCATGTCCCAGGTGCTGTCCTTTTAAGACAGCCAGGCAAGCTCTGCACAAGACAGCTTCTCCCCATCAGATTACACCTGACTCTGAGAGTGAGATGAGTATGCAGGTCGTGACCCATGAACATGGACAAGGAAGATACTTACTTCCAACTGTGGAAAGGATCATACAGAGCAATGGAAATGGGAACAGGAAGGCTTGGGGTGGTGTGTTTCAATCATGTCTATGGAACAGAAGGATTGGAGGAAGCCACAAAGTTTATCAATGGTTGATAATGCAGGGATTAGGGTTGTTTCTTTGTACTTTACGTTGAGACAGATGCCAAGATGTCTCTGCTGCTTAATATATATAATATGTTACATAATGTATAAATATTTACTGAACCAATCTGTCACCCTTCTTCACTGCTCTCAGCCAGCTCACTCAGGAAGCCAACAGACACCACATAGGTGTACTAGGTTGTAAGGTCCCTTGAGGCAGGTGCCTTGACTTTATGTCCCTCCAAGTATTTCTCAAAACTAGGACAAAAAGATTTTCCATTTGAGTGAACTTATTAATGCTGAGGTTCAGTGATGGGTGCATTATTTTTCCTAGCAGTAAGGATTGTCAACAGAGACTTTTGGAATGACTTACTCTTAAGGCATGCATCATTCATTCAACATTTAACATGTACTTGTTCCAGACAGTGTTGTAGGCGTGGAGGATTAAGACAAAGTCCTTGTCCTCACATAGCTTATGATTTTAGTGCATGCCAGATAGAGGAATTTTTTTTTTTTTTTTTGAGACGGAGTCTTATAGTGTCGCTCAGGCTGGAGCACAATGGCGTGATCTCGGCTCACTGCAACCTCCGCCTCCTGGGTTCAAGCGATTTTCCTACCTCAGCCTCCTGAGTAGCTGGGACTACATGCACGTGGCACCACGACTGGGTTATTTTTGTATTTTTAGTAGAGACGGGGTTTCACTGTGTTAGCCAGGCTGGTCTCGAACTCCTGACCTCAGGTGATCTGCCCACCTCAGCTTCCCAAAGTGCTGGGATTACAGCCAAGAGCCACCGTGCCCGGCCTAGACAGAGGAATTTTTAATTGGGGGAGCACATATTCCCACAGTCTTGGCTGCTGGAATTCTGGTTTGGGGTGATGGTTGTGGAAACAGGAATGCCTCTTGAAAACCCTCACATCTCACTATGCAGGAGAAAGTTGCTTATGTCCATGTGTGACCTGAGTCATTTTTTCCTCTTATTTCCCGTTCTTTCTAGAGTGGATGCAATGGTTCAAATGTAAAGGAAATAGGAAAGTAACTCAGTGGACTGCATTCAAAGGATAATGCCCAGACCTCCTGGAGTCACAGGGTGCTAGTGACTGTCAGGTGACACCCATGCCTCCCATCCAGAGGCCTCTGGCAAAGCCCCACACTCTCCTTTTGCCGGGGTCGTGCTTGCTGCAAAGTGATGCCTGCTCAGGGTCTACACACAATGTAACAGGCCTGTGAAAACCCAACTTAATTAGAAGTTGGTGGCATCTTTTCAAACAAACACTTCCAGGAAGTAGCCACTCAGCATTCCAGGTAAGACTTAGGCTTCCAGGTTTCAAGGGGAGAAAGCCTAAACCATAAGACGGCATATACACAGAGTTGTAGTTGTTGTTGCTGTTTTTGAGACGGAGTCTCGCTCTGTCACCCAGGCTGGAGTGCAGTGGTGCGATCTCAGCTCACTGCAAGCTCCGCCTCCAGGGTTCACGCTATTCTCCTGCCTCAGCCTCCCGAGTAGCTGGGACTACAGGCGCCCACCACCACGCCCGGCTAATTTTTTGTATTTTTAGTAGAGACGGGATTTCACCGTGGTCTCGATCTCCTGACCTCGTGATCTGCCTTCCTCGGCCTCCCAGAGTGCTGGGATTCAGGCGTGAGCCACCGCGCCCGGCCTACACAGAGTTTTAGGTAAGAATATGCCAGACTGCTCTCTTTGTTTAATTGGGATATCCATCACCTTATATCTTTATCGTTTCTTTACACTTTTTTTATTATCTTCTAGCTATTTTAAAATGTACGAACAATTAATGTTAACTATAGTCACCTTACTGACTTATAGAACACCAAGTCATATGTCTTCTAAGTATATATTTGTACCCATTAATCAGCCTCTCTTCATCCTCTTTCCCCCAGTACTCTTCCCAGCCTCTGATAACCACCAGTCTACTCTCTAGCTTTATGAGTTCTACTTTTTCTTAGCTCCCACATATGAGGGAGAACATGTAATATTTGTCTTTCTGTGCTTGGCTTATTTCACTTACCAATATGACCTCCAATTCTATCCCTGTTGCTGCAAACGACAAGACTTCATTCTTTTTTATGGTTGAATAATATTTCATTATGTATATATACTACATTTTCTTTATCCATTCATCCATTGATGGACACTTAGTTTGGTTCCCTGTTTTGGCTATTGTGAATAGTGCTGCAAATGAACATGGTTGTGCAGCTATTTCTTTGATATATTGATCTCCTTTCTTTTGGATGTATACCCAGTAGTGGAAATTACTGAATCACGTTGTAGTTCTATTTTCAGTTTAGTTTTTTTTTTTTTTTTTAGGCACCTCCATACTATTTTCCATAGTGGCTGTACTAGTTTATATTTCCACGAACGTTGTTTGAGAGTCCTCCTTTCTCCACAGTCTCACCAGGATCCGCTATTCCCTGTCTTTTTTGTAAAAGCCATTCTAACTAGGGTAAGTTGATATCTCCTTGAGGTAAGTTGATATCTCATTGCGGTTTTGATTTGTATTTATCTGATGATTAGTGATGTTGAATACGTTTTCATTTACCTGTTGGCCGTATTTTATGAAAACTCTGTTCAGATATTTTGCCCATTTTTAAGTCGGATTATTTCTCTTTTTTGTTATTGAATTGTTTGAGCTCCTTGTGTATTCTGGTTGTTAGTCCCTTGTCAGATGAATAGTTTGCAAATATGTTCTCCCATTCTGTGGATTGTCTGTCCACTTTTTGATGGTTTCCTTTGCTGTGCAGAAGCTTTGTAGCTTGGCGTAATCCCATTTGCCTATTTTTACTTTATTTTGCCTGTACTTTTGAAGTCTTACACAAAAAATCTTTGACCAGACCAATGTCCTGAAGTGTTTGTCCAATGTCTTCTTCTAGTAGTTTCATAGTTTCCAGTCTTAGATTTAAGTCTTTAATCCATTTTGACTTGAGTTTTCTGTATGGTGAAAGATAGGGGTCTAGCTTCATTCTTCTGCATGTGAATATCCAGTTTTCCCAGCACGGTTTATTGAGGAAAGTGTCCTTTCCCTATTATATGTTCTTGGTGCCTTTATCAAAAATGAGTTGGCTGCAAATGTGTGAATTTGTTTCTTGGTTCTCTATTCTATTCCATTGGTTGGTCTATGTGTCTGTTTTTATGCCAGTACCATGCTGATTTGGATACTATAGCTTTGTTGTATATTTTGAAGTCAGTGTGATGCCTTTAGCTTTGTTCTTTTTGCTCAGGATTGCTTTGGCTGTTTGGTGTCTTCTGTGGTCCCATATAAATTTTAGGATTTGTTTTTATTTCTGTGGAGAATGTAATTGGTATCTTGATAGGGATTGCACTAAATCTATACATTGCCTTGAATAGAATTATCATTTTAACATGATTAATTCTTCCAATCCATGGATTGGAATATTCTGCCAATTTTTGATGTCCTCTTCAATTTCTTTCATCAGTGTTTTATAGTTTTTCTTATATTGATCTTTTATATCTTTTGTTAAACTGATTCCTAGGTATTTTACATTCTTTGTAGCTATTGCATGGGTTTGCTTTCTTGATTTCTTTTTCAGATTGTTTGCTGTTGGTGTATATAAATGCTACCAATTTTTATTTGTTGATTTTGTAGCCTGCATTTTACTGAATTCATTTATCAGTTCTAAGAATTTTTTTGGTGGTGTCTTTAGGTTTTTCTGAGTATAAGACTATGTTGTCTATGCATGAAGCTAATTTGACTTCTTCCTTTCCAATTGTGAATGCCCTTTATTTCTTTCTCTTGCCTAATTGCTCTGGTCAGAATTTCCAGTATTATGTTGGATAAAAGTGGGCATCTTTGTCGTGTTCCAGATCTTAGAGAAAGGTTTTCAATTTTTCCCTAATCAGTATGATATTGGTTGTGGGTTTGTCATATATGGCCTTTATTATTTTGAGGTATGTTCCTTCTATACCCAGTTTGTTGAAGTTTTTTTTATCATAAAGTGTTGTTAAATTCTATTGAATGCTTTTTTTAGCATCTGTTGATATGTTCATATGGTTTTTATCCTTTGTTCTGTCAATGTGATGTACCACATTTGTTGATTTGTGATACAAACCACAAATTTTGATGTTGAACCATCCTTGGATCTCTGGCATGAATCCCACTTGATCATGGTAAATGATCTTTTTAATGTGTTGTTTAATTCAGTTAGCTGGTATTTTGTTAAGGATTGTTGCATCTATGTTCATTAGTGATATTGGCCTGTAGCTTTTTGTTGTTGTTGTTGTGTGTCCTTGTCTGGTTTTGGTATCAGGATGATGCTGGCCTGGTAGAATGATTTTGGAAGTACTCCCTCCTCTTCAATTTTTAAAAAGAGTTTGAGTAGAATTGGTATTTGTTCTTCTTTAAATGTTTGGTAGAATTCAGCAGTGAAGCCATTAGGTCTTGGACTTTACTTTGGTGGGAGACTTTTTATTACAGCTTTGATTCTTTTACATTCATCTTTGGTTTGTTGACATTTTCTACTTCTTCATGGTTCAATCTTGGTAGACTGTACGTGGCCAGGACTTTATCCATTCCTTCTGTGGTGTCCCATTTGTTGGTGTATAGTTGCCTGTAATAGTCTTTAATGATTCTTTGTATTTCTGTGGTCTCAGTTGGTATATCCCCTTTTTTTGTTTCTGAATTTATTTATTCTGTCTTTTTTTCTCAGTCTAGCTAAAGGTTTGTTGATCCAGACTGGCGTGTGTGTGTGTGTGTGTGTGTGTGTGTGTATGTATGTTTGAGTCAGGGTCTCTGTTGCCCAGGCTGGAGTGCAGTAGCAAGATCTCAGCTCACTGCAGCCTCTGTCCCTGGGCTCAAGTGATCCTCCCACCTCAGGCTTCTGAGTAGCTGGGACCACAGGCACACACCACCATGTCTGATTAATTTTTGTTTTTTTGAAAAGGCAGGGTTTTCCCATGTTGCTCAGGCTATTCTCGAACTCCTGGGCTCAAGCAACCCACCCATCTTGGCCTCCCGAAATGCTAGGATTACAGGCATGGGCTCCCAAGCCTGGCCTCAAACTGTTCTTAACCTGTGGAAAAGGTAAATCCATCTCATTAAAGAGAAAGAATAACATATATGCCACAATGTTGCTGATTTGCCACAGCTGGGCATGGTGCCAGACAAAGAGGGCCAGAGAGGCCAACCTTGTACCAAGCACAAGTCACCAACCAAGAGCAGCCCAGTTTCATGGGGGTTGGGGCAGCCAGCCTTTAAGTTGGCCTCAGAGATTCCATCTCCTAGTATTCACACCTTTGTGTCCCCTTCCACATTATAAGCATATTAGTGTTTGTGATAGATAGAATATGGCGAACTGAGATAGGTCACTTCCAAGATTAGGTTAGAAAATACACTGTGGGCCCTATTTCCCTCTCTCTGTCTCTCTCTCTCCTCCATCTCCCTCCCCCTCTGTCATAACTCTCTCTGGGGAAATCAGATGCCATGTTGTAATAATTACAATAATATTTTGTTATTATTCAGTAGCTAATATATGCCAGGCACTGTGCTAGGCACCTTACAAATACTTTTCCAATGAATCCTTACTATCGACCCATGAGGTTAATACCATTATTATTCTGTACATATTACAAAGGAGAAAATGAGGCCTCAAGAAGTGAAGTAACTTGCTCAGAAGTTGGTCCTAATCTCTTTTGACTCCAAAGTCCATGCTCCTAACCACTCTCAGTGTGCTAGGGCAATAGTAGCAACAAAGAACAAAAATCTCAGAACCCAAGCAATTTACAATTTAGTGAGTGAGATGAAGCATGCACAAAGGGAACAATTAGAGAAAAATTACAAATGAAAATACAAATTTGAGATAATTTGCCCTCCCCACTCCCTTAAGCGATAATGACTAGAGGTGCTAAG
Source organism: Homo sapiens (assembly GCF_000001405.40). Taxonomy (NCBI): domain Eukaryota; kingdom Metazoa; phylum Chordata; class Mammalia; order Primates; family Hominidae; genus Homo; species Homo sapiens. Next base: position 112,466,127 of record NC_000002.12, on the reverse strand, counting down.
GAAATAGGAATGTGGGGCAAGGGGAATAATCAGGAAAAATTTCTTAGAAGAAATGGGTTTTGATCCAGATTTAGAATGGAAGGCAACTGAAAATATCATCTGAGCTGGTTCCAACATGTATTGACCCAAGGAAAAGTCAAAGGCATCAGCATCTCTTTTACCTAGTTTTTCCCTAATGCTCATCTGCCTCCAAGGTCAATTGCTAGTTTTGATATTGTACAATAGCTATGCAAGATGTTACCATTGGGGAAAATTGAGAAAAGGGTATATGTGACCTTCTGGTCCTTTTTTTTTTTTTTTTTTTTTTTTTGCAATTTTCTGCAAATGTATAACTATTTCAAAATTAAAAGGTTTTTTGTTTGTTTGTTTTTTTTTTTTGGTCAGGGGTATAACTATTTCCCAAGTGTGCCAATCAGTTGTCTACTGGCTCTTAACTCCATTCGCACCCCTTGCATGCGTCTCTGTATCACAGGGCGGCTGGAAGCCTGCAAACCACATTTCCTAGACTCTCTTTTCAGTTGATTTTAGGTTCTGCCAGTAGGAGTCACTGGCAGTAAATTGGAAGATGATCAAAGCCACAGACTTCTTTTATTCTTGAGGCAACAGTGTATCCCAGTAGCCTCAGTAGCCTGGTGATTGTGGGTCCTGGAAAACACCTTTCCTTTTCTTTCTCCAGGTTAGGTGGATGGTAGCACCCTGCAATTACTGATCTTTGGGTAATCTCATTTCCCCTTTCCAATCCTTCAGCCCTTCCAACATTTTTTTTTTTTTTTTTTTGCAATGGAGTTTCGCTGTTGTTGCCCAGGCTGGAGTGCAATGGTGTGATCTCGGCTCGTCCCAACCTCCACCTCCCGGGTTCAAGCAATTCTCCTGCCTCACCCTCTGGAGTAGCTGGGATTACAGGCATGTGCCACCCCGCCTGGTTAATTTTTTTGTGTTTTTACTAGAGACGGGGTTTCTCCATGTTGGTCAGCCTGGTCTCGAACTCCCGACCTCAGGCTGCCCTCCTCGGCCTCCCAAAGTGCTGGGATTACAGGCATGAGCCACTGTGCCCGGCCCCAACATTTTTTAAAAACACTTTGAGATATAATTTACATACAGCAAAGTTCATCCATCATAAGTAACTGCAAAAATTTTGGCAAATTCATGTGACCATCACTATAACTTAGCTTTAGGACATTTCATCACCCCCCAAAATTTCCTCGTGTCTGTTTATGGTTAATTCCCACTCTCACCTCCAGCCCCCTGGAACCACAGTCCTGCTTTCTGCCTGTATACATTTCTTTTTTTCTGAATATTTTATATAAATTGAATTTACAAAGTGTTGTCTTTTGTGTCTGGTCTCTATCACTTAGCATAATGTTTTTGAAGTTCATCCATGTGTTAGTGCATATCAGTAGTGTGTGCCTTTTAATTGTGGCACAGTATCCCATTATTTGAAAATACTACAATTTGTTTGCCTGCTCATCAGTTGATGGGTCTTTGTGTTTCCAGTTTTTGGCTATAAGAAATAATTCACAGATATGTCTGTATGTGGACATACATTTTCATTTCTTTGGGGTAAATTCCTGGGAATGGAATTGCTGTGTTGTATGGTAAATTTATGTTTAACTTTGAAAGACCCTGCCAAACTATTTTCCACAGTGGATCTACCATTTTATATTCCCACCAGCAATGCACAAGTGGTACAGTTTCTCTGCATCTTTGACAAGACTTGGTACTGTCTGTCTTTTTTATTATAGTTGACGAGTATCTGTGTAGTGGTATCCAGTGGCTTTAATTTGCATTTCACTGATGATTATGTTGCTGTTGAGTATGTTTTCATGGCTATTTGCTTTTCAGCCATCTGTATTCTTTCTTTGGTGAAATGTCTATTAAATCTTATGCTCATTTTTAATTGGCTTGACTTCTTGTTGTTGAGTTGTATGAGTTCTTTATATATTTTGGATACAAGCCCGTTATCAGATATATGTCTGGTAAACACTTATCCCAGTCTGTGGCTTTTAAAAACTATCTTCTTTATGGTATCTTTTATAGTGCAAAAATTTTAGATTTTGATGAATTGTAATTTACTTATTTTTTCTTTTATAGATCATTCTTTTGGTGTCATATTTAAGAACTCCTTGCCCAACTCAAGGTTATGAAATTTTTCTCCTATTTTTTTTCTAGAAGTTTTGTAATTCTAGCTTGTACATTTAGGTATATAATCCATTTAGTGAATTTTTGTGTAAAGGACAGGGTCTAAGGTCATTTTTTTTAAGTCAATATGCAGTTGTCCCAGACTATTTGTTAAAATATTATCCTCTCCTTGTTAAATTTTCTTGGCAACTTTGCTGAAAATCAATCCTTTCACCTCACCCTCCCAAGTAGCTGGGACTACAGGCATGCATCACTGCACCTGGCTCTACACCTGCATTTTTGAAAGATACTTTTAAATTCTGGATATAGAATTCTTGGATAATTGTTGGCATTTCCCCCAGCACTTTGAATATTTTTATACAACTACCTTCTAGCCTTATTTTTGAGGAGAAGTAGCTGTTAATTGTATTAGTGTTCCCTGTATATTCTACTTTCAGTGATAAAAGAGTCTTTGGCTTTCAACAGTTTGACTATAATGTGTCTAGGTGTGGTTCTTCTATTTGAAGTTTGCTGAATTTCTTGGATCTGTAGATTAATGCTTTTCATTTAATTTGAGGAGCATTTGGCCATTGTTTATTCAAATATGTTTTTCTGCTCTTTCTTCCTCTCTCATCTGAAATGCCCATTAAGTATATATAGGTACACTTGATATACGGCAGGTCTTCAAGGCTGTGTTCACTTTTCTGCAGTCTTTTCTCTCTTTGTTGTCTAAGATGTCCTCTTGATCTATCTTCAAGTTCACTGATTCATTCTTCTTCCATCTTAAATCTTTTGTTGAACTCCTCTAATGAATTCTTTACTTTGATTATTGTACTCTTCAACAACACATTTTCATTTTTTATATATTTTTTAAAGAGAGAATCTTGCTTTGTCACCCAGGCTGGAGTGTGGTGGCACTATCACAGCTCACTGCCACCTCAAATTCTTGGACTCAAGAGATCACCCTGCCTCAGCCTCCTGAGTAACTGGGACCACAGGCAAGCACCACGACGCCTGGCTAATTTTTAAATCTTTTTTGTAGAGATGGAAGTCTCAACATCTTGCCCTGGCTGGTCTTCAACTGCTATGCATAGCTTAGTGTTCAGTCGATTATTAGATAAAGATTGTGTTCAAATACCTCAAACCAGTAAGGTTTGCATCATCTGCTGATGCATTTGAACATGGATAGGGGACCACATTAAAAATTTAGGCTGTTGGGGCCAGGCCGGTAATCTCAGCACATTGGGAAGCTGAAGCAGGTGGATTACTTGAGGTCAAGAGTTCGGGACCAGCCTGTCCAACATGGTGAAACCGCATCTCCACGAAAAATACAAAAATTAGCCAGGCATGGTGGCACGCGCCTGTAACCCAAGCTCCTCAGGAGGCTGAGGCAGGAGAATCACTTGAACCCAGGAGGCGGAGGTTGCAGTTAGCCAAGATCCTGCCACTGCACTTCAGCCTAGGGGACAGAGGGAGACTCCTCTTAAAAAAAAAAAAATTAGGCTGTTCTCAGGTCTTCTTAGTGTTTTGCTTTCTGATGCCACCTTTTGAGTCTTCTACGCTCACACAAAGCCTTAGTGTCAGCTAGGAGTGTGTGAATAGCTGGAGGATTCTCAGTCTCTGCCACACATGCGCACAGCATCATACAGGAATATGCTTACCCCAGTTGCAAGCTCAACCGCAGGCCAGTAGAAATTTGACCTTGGCTCCCCCCACTCTCCTGCCTCTGAGAAATCAGTTTCACTGACTGATCCTGACTGTGGGTGTCATCCAGTGCTCCTAATGGAGAGAGTCTCCTTCAATGGCAGTCGAGAAGCTGCTGGTCCTCGTGGGCTGCCCTCCCTGGCAGAACCCCTATGTTGATCAAGCTGGGAGTGGGGGCAGTATGACTGGAATAACTGGGACTTATTCCTCAGATCTCCACAAAGATTAGCAGGGGCTCAAGCATAAACACTTCTCAGATTGTCGTTTTCCTGTGGTCACTTTCAAATTTGCTAAAACAGCTCTTTTTTTTTTTTTTCAATTTTGTCCATCTTTATAGCTGCTTTTAAGGAAGATGATTTGATGATTTCCTCACTCGACCACAGCTAGAAGTTCTGCCTGAATCACTATCCCTCCTAATACTTTTGTAATTAATTCCTTGAATCAAATTTCCTGTTTCAAATAACTTGAGTGGTGGTTTCTGATTTCCTGACCAGACACAACTCAAACACCATAATATTTAGAAACGTACTGCAAGTCAAGGAATGGATGATAATTGAATAGGAAATAATCCTCAAAGGTTTGGCACCATTCATATGCCCTGATGTTCCTCACCCTCACACATACACACAAAATACCAGAGTTTGGTATCACATTGGTATAGATTTGAATCCAGTCTTGATCTACTTATCGGCTCTGAAATTGTGGGCACAATTTTGAGCCTCCATGAGCTTTGGTTTCCTCATCTGTAGAGTGAAGTTAATAATATTTATCTAATAATGCACATGCTAAATGGCCTAGTCATTCCACAGTGTATACGTATATTAAAACACTACGTGGCCGGGTGTGGTGGCTCATACCTGTAATCCCAGCACGTTGGGAGGCCAAGGCGGGTGGATCACTGGAGGTTGGGAGTTCAAGACCAGCCTAGACAACATGGTGAAACCCTGTCTTTACTAAAAATACAAAATTAGCCAGGTGTGGTGGCCCATGCCAGTAATCCCAGCTACTTAGGAGGCTGAGGCAGGAGAATCGCTTGAACTCGGGAGGCGGAAGTTGCGGTGAGCTGAGATCACACCATTGCACTCCAGCCTGGGCCACAAGAGTGAAACTCCGTCTCAAAACAAAAACAAAAACAAAACAAAAAACACAAAAACACCATGTTGCACACCATGAATATATACAATTTTTACCTGTCAATTTAAAAAAGAAATAAAAAAATACTTACCTAATGAAATCATTCTGAGGAATAAATGAGATGATGTGTGGAAAACACTTGAGACACAATACATATCAAATATGTCTTTAAATCCATTTTCTCTCCAATTTAAGCACCCATTCCTTTTCTTGTTTCAGCAGCCTGAATTATTGAACTAGCAGACTGAATATTCACTCAGGAATCAAATTCTTATGAAAATCCACACAGGAGATAACTGGAAAGAAAAAGTCAAATTAAAGTGTTCGGCAATTCATCATTTGGTTTCATTAGTTCCAGGGCCTAATTTCCTTTCAGTTTCCCACAACAGGACTTTTTGAAGACTCACAGTTGAACCTTATTTTTATGCCTGAATTGATTAAAACTTTTAGCTTCTTTTACAGACTCTAGTCCAGTTCTTATTTCCATGAATAAGCAGGACCGTCAGTACAGCAGAAACAGCAAACCTCTCTTAGCTCCATGCATAAATTATGATGTCTGCTTGTTAGCAATACTCTCTGTAACATCAGCAGCAGAGTCAGCTAACAGTTGCTGGCAGGTGCCACAGTCTGGAACTCTACTATAGATGGACATAGATTTCTGTGGCTTGGTAAACCATCTGGATTTCTTACATTTAGGGTGAATCCAATTATTTGTTCTTTCCTTTGGAGGGTGAAAAGTGTCTTCCCAACAAGGTAAGTCAATCTGTCCATGTTTTTCTCCTTGTTGATTCTCTATGGTTGGCTACTCTCTCGTGATTGTCAATCAAAAGTGGATTATGGGATTTCTACAAGTTATGCTCTGAATGTGATGGTGTTGGCTGATCTCTAGATGTATTCAGAAACAGGAATAATCACATTCCTCTTTTCCCTATGTGTTAAGCTGTTTGTTAACTGGGATCATTTATTTTATAATACATTTTGGTGTCTTAATATGTTTCATTAACAGAGTTCATGCTAAAAAACATTGTGTGAGTTAGCCATTTAAAAACGAAAGAGAAGATCTACTAAAGTAAACAAAAACAGTACTAGATACAATACAACCACCTCTGTTTTTGGATAATTTAGGTGTGTTAGGATTCTACATGTCCTCCTTCCAGCTCTATAAGCACTTCATGTCGAAGATCTGTAGATGTGCAGAAAGGAATGTCCCAGAGATATTGTGGGTTGTGGGGGAATGGTGCAGGTGTGCCAGTTGGGCCTCCCAAACATATTCAAAATAGTTTAAGTAGAACAAAAAAGTATGTGTTGAAGGACAAAGGCTTGCCTGAATCTAGGAGCGTAAGCAATGTCCTCAGGACTTGGTCTCACTCTCTCGGTCTCTCACTACACTCTCCTCAGTGCTGGTTCTATCCACAAGCAGGCCCCCATCATGGGGGCACAGTGGCTGTCAGCACCTCCAGGCACATAACCTGGCTCTCAACAGATTTTTGGGGTCAATCATAATTGGACAAGCTGAGATTATCTGTCTTACCTGAAGCAATCCATGTAGCCAGGGGAAGGGTCTTAGCTCAGCTTCCCTGGAAGCAGAGCCTGAGACAGTGGTTTGGGGTCACATGACGTATTGAAGAAATGCCCTTCAGGAAAAACCTATAGGGGAAGGGGAGAAACAGGAGAGGGCAGGGGAAGGAACTAAGCAAGGATGTGGTGTCAGGTCAGATCTAGCCTGGTCTGATCCACAAGATGAAAGCATTGAGGACAAACTACATCATAGTTGGTCTCCCCTAGAGGCAAGGGGCTTACCTTTTATAATCTATTTCATTTGGTCATTGGCTGTAGTCTGTACCTAGAGGAAAGATCACTCCCCAGGAAAAGTAGCTATATCATCTCAGGGCAATTCCCTGGAGAGGGGGCAGATGTGAGCTGTTAGCAGCTTACATTGCAGCATTAGGTGCACGGGCTGGTGAAGGGACCTGAGTGGGCACCATGGCATCTACTACTTTAAGTTTAGTGGGACTCTTCCTATACCCCCTGATAAAGCATGCTTTATTCGGAATCCACAGCTTCTAGTCCCACAGAATCTAAAGTTGGTGAGGAACAGAAACACAAATTCCCCAAGAGAGATGTTGAGAAAGGCCATTCCCCTCTCCACCATTTAGTCCCCATTTCGATGAATTCTACCTTTCAGGAACACCACATATCTAATGGCTGTTGGTTTAAGGAGTGTGTTGCATCTTGAAGAATAGCATTCCATCCTCACAGGGCGTCGTCTCCAGGTCAGCACCTCAACTGCATCTTTAAGAGGCCATTCCACTGCTGTGTCAGGCTGGAAGGTTCTGGAGGATGCAGTACATGTTAGGAACAGTGGATCCTGTGGTCATGGGCCCATGGCTGCACCTCCTTTGTCATCAAGTGGGTCCCTTGTTTGAAGCTAGGCTTTGTGGAATCTCATATTGGTAAATCACTCCCACTGTGAGTTCTCAAATAGTGGTGCTGGCTCTGGCTCTGCAGGCAGGAAAGCCAAACCCTTACCCAGAACTTGTATCAGTTCCAGTCAGGATGAGTGGCTGCCCTTTCCAGAGTAGCAAGGATTCATTGTAATAAACTTGTCACCAAGTTGCTGGCTGGTTGCCACAAGGGAATGTACAGGTGGCTCAGCATCCATCTCTGTTGCTGACAGGCTGGAAAATTACACCACTCTTGGTGAGAGGAGCCTGTGTTCTTGGGCCTCTGCGTAGCCTCCATCTATGCCTTCCTGGCTATTTCCTTCCTGAGGCCATGATGGAAGCACCAGGATGGCTGAGGGTAGAGGCTGGTGGGCATCAATTAGTTGAGTCACTCAATCTATGCATTGGCTTAATATCTCATGCGCAATGGATGGTCCCTTATGAGCATTAACATGTGCTACAAAGACCCTGATACTTGATGTCCACTCCCATAGGTCCAACAATATACCTCTTCCCCAGACCTCCTTGTCCCTTGATCTTACTATGCTGCTCCTTCCAATCCCCTAATCCACCAGTCAAGTCATTCATCACTGCCTGTGAGTGGATGTATATTCTTACTTTGGGTTATGATATGGTTTGGCTGTGTCCCCACCCAAATCTCATCTTGAATTGTAGTTCCCATAATCCCTATGTGTCATGGGAGGGACCCAGTTGGAGGTGATTGAATCATGGTGGCAGTTACCTCCATGCTGTTCTCGTGATAGTGACTGAGTTCTCACGAGATCTGATGGTTTCATAAGGGGCTTTTGCTTGGCACTTCTCCTTCCTGCCATCATTTAAAGAAGAATGTGTTTGCTTCCCCTTCCTCTGTGATTGTAAGTTTCCTGAGGCCTCCCCAGCCATGTGAAACTGTGAGTCAATTAAACCTCTTACCTTAATAAATTACCCGGTCTTGGGCAGTTCTTTATAGCAGCGTGAGAATGGACTAATCCAGGTTACTTCTCTCTCCACCCAAAGTGTATGACCAATTGCATAGCCTGAATGTCTGCCCCCTGGAGGGATTCTCCTCATCACTCTTATCTCTGAGTGGGTCAACCATGCAATAGCAGTGCCTTTTCAGCGGGTACCAATATACTGGGCCAACCCATCCCTGAATCACACTCAGACCATTTGTCCTTCTGTCATCTGTTGGTAATTGACCCATGTTGCTATGTGAGATGAGCTGAGAAAAAGTGGATCATGTGGGTGTCTGGCTCTTTGCTCATGCAGCTTAGTTATTTGCTCTGGATCTGCTTGGACATGATCTTGGATGTGCCATTTCCACCTTTCAATGGATTGCTGCAGGCTCTGCTAAACCTTATGACTCTGGGTCTCACAGCATGCAGTTCATGATGGGCAGTTCTGACCACATGATCACTTGATGGCCCATAGTCAGAGGCAGCGTCTCACCACACCCTGGTAGCATGTGAGGGGCTGTTTTTTAAATGATGTCTAGTTCTCTGCTGCAGATACATAACTTGCTGCAGAACCCTGTATGTCTATGCTGAGATTCTCCTATTGGGGTTCCACATGGTATCACTTTCTAATTCTAATCCATGAGGTATGTCCATTCACTTGGCCCAGGCAGCAGTTCTGTCTGTACTATAGCCCAAATATGCTGCAGTGCCCTTTTCTGCTCGGAGCCTCTATCAAAATTAACAGCTTGTTACTAATATCCAATAAATGGGTTGGAATGATATTCCCAAGTGTGACATAGTCTACCTTCAAAACCAGAAGGGGTCTCCCAAGCACTGTGCCTCTTTCTTTAGTAGTAAGATGTTCAAGGTGAAAAACTTGTTCCTGCTTTGGAGGGCCCATCCTGACATGTTCCACACTTTTGGACTCCTAAAATTGTCATCACTGTGCAAACCTCTGAATCTTTACGGGACTTACTTCCCATCCTCATTAAGTGCGTATTTTCACAAAGGCATCCTGAGTACTTGCCAGTTCATGCTCATCAGGTCCAATTAATGTGTTGTCATCAATAAAGTGGACCAATGTGACATTTGGAGGAATGTCCCAGATGGTCCAGCTCTCTTTTGGTTATACTGAGACAGAGATCAGGAGAATTAACATAGCTCCTGGGTGGCCGGACATGGTGGCTCACGCCTGTAATCCCAGCACTTTGGGAGGCCGAGACCGGCGGATCACGAGGTCAGGAGATCAAGACCATCTTGGCTAACATGGTGAAACCCCATCTCTACTAAAAACACAAAAAAATTAGCCGGGCATGGTGGCGGGTGCCTGTAGTCCCAGCTACTCAGGAAGCTGAGGCAGGAGAATGGCGTGAACCCGGGAGGTGGAGCTTGCAGTGAGCCGAGATCGTGCCACTGCACTCCAGCCTGGGCGACAAACAAACAAACGAACAAACATAGCCCCTGGGCAAGAACGTGAATGAATGCTGTGAATGTGACCTATTTCTGATCCTTCTTCCTGTTGAGTAGGATAAAACCTCCTTTGCCAGATCTCTAGCCACATACTAGATTACTAGCGGCTGTGTTAACGTGCTTTAGTAGTAGGGATACTACATTGTTATAGTAGCTCCATTTGAGGTTATTACTTGGTTAATGTTGTAGCTGGCCACTGTGATACACCTTAAATCCAGGTGTGCAGGAGTCAATCTGGTAAACTACTTGGGAACATAATAGGAACCACCAGTGATGGATTTTTTTTTTTTTTTTTTTTTTGAGACGGAGTCTCGCCGTGTCGCCCGGGCTGGAGTGCAGTGGCCCGATCTCAGCTCACTGCAAGCTCCACCTCCCGGGTTCATGCTATTCTCCTGCCTCAGCCTCCTGAGTAGCTGGGAGTACAGGCACCGGCCACCATGCCCGGCTAATTTTTTTGTGTTTTTAGTAGATATGGGGTTTCACCGTGTTAGTCAGGATGGTCTCGATCTACTGACCTCATGATCTGCCTGCCTCGGCCTCCCAAAGTGCTGGGATTACAGGCGTGAGCCACCACGCCTGGCCGGATCTTTTGTTTTTGAGGATGGCACTCATCTTCGTCATTACCCCCGGGATGCACTATTGTTCTTGATATATGATATTGGCTAAGGTTGTGCGTGCAGTTTCAGGGTGGCTCTTTGATCTTGGATCTCTACTGAGAAATTGAAATACACACACAAACACATGAAATCAAAGAACATACAGAAGGCTGAAACCAGCTACTCCAGTAATGGAGACTCACAATCCCTTGCATTATATGCGTGTGTATGTTTTAAGGCCACACAGTTGGAATCAGATAGCTAAAAAAGTCAGTTGAATAGCAGTTTACCAAACCAGGATGGGAAAGTTTCCCTGATAAGAGTTCATGAATAGCCTGGATGAGAGGTTCATTTTTGGGTGTGTATCATCCAAACGAAGGGAAGTTGCACTGGGCTAATGAGGTGATTGGAGGTGTGTGAGATTGGAAGCTGATCTTGGGGGACTGCTTTTTGCCTTGGAGGCAGAACTAACCAAGACGTGGTCATAAATCTGTGCTCACTTCAGCCAGTGATGTCTTGAGACTGATTATCTTTTACTTTTTGGAGAGCAGTCCCTTTATTTGTGATGCTTCTGAGATGTAAAGTCAATGACGTTGCTGCTTAGCTAAAGAGTTTTTTATTAGTTTGTTCTGGCTAATTAATATGATTAGGGAGTTAAAAATTTGCAGAATTTATTTTTTTCTTTCTCTAGAGAAAGATGACAAAATTATTTTAAATAGTAGACCCTCTGATTTTGTGTGTCATCTCAAACATACTATATATAATAAATTATCTGGCACCTAGAATTCTATTGTAATAAGGTCTGTTGTTTTGTCTGCTTGGTACCCTCCTTCTGCAACAAAGCCCTGATTTTCAGTGTAGAATCATCCTCCCTGACTTTTAGCAGTTATGGTTAGTGGGACCACACCCAATGCTGGATGCAGGGCTGGGCACATAGAAGATACCTAGCCAGTCAGCATGTTCTCTCCCTGAGGCTAGTGCTCTTTCTCTACCCACATCCCTTCACCAGGTCAGTGCATCCATGCCCAGCTGCTGTGAGGCTTACCTGCTGATAATCATAGGTGCACCCCTTTTCTAAAGGATTGGCTGGATGTTTTGCTCACATCTATAATCCCAGCACTGTGAGAGGCTGTGGCAGGAGAATTGCTTGAGCCCAGGAGTTCAAGATCAGCCTGGCTACAAGGTCATTAACTAGAGTGGAATTTCAAAGCCTGATCTACCTCAGGATATGCTTGCCCTGCTGAGGGAGGGAGATGTTATATGTAAAGGAGCAGCAGGGCCTGAATAACAGGGATTAAGAGAACTGGTAGTGTGTACCTAGGAATAGATCTTAATGGCTAGGAGTCAAGGTTGGGTAGAAGGTGAGGCTGCATAAGGAAGCTGTTCATATTAGGTGTCAACTTGATTGGATTGAAGGACACCTAGATAGCTGGCATTGTTTCTGGGTGTGTCTGTGAGGGTATTGCCAGAGGAGACTGACATTTGAGTTGTTGGTTTGGGAGAGGAAGACCCACCCTCAGTGTGGGTGGGCACCATCCAATCTAGCTGCCAGGCTAGAATGAAGAAGGCAGAAAATAGGATAAGTTTGCTTGTTGAGTCTTCTGGCTTTCTTTCTTCTTCCCATGCCGGCCACTGGCTTCCACTCTTCCTGCCCTTGGACCTCAGACTCCAGTGGCTTCCTGAGAGCTCTTAGGCCTTTGGCCTCAGACTGAAGCTGCATTGTTGGCTTCCCTGGTTTTGAGGCCTTCTGACTTGGACTGAGCCACTACTGATTCTCTCTTTCCCCAGCTTGCAGACAGTCACCTTGTAATCATGTGAGGCAGTTTTCCCTAATAAACTCCTGTAGATAGATAGATAGATAGAGATATAGATATAGGAGAGAGATATATATACACACACATACATATATGTGATATATGATATATCACATATATCATATAGGATATATCTATATATCCTATACATCCTATACATCTATATATCCTATACATCCTATATATCCTATACAAATATATAGGATATATCTATGTATCCTAGGATATATAGATATATAGATACATATATATAGATATATAGATATATCCTAGGATACATAGATATATATCTATGTATCTATATATCCTATACATCCTATTTGATAGGATGTATAGGATATATATAGGATATATCCGTATATCCTATACATCCTATTTGTTCTCCCCCTCTGGAGAACTCCAATACAGAAGCCTTCTCAAGGTGGGGGCATCTTTTACATAACACAAGATTTAACACCTGCAATGAGCCCCACAAGAAAGCTCTAATATACCGCTGCAAAGCTTCAGAAGCTTGGAAAAATCAATGGCCCACATTAAATGAAGCAGAGATGCCAGAACTATGGACAAAGAGTTCAAAAAGACACTCCATTTATCAGAGCTAAGAAGGCACTGGTGGGAGGGCAGCAGCATCAATGAGAGGCACGGTAGCAAATGTCTTCTGAAGGTCAAGAAGAATGGTGGGGATGCTGTTACAGAACTGGACTTCCTGTTAGCAATGGGGAGCATAGGATCCCAGCACAGTAAGGGCCATATGACAGCTCCTAAATGTCAGGAGGAAGGTGAGCATCATTACTGTACTAGACAGCAAGGTTGGAATCACAGTCAGAAAGATGTCTCTTGTTTATGTAAACTTGTCTGGTAATATCAACATGATAATTTATTTAATAAGCTATCATTTTCTCATTAAATTGAAATACTGTGCCATTGTCTTACATTAAATTCTGAAATGTGCTTGATTTATCTCTGGATTCTGTAGTCTGAATATCCTTGGGTCAGTTCAATAGTGGGCTGATTGTAGTGTTTTTTTTAGGAGATTCAACTACCTAAAAATGATTAAGTATAGGAACTTACATAAGATAGGTTTATTTCTCTGAAAATCCAAAGCTGGCAGGATGTCCAAGTGATGTAGGCTGCTGCAACCTATGAGTTAATTCAAGGAGCCAAATTCTTTTTTGTTTTCGTAGCCATCCCTTAGGGTGTTACCTGCATAGTCTCACTATACCTATGTTCCAGCCCATGGTATGAGAGAAAAATGGGGGAGAGAAACAAAATCCTTTTTAAGGGCATAACCCCAAAGTCACATGACTTTATTCCATATGTGTGCCTTTAGTCAGAATGTAGTCACACTACCAATCTAGCTAAAAAGGAGTCCAGAGAACGTAATCTCTGACAGGTTGGCCTATTCTTAGATAAAACTAATGGGAAGAAGAGAAATGGACACAGGAAGTTGGTAATGAGCCTTCAAGATGGCCCCCAATAATCCCTGACACCTAGTATTTACAATCTTGTGTAGTCCCCTCCCATGTTACACTAAGTTTAATCTGTGTGTCCAACATCATAGGCAAGAGTGATAGCATGTCACGTCTGAGAATAGATTACAAAAAGACGACAGCCAGTCTTGAGATCTCTCTCTGACCACTTGCTCTGGGGGAAGCCAGTTGCTATGTTGTGAGGTAGCCCTGTGGAGAAACCTATATGGAAAGAACTGAGTGTCTGGCCTCCCAACAACCATACAGTGAGCTTGGAAGTGGATTCTCCAGCCTCAGTCAGGCCTTGAGATGTTGCAGCTCAGGCGGATAGCTTGACTACACCCTCGTGAGACACTCTGAGCCAGAACCACCCAGCTAAGCTGCAGGTGGATTCCTGATCCTCAGAAACTGAGGTAATAAATGCTTGTTATTTTAAGCTGCTATGTTTGAGGGTAATTATTACACACTCTGTTGCTGCATAACGAATTGCTCCAGAGCTTAGTGGCTTAAAACCCCTACGTTTATTAGCTCATAGATTCTTTGAGTCAGGAATCTGGACATAACGTAGCTGGATCCTTGGGCTCTGGTTGCAGTCAAGGTGTCAGCAGGGCTGCAGTTACCTTCAGGCTTGATTAGGGATAGATCAGCTTCCAAGCACTCTCACATGGTTGTTGGCCAGTTTCTACATGGGTTATTAGACTAAAGCTTCAATTCCTCAAAAGCTGTTGGCTGGAAGCCTCTCTTGGTTCCTTACTACATAGGCTTTTCCATTGGGCAGTTTACAACATGCCTGCTGGCCTCACTACAGTGAGCAAGAAAGAGGGTAAGAGATGGTAAGCAAGAAAAAAGCCACAGTCTTTTGTAACTTAATCTTTGAAGTAATATTGTCAGAGGTGTTTGAACCAGAGCGACTCCATATTGAATAGGGGCTGGGTAAAATTAGGCTGAGACCTATTGGGGTGCATTCCCAGGAGGTTAGGCATTCTTAGTCATAGGATGACATAGGAGATCAGCACAAAGTACAAAGACCTTGCTGATAAAACAGTTTGCAGTAAAGAAGCCAGCCAAAACCTACCAAACCCAAGATGGCAATGAAAGTGACCTCTGGTCATTCTCACTGCTCGTTATCCACGAATTATAATGCGTTAGCATGCTAGAAGACATTCCCATCAGTGCCATGACAGTTTACAAATGCCTTAGCAATGTCTGGAAGTTACCCTGCATGGTCTAAAAAGGGGAGGAAACCTCAGTTCTGGGAATTGTCCTCCCCTTTCCTGGAAAACTCATGAATAATCCACCCCTTGTTTAGCATATAATCAAGAAAGAACCGTAAGTGTTCTTAGTCGAGCAGCCCACACCACTGCTCTGCCTATGGAGTAGCCATTCTTTTATTCCTTTACTTTCTTAATAAGCTTGCTGTCACTTTACTCTATGAATTCACTTTGAACTCTTTTTTTGTGTGAGATCCAAGAACCTTCTCTTGGGGTCTGGATCGGGACCCCTTTCCAGTAATAATATTCCATCACTTTTTCCATATTCTATTCATGAAAAGCAAGCAACAGGTCCAGGCCACACTTAAGGGGAGGGGATTACACAAGAGGTTGAATACCAGGAAGTGGAGATCACTGGAGACCATCCTAGGAAGCTGCCTACCATAGTCTGCTCTCTGGTCCCCAGTGATTCACATCCCTCCCTCATGGCAAATACATCTACAACTCTCCAAGAGTCCCCAGAGCCTCACCTCATAACATCAGCTCTAAGTCCAGAATCCCATCATCTAAATCAGGTCCAGGTATGGTTGAGATACATCAGGTGTAGTTCCCCAAGTACAGCTCCTTAAGCACAGTTCCAATTGATCTGTGGATTTCTGAAGCTAAAGAGACGAGATACCTGCCCACCTCCCACACCCAATGTATTAGTCTGTTCTCATGCTGCTAATAAAGACATACCTGAGACTGGGTAATTTACAAAGGAAAGACGTTTAATTGACTCACAGTTCCACAGGGCTGGGGAGGCCTTACAATCATGGTGGAAGGCAAGCGGGGGGAGTAAATCCACGTCTTAAATGGTGACAGACAAAGAGAGAATGAGAGCCAAGTGAAAGGGGAAACCCGTTATAAAACCGTCAGATCTCATGTGACTTATTCACTACCACCAGAACAGCATAGGGGAAATTGCCCCCATGATTCAATTATCTCCCACTGGGTCCCTCTCACAACATATAGGTATTACGGGAGCTACAATTCAAGACAAGATTTGCTTGGGAAAATAGCCAAACCATATCACCCAATATACGATGGTGGGACAGGCACAAGATAATCTCTACACACAAAAAAGGGGCAAATAGGAGGCACACAGGTGTTACTGGTCCATAGCAATTCTGAAATCCAAATTTTAGAACTCAGTCTCATTCCTGCTAAAAATAATTCTCCATGGCTCTTGGCTCCATCCTCTGGACTCCTTATTTTTGCCCTCTGAATCATCCTTTTTTTTTGGAGACACAGTCTCACTCTGTCACCCAGGCTGGAGTGTAGTGGCGCAATCTCGGGCTCACTGCAACCTCCACCTCCCGGGTTCGAGTGATTCTCCTGCCTCAGCATCCCGAGTAGCTGGGACTACAGGCTCCCACCACCATGCCTGGGTGATTTTTGTATTTTTAGTAGAGACGGGGTTTCACCATGTTGGCCAGGCTGGTCTTGAGCTCTTGACCTCAAGCGATCTGCCCTCTTCAGCCTCCCAAAGTGCTGGGATTACAGGTGTGAGCCACTGTGCCCGGACTTTTTTTTTTTTTTTTTAAAGAAAAGGTAGCATCTGTTTTCTCAGCCTGCTTCCTGCTAGAATTTTGGAGGTCCAACAATTCCTTTTTATGTTGTACTGGGTCTGCCTTTTCCACTCCAAACTGACACACAGATTTCTCAGGAAATTTGTGGGTCTTTTTGTTTGCTTGCATAATGTGTTAACTACATTAGACGAAACCCTACAAATCTCTCTGGATAAACCCTTCACTATCTTGAGCTTCTGCTGAGAGGCTGAGGAAAAATACTCTTAAGCTCCCTAGAGGTTTAATTGTTTGAGACAATCTGAGAGCAACACCTTTAATCTCTTTAAAGGGACCTTTGTGTGACTGAATATGACTGTGATCCTTTGGTCTCTCTGAGATTTTAACATTAGATTGTATATACATAGAAATAGGTAACTAATGCAGGCAGCGTTTAGCATTCTCCACTATATAGTGGATATAAAGGCAATTCCCTCTCATTATTCTTTGACTTAGTGTCTTGGTGATTCTGAAGCATTTATTTTTCCATGTAATTTTTGAAATCCTTTTAGCTAGCTCAAACATATTGTGTAAGAACTGCAGCAATATCCATACATTATTAATGTTGGGAGGATTTTTATTCCTATGATAGCGAGTCTCCCCATTCAGATACGGTGTCTCTCAATGTACTTAGTTTTAACGTCCACTACAAAATTTTATTCAAGTTAAACTCATGTCCCTGATGTTATTTTTATTTCACTTTGAATTTAGTTGCTATTCAATGACATGGTTTTCCATTTCCATTTCTGATTTCTGTTCATAGAGAAAACATGTGCAACTATTTAACCAAATTTACTTATTCGTTTAAGATTGTTTTTGTTCCTTTTTTTTTTTTCGAGACAGAGTCTTGCTCTGTCACCCAGGCTAGAGTGCAGTGGTGCGATCTCTGCTCACTGCAAGCTCTGCCTCCCGGGTTCACGCCATTCTCCTGCCTCAGCCTCCCGAGTAGCTGGGACTACAGGCACCCGCCACCACACCCGGCTAATTTTTTGTATTTTTAATAGAGACGGGGTTTCACCATGTTGGCTAGGATGGTCTCGGTCTCCTGACTTCATGATCTGCCCACTTCAGCCTCCCAAAGTGCTGGGATTACAGGCGTGAGCCACTGCGCCCGGCCTGTTTTTGTTTCTTTTCTAAAATATCTTGGATGGTTTTGCCTACTTTCCAACATTTAAATTGATTATTTCTTTTTTTTTTTTTTTTTTTTTTTGAGACGGAGTCTCCCTCTGTCACCCAGGCTGGAGTGCAGTCTCGTGATCTCGGCTCACTGCAACCTCTGCCTCCCGGGTTCAAGTGATTCTCCTGTCTCAGCTTCCCGAGTAGCTGGGATTACAGGTGCACGCCACCATGCCTGGCTAATTTTCTTTTTGGATTTTTAGTAGAAACGGGGTTTCACCATGTTGACCAGGCTGGTCTCGAACTCCTGACCTCAAGTGATCTACCCACCTCGGCCTCCCAAAGTGCTGGGATTCCAGGCATGAGCCACCATGCCCGGCCCCAATTATTTCAATTTTTGATCTAATTATATTCAGTAGAATTTTGAAAAAATATGTTTAATAATGGTGCCAGCTGATATTTCCAGCTTGAAACTGATGGATAAAATTGGCTCTGTGTTTTACTGTTTAGTATAAAGCTTTCTCTTGATGACGAATCATATTTAATCATTTTACTTGGAAACTTTGAAAAAAGATCAGAAACAAGCTTTTTAGTATTTATTGACTTAATTGTATTATCCTAGTTTAAATTGTTGATTTAATATATTGTGATAGTTGAATATTTTTTTAAAATAGTCTTAACTTTTTGGACAGTTTTGTACTTACAGAAAAATTAAGAAATTCGTACAAAGAGCACCTATATGCCCTGTACTCAATTGTCTCCTATAACCAACATCTTACATGAGTATGGTGTATTTGCAACAATTACTCAACTAATATTGATTTGTTATTATTAGCTAGTGTGAATATTTTATCCAGATCTCCTTAGTTTTTGCCTAATATTATTTTCTGTTCGAGGATCTCATCCAGGACACCACATTACATTTAGTTGTCATGTGTCCTTACGCTCCGCTTGGCTGTGACAGTTTCTAAGACTTTTCTTGTTTCTGATGACCTTGACAGTTTTGGGGATACTGGTGAGATTTATTCCTGTTGATGCTGACCTTGATCACCTGGCTGAGACGGTGTCCATTACGTTTCTCCACAGAAAAGTCCCTCTTTCTTTCCCTTTCCTTACTGTACTCTTTGGAAGGAAGTCCTTATGTCAGAGGTGTTTGAACTGGAGTGACTCCATTTTGAGTGAGGGCTAGGAAAATGTGTCTGAGGCTTCCTGGGCTGCATTCCCAGAAAGTGAGGAATTCCTAGCCCCTAGATGTTTATGGTTAAGGGAACAGATTAATAATGTTTACTAAACAGATGCAGACTCGGGAGTGTCCAGATATCCCAATATCTGGAGAACAAGGGCATTCCTAATTTTGCTTTAAACATATCGATTCTTGCAAAATACAGTAATTAGGACAATTAATGCTTTATCACAAACCCCTGTAGCAGAGCACATCTCCCCAATATCTTTTTTTATCATATATATATACATATGTGTGTGTATATATATACACATATGTATGTATTTATCTCATATATACATATATGTATGTATTTATCTCATATATACATATATGTATGTATTTATCTCATATACATATATGTATGTATCTCATATATACATATATGTATGTATCTCATATATACATATATGTATGTATTTATCTCATATATACATATATGTATGTATTTATCTCATATATACATATATGTATGTATTTAGCTCATATATACATATATGTATGTATTTATCGTGTGTGTGTGTGTGTGTGTGTGTGTGTGTGTGTGTGTGTATACCAACATTGTATCTACGGTGGAAGCGTTCCTCCTTTTGCTTTCAGGAACGCCCTGCTCTGTCTGTGGAGTAGCTGTGCTTTCACTACTTTACTTTCTTTAATAAACTTGCTTTTGCTTTGCACTGCAGATTCATCCTGAATTCTTTCTTGTGCAAGATTCAAGAATCCTCTCTTAGGGTGTGGATCGGGATCCCGATCCCTTTCCAGCCCACACTTAAGGATGGGAGAGTTATGCTCTCCACTGTTTGAGGGTGAAATATCGACATCAATCATTTAGAATTCCTCTGCATGGGAGGTTTGTCTCCCCTATTTATTTATTTTCTCAATCATTGTTCATAGATACTTATTTCATACTTTGGGTTAGAATCCAGTGTTACTTTATGGTGTTGCTCCAATCATGCCTCCTTTGGCCACTGGAAGTTCTTTCACTTGCTCCTGTGTGCCTTTGACAAACCTCCATCAAAGTGCGTTTGGTTTTGTTTGGGAGCACTTCTTTATTTCCTGTCATTTCAAGAGATTCTGTGCTTACCTTCTCTATTCCTGCTGCAGTCCTTGAATCAGCCATTTGTCCAAGGAATCCTGGTCAGTTGAGTTTGTAATGTTGAAGCACCCTCTCATTCCTCAAACCCTGATTAGTTAAGGAGTACTATTCTTTTTCCATATCATTGGATTTCATATTCTAATAATTTGATTATAATTTTTGTGTCTGTATCCCTTTATAAAAATGGTATATACTCTAATTTTTTGATATTTCTTACTAGTTTTAAAAATTAAAGCAATGTTAGCCTTATAAGATAAACAATGAAGCTTTGCACTTTTTCCAAGTACTGAAATTGTTTAGACATTGTAAGAATTGTTCCTTCTTTAAAGGCCAGAAAGAATTCAGGGATTAAAATCTTCTGGATCTATGACCTTTTAAAATATAGGCCTTTATTATTTCACTCTCTCTATAGCTAATAATTCATTCAGGCTTTGTGTTTCTTCTGGGTAACTTTTGTTTATATTTTGACAAGAAATGTTTTTATTTCCCCTTCATTCCTGCAGTATAGTTCGCTGGGTATAGAATTAGGATGAACAGTTCTTTTATTTTAGCCCTTGAAAATGTTAGCTATTTTCTTATTGTCCCACAAGTTCCTGGATCTCTGTTCATTTCTTTTCCAGCTATTTTCTTTTTGTCGTTCAGTTTGAGAAACTTGTAATAATCTATCTTCAAATTAATTGACTTTCCTCTGTCATCTCCATTCTGCTATTGAGCCCATTCAATGAATTTATTTTAATTATATTTTCAGTTCTAAAATTTCAAATTTTTTCCTTCTATGTCTTTTTTTTCTTGAATTGTAATTTTCAAAATTTAAGTGTGTTCAATTACTTGTTGAAGTATGTTCATGACATCTGCTTCAAAATCCTTGTCAGGGCTTTGTTGGGTATACATCATCTGAATAACACACATTTTTACCTATTAAGTAATTTCTCACCATCAACTCCCCTCCCACCCCCTCACTCTTCCAAGTCAACACTGTCTATCACTCCACACTCTATGTCCATGTGTACACATTATTTAGCTCCCACCTGTAAGTGAGAACATGCAGAATTTGTCTATGTCTGACTTTTTTCACTTAAGATAATGGCTTCCAGTTTCATTCATGTTGCTGCCAAAGACATGACTTCATTCTCTTTTTATGACTGAATAGAATTCCATTGTGTATATGTACCACATTTTCTTTATCCAATCATCTGTTGATGGATACATAGGTTAATTCCCTATCTTTTTTTTTTTTTTTTTTGACAGAGTCTTGTTCTGTCGCCCAGGCTGGGGTGCAATGGCGTGATCTTGGCTCACTGTAACCTCCCCCTTCTGGGTTCAAGCTATTCTTGTGCCTCAGCCATCAGAGTAGCTGGGATTACAGGCATGCACCACCACGCCTGGCTGATTTTTTTTTTTTTTTTGTATGTTTAGTAGAGATGGGTTTTCACCATGTTGGCCAGGCTGGTCTCAACTCCTGGCCTCAAGTGATCCACCTGCCTCAGCCTCTCAAAGTACTGGGATTACAGGTGTAAGCCACAGCACCTGGCTGATTCCATATCTTTGCTATTGTGAATAATGCTGTGATAAACATATGAGTGCAGTTATCTTTTTGATATAATGATTTCTTTTCCTTTGGGTAGATGCCCAGTTGTGGTATTGCTAGATTGAATGGTAGTTCTATTTTCAGTTCTCCGAGAAATCTCCATACTGATTTCCATAGAGGTTGTACTAATTTACATTCTCACCAAAAGTGTATGACCTTTTCTCTATACTCTTGCCAACATTTGTTATTTTTGTCTTTTTAATAATAGTCATTCTGACTGATGTATAATGATATCTCATTGTGGTTTTAATTAGCATTTCTCTGGTGATTTGTGATGTTAAGCATTTTTTCATATGCCTCTTGGCCATTTGTATGTCTTCTTTCAAAAGTGTCTATTCATGTCCTTTGCCTATTGTTTAATGGGATTGTTTTCTATTTTGTTGTTGTTGTTGTTGCATTGTTTGAGTTCCTTGTAAATTCTGGACATTAGTCCCCTGTCATACATAGTTTGTAAATATTTTCTCCCATTCTCCAGGTTGTCTGTTCACTCTGATGATTATTTCTTTTGCTGTGCAGAAGCCTTTTAGTTTAATTAAGTCCCATTTGCCTATTTTTGTTTTTGTTGTCTGTGCTTTTGAGGTCTTTGTCATCAATTTTTTGCCTAGATCAATGTCCAGAAGAGTTTTCCCCAGATTTTCTTCTAGTGTTTTTGTAGTTTCGGATCTTACATTTAAATCTTTAATCCATCTTGAGTTGATTTTTTTATATGGTAAAAGATGGTGGTCCAGTTTCTTTCGTCTGCAGATGCCAATCCAATTATCCCAGCATCATTTATTGAAAAGGGTGTCCTTTCTCCACTGTATGTTCTTGTTGATTTTGTCAAATATCAGTTGGCTGTAATATGTGGCTTTATTTCTGGATTCTCTTTTCTATTCCATTGATCTATGTGTCTATTTTTGTACGAGTATCATACTGTTTTGGTTACTACAGCCTTGTATTATAATTTGAAGTCTGGTAATGTGACAGCTTTAGCTTTGTTGTTGTTGTTTTATAATTGCTTTGGCTATTCCGGCTCTTTTTTGGTTACATGTTAATTTTAGCATGTTTTTTCTAATTCTTTGAAAAATGACATTGGTATTTTGATAGAGATCCCATTGAATATGTAGATTGCATGGGGCAGTATGATCATTTTAATGATATTAAATCTGACCAATGAGCATGGGATATCTTTCTATTTGGTTGTGTCATCTACAGTTTCTTTCATCAGAGTTATGTAGTTTTCCTTGTTTAGATCTTTCACCTCCTTGGTTACTTGGTATTTTATTTTATTTTATTTTTGAAGCTATTATATATGAGATTGCCTTCTTGATTTTGTTCTCAGCTAGATCCTCATTGGTGTATAGAAACACTACTGATTTTTATACATTGATTTTGTATTCTTAAGTGTTACTGAATTCATTTATCAAGTCTAAGAGTTTTTTGGTGGAGTCTTTAGGTTTTGCTAGATATAGAATCATATCATCAGTGAACAGGAATATTTTGACTTCTTTTACAATTTGGATGCCTTTTATTTCTTTCTCTTGCCTGATTGCTCTGGCTAGGACTTCCAGTACTAATTAATATGTTGAATAGGAGTGGTGAAAGTAGGCAACCTTGTTTTGTTTCAGTACTTAGAATGCTTTCAGCTTTTCCCCATTCAGTATGATGTTGGCAGTGGGTTTGTTATATATGGTTTTTATTAATTCAGAGTATGTTCCTTCTATACCTAGTTTATTGAAGGTTTTTATCATGAAGAGATGCTGAATTTTACCAAATGCTTTCTCTGCATTTATTGAGATGATCATATGGTTTATTGTCTCTAATTCTGTTGATAAGATGAATCAAATTTATTTATTGATTTGCATATGTTGAAGCATCCTTTGCAACCCTGGGATGAATCCCACTTGACCATGGGGTATTACTTTTTGATGTGCTGTTGGATTTGGTTTGCTAGTATTTTTTGAAAATTTTTGCATCTATGTTGATCAGGGATATTGGTGTGGAGTTTTCTTTCCTTATGTGTCATGGTCTCTCTGATTTTGGTATAAGGTATTACTGGTCTCATAGTATGAGTTAGAGAGGACTCATTTCTCCTCAAATTTTTTTTGAAACAGTTTCAGGAGGACTTGTATTAGTTCTTCTTTGTACATTTGATAAAATTCAACTATGAATCCATCTGGTCCTGGGCTTTTCTTTCTTGGGAGATCTTTTATTACTGATTTAATCTAGCTATTCATTATTCATCTGCTTAGGTTTACTGTTTCTTCCTGGTTCAATATTGGGAGGTTGCATGTTTCTAGGAATTTATTCACTTCCTCTAAGTTTTCTGGTTTGTAAGCTTATAGTTGTTCATAATAGTCTCTGATGATCTCTTGTATTTCCATGTTATCAGTTGTAATGTCTCCTTTATCTTTTCTGATTTTGTTTATTCAGATTTTCTCTTTTCTTGGTTAGTCTAGCTAGTGGCTTATTAATCTGTTTATCTTTTTGAAAAACAAACTTTTCATTTCATTGATCCTTTGTATTTTTTTATCTGTATTTCATTTAGCTCTGCTCTGATCTTTGTTACTTCTTTTCTTCTGCTAACTTTCCATTTGGTTTGTTCTTGCTTTTATAGCTTCTTGATGTGTGATGTTAGGTTGTTAACTTGTAATCTTTCTTTTTTTTGATGTAGGCATTTAATACTATAAACTTTACTCAGCACTGCTTTTGCTGTATCCCAAAGGTTTTGGTATGTTTTGTTTTCATTTTTATTTGTTTCAAAAAATTTTTAAATTTCCAGCTGGGCATGTTGGCTCATGCCTGTAATCCCCGTGGTCTGGGAGGCCGAGGCGGGTGGATCACCTGAGGTCAGGAGTTCGAGACCAGCCTGACCAACATGAAGAAACCCTGTCTCTACTAAAAATACAGAATTAGCCATTGTGATGGCACATGACTGTAATCCCAGCTGCTTGGGAGGCTGAGGCAGCGGGAGTGCTTGAACCTGGAAGGCAGCAGTTGCGGTGAGCCAAGACCGTGCCATTGCACTCCATCCTGGGCAACAAGAGCAAAAATCCGTCTCAAAAAAATTAAAAAAATTTTTTTTACATTTCTATCTTAATTTCTTGATGCAATGATCATTCAGGAGCATGTAGCTTAATTTCCATGTATTTGTATAGTTTCCAAAGTTCCTCTTGGTATTTATTTCTAGTTTTAATTCCACTGTGGTCTGAGAAGAACTTGATGTGATTTTAATTTTTAAAAATTTGTTTTGACCGGGCACTGTGGCTCACGCCTGTAATCCCTGCACTTTGGGAGTCTGAGGCGGGTGGATCACCTGTAGTCAGGAGTTTGAGACCAGCTTGGCCAACACGGTGAAACCCTGTCTCTACTAAAAATACAAAAATTAGCCAGGCGTGGTGGCAGGTGCCTGTAATCCCAGCTACTCAGGAGGCTGAGGCAGGAGAATCGCTTGAACCTGGGAGGTGGAGGTTGCAGTGAGCTGAGATCGCGCCATTGCACTCCAGCCTGGGAGGCAAGAGCGAGACTTTGTCTCAAAAAAAAAAAAAAAAGAAAAATTTGTTTTGTGGCTTGATAGAGGTTTGTGTTGGAGAATATTCCACGTGCTGATGAGAAGAATGTATATTCTGCAGTTGTTTGGTAGAGTGTTCTGTAAATGTCTGTAAAGTCCTATTTAAGTTCAATGTTTCTTTGTCAATTAACCATTTCTTAAACTGCCTCTATTTCATATAGTTTGTGAGTCCATTCGCCATTGTTTGAACCTCTGAATCTATCTCATTGTGCCTTTGTCCCATTTTTTAATGTTTCTGCTAAGCCACAACCTATCCCATACTTGTGAGGTCCTAAAAATATCTCCCCCAACTTATCCCTTTGATATTTTGCAGATTTCTTTCTCATGATAGAAGTAAAATTAGATGAACATCAAGTCAAAGAGAAGTAGGTTTACATGTCAGTCAGTGTGAGTTAAACTGTGTTGTAACTTCTGTTCACAGACTAAGAGAGATGGAGTCTTTCCTCTTGGATGACATCAGCTCTGTGATACAGAACAAAGGCATTGAGAGAATCATCTCACCAATGATCGTTCAGCTTTGCCATCTGCTCATCTCAATGGAGAGGAAAGAAGTGGAGAATGAAGTATTTGCCTCGTTGGAGAAGATGGCTGAGGAATTGGCGAAAGCTTGTGAAGACTTCGTGCAAGCGGTCAAAAGGTAATTCTTTCAAAGAACACAATAAATTTTCACTCTGACAAATTTGCAGAAGAAGGAAAGTGTAACTAGAGACTTATTATAATCTTTTTAAGTGCTTTTGGAAAGAAGTCAGATGAGAAAAAAATTAATAAGACACAAAGACACAAAGCAAATTTATTTAATAAGTTGTTATTTATTACTTGGGGTATAATTTAAGTATGCAAACATTTGAGAATTAGTTGACTGAGTTTTCCACTGAGAACAAGTTCTACGTGCCATCAGAGGGTTTCTAGATTATTATTTCATTTCACAGATGAATTATTTTCTATTATAGGGATAAGAATTTTCAGAGTAGTCTAAACACAATTTTCATGTCTGTCTTTTAGTGCATTTGAGCCTGATTCTTTATTAGTAAACCTACATGCAAATTATTTTCATAATAAGTTTCAATTCCAGGGTTAATACAAAGTAGCCTAGTTATAACAACAAAACCGAACTCTATTAATAAAAACTGAATACCACTACAAAAATGTTACTTTTTTCTTTTTCGCCCAAAACTTCATGTAGGTGTTGGAGCAAACTGCCTATGTTTGAATCTTAGCAACACCATCAATTTAGTGCAATCCTATAAAAATTCCACAAGCTTTCTTTTTTAAATGGAGTTTGAAAAGTTGATACCAAAGTCCATATGAAAAAAATTAAACATAAGAACAACTAGGAGAACCCTGGAATAAAAAGCTATGGAGAGCGAGAGAATAGCTTGTCAGGTATTAAAAACACTTCTAGATCCTCTTTTAGGAAAGTGTGTGATACTGTCATATGAAGAGACAGATTGACCACTGGAACAGAATAAAAAGCCCAGAAACACACAACTACACATGGATCTGTACACCACAAAGAGTGGACTTTAGTGCACGCAAATTTGAAAAATGAACCAGGCTGGCCGGACGGGTGGCTCATGCCTGTAAACTCAGCATTTTGGGAGGCGGAGGCAGGTGGATCGCCTGAGGTCGGGAGTTCAAGACCAGCCTGGCCAGCATGGTGAAACCCCATCTCTACTAAAAATACAAAAATTAGCTGGGCGTGGTGGCGGGCGCCTGTAGTCCCAGCTACTCCGGAGGCTGAGGCAGGAGAATCGCTTGAACCCAGGAGGCGGAGGCTGCAAGTGAGCCAAGATAGTGCCATTGCACTCCAGCCTGGTGACAGAGCAAGACTCCATCTCAAAAAAAAAAAAAAAAGAAAAGAAATAGGCTGTTAGGAAGTCCTGTGGAGAAAGCAGGCTATAACAAATG
Source organism: Homo sapiens (assembly GCF_000001405.40). Classification (NCBI taxonomy): domain Eukaryota; kingdom Metazoa; phylum Chordata; class Mammalia; order Primates; family Hominidae; genus Homo; species Homo sapiens. The sequence continues at coordinate 112,439,124 of NC_000002.12, read as the reverse complement.
AATCTAACAATATTACAAACGCATGATACAGCCTCACTGAAAGAGTTGCATGGAGAAGGAGCTGACCTAAGCAACTTTGGAAGACAGCCTTTTGACTGGATACTGTAAAACTAAAGAAAATTGTATATTAACACAGTATTCTAGGTAGTAAATTTGTTTCTCAGTAATTTTGAAACTACAAGTATAATAAATACATAAATATGTTGTAGATAATGAAAGTCGGAGTCTCACTCTCAGAGAAAAAAGTTACAAATAAGCAAGGGGGGAAGTTAGAATAAGCCCTGTGGAGTAGAGTGGGAGGTATCAGTATGAATGTGTGCGTGTCTATGTATACACATGTATAATACACTAATCTGTGTTTAGCTATATTTTTTCGCTCTGTCTTCTGAGAAGCCCTAGAAGCAGTGACACCCCAGTATTTCTGGAGAAACGCCTGAGAAATTCTAGGTCTGGAGCCAGGAATACACAAAATAAGGCTGGAACATCTTGTAGCACCAGAAGGAAAAGAAAGGATGGAGGCGTGTAAGAAGGACATGTGGTGGGCTGAATAATGGCCCCCAAATATGTCCAGATCCTAATCCCCAAAACCTGTGAATATGTTACTTACATGGCAAACGGACTTTGCAAATATGGTTAAGAACCTTTAGATGGGAGATGATCCTGGATGATCTGGGGGCCCGAGGGAGTCACAATCGTCCTTATAAGAGGGATGTAGGAGGATCAGAAAGAGGAGAAAGGAATGTGAGGATGGAAACAGAGGTCAGAGTAATGTGCTTTGAAGAGGAAGAACAGGCCACGAGAAGTTGCTACCTGTAATAAAATGTCAAATAAGATCTAGAGGCTTGAGGAGAACCTGAGGTTATCTGTGGAGGGTGGAAGGCTTATGCTGAAGTGGCCCCCTGAGAGCAGAGATCAGGAGTAAGGGACGATCTCCTAGTACTCACTTGCAGAAGTGACTTAAAGCTGCTAAAAGGGTGTGTGTCAGGGCTTTGGCATTCTGCCGCAGACATAGAAAGACCTGATACTGTTTTGACTTCATGTGTCCCTGTAGCCATTCAGCGGCCAACATTTGTATAGTACTTTATCTTTCTCAGCTTATTTCTAATTAGCGATAATTAATACTCTTAGTATTAATACGAGTTAATTTGTAATTCTTACAAAAGAGTGTGAGATAAATGAGCATGTGCTGTCTTTAATTTCCAAAGGAGGAAAGCACTCTGTGCCGTCTGAGCTGCCCGCGATCCAGTCCCTAAGAGGGACCATCGGCAGGCGGCTTCCTGGCTCTTGGGGTCCGCACAGGCCTGTGGTAGCCCTGTGAGGGTCGGCTCCTGCATAGAACCCTGCCTGACTTCCCAGAGGAGGCCATGAGAACCGTCAAGAAGTTCATGGACTCAGGAGGACGTCGTCAGCAGTGCTGAGGTCATGGAATGTGGGCTGGGACCTTGTGTTTGGTGACGTTCTGTAAGTACTCGGCTTGCTCAAGCTAACTGCCCGGCTGGGATCACCGCTCTAGGAGGACTCAAGAGTTCAGATGAGTGGCCCAGGGGCCCGTCAGTGCTGTGCACCTCGCCCCCCGTGGGCGGGGGAGGAGCCTGGGGACTTGGCCAGTCCTGGAGGAGCCCTGAGACCAGGCCCTGTGGCGGGCACCACGGCACGGGGAGGTGCCTGGAGGGCTGGAGCCCACTTGGGGGGCCTTGGTCAGTCGGGGCTGCAGAAGCAGAGAAATGCGGGGTGCCCATGCTGGCTGGGACTCGCCCACTGCCCTGCACATGGCGAGTGAGGGAGAGAGGCAAGGCACCTTTCCAGGGGTGCATGGGAGGCTGCGGTCAAAGGTCCTGCACACCCGCATGCATGCTCACATCTGTAGCTACAGACACTGACCCCCAGAGACCCCCGAGCTCATGTGGGGCTGGTGTAGGCGTGGGGTGGACACTGGGGCAGTGTGGGCTCCTCCTCCTCCTCTATGCGCGTGACGGGGTGGGGGTGGCCCCTTCCCTTGCCCTGGAAGCTCCGGCCCCCTCCCCACCCTCCCTGTGGCCCCAGTAGACAGAGCCCTGGCCCCTGCCTTGGGCCAGGTTTGGCAGAGGGGGCCCTGGCTGGAAACTGGAGGCAGATGGAGGGGAGCTGGGGTTGCGGGCTGGCCGTGTCCCCTAACCCCTACACAGCCCAGCTCTGCTCCTGCTCCGCCTGGGTGTTCTGCAGGCTGGGGTGGAGGTGCTCCAGGACTACCCCACAGCCCGGGGCCACACACCCCTGGAGCGATCCCTATCTCTGTCTGCGCCCTGGCCTCCTTCCTGCCAAGACCCTGACTGAGTCAATAGGCTTGACTTTCATAAACTGGCCAACAAGATTGAGACCACACTTGGAGTGGAAGATGGGGCCGTCTTAAGCCCTTGCCCCCTGCACGGGTCAGCCTGTGGCCAACGTTCTGGGCCGAGCCTCCTCCTCTTGCTCCACGCTCTTCCCACCCTGAGAGGGGCCTGGTCTGGGTGGGTCTCCTGGGACCCCCAGTGTTCGAACATGACCTGAAAAGCAGAAATGGAGGCTGAAGCCTTGGCGAGGAGGCCAGCACTTCCCAATCTCACCTTCCACAGCTGATGTGCAGGGCCGGGGGAGTGTTGGTAATCCTCCCAGGACACACGTGTCTGCATTTAAGGGTGTGCCTGACATGAAAGGAGATTTATTCAATGATGTTTGCTAAAGACTGGAAGCGGACTACTCAGGACCAGTGCGGTGGGTGCTGGGACCAGGGCAGTGGGATTTTGCAGTGGTGGAGAGAGATTTAGGCTCCACTCTGAATATGGCTCCAGCAAGTGGGATTTGATAGCCCAGGAGCAGAGTGGGGTCCTCGGATGGAACATCACTAAGAACAAACAGCAGGGGTGGGGGGTTCTGGCTGAAGGGAGGCAGGGTCATTCGTCATCACCTGGGTGCCCGAGGACGAGCAGGCTGCCCTGACGAGGATGATCAGATACGGGGCGGGGCAGTTCTGGCTGAAGTCACTTAGCAGTGTTCTTGCTAAAACCGGATTTTGCAAGGAAGTGTGCAGGTGGCCTAGAAGGTTCAAGGGCCTGATAGAGTTTGGCCAAGCAAAGAATCTCGTCACTGAGAATTAGAATCAAGGGCAGGTGGCTAAATAGTGCCTTGTAGATTCTCTCCAGCTTTTGCGGCCCCTCCCTCCACATCCTGCTCTGGGTAGCCCCTATCCTGCAGCCATGACCCAGATTCCTGAAGAGGGGATGACTACACAGGGGCCTGGATGCTGGGTGGCGGCCTCAGGGGCGGGAGGCACCGGGAGAGGCCTGGCCGGAGAGCCCCAGGGACCCAGGTCAGGTCAGGACCCAGTGTGTAGCGGAGCTTGGGCTCATGAGGTCAGAGCTGGAGCCACTGCACATCGTCTCCCAGGGCCGGGGCTCCCAGAGGACATGCAGTGTCTGCAGTTTTCTGGGGTGCCCCCGTCCTCCGCGTGGCACTCTGCGTGTTGGGGGGCCTATTGCGAGCTGCTCATCCTGGCTTCTTGGGAGCAGCGTGGCCTGAGCAAGGGAGGCTGCCCAGGACCGGCGCCTGTGGGGCGGGGCTGGTCACAGGGTCTTGGTCCCCGAGGGCTGATTCCTGCTGAATGCTTCAATGGCCAAGGGTGGATCCCTCTCCTTCCAGCCTGAGGCTGTTTCAGGAAGAAACAGTCAGGCCCCGGCAGGTTTCCCTGCCCAAGGGGAGAGTCTGAGGAGGGGCCGACTCGGCAGGTGGAGCAGGGGGCCACTTTCATCGAGTTTGTGTTCAGAACTCACTCCAGGGTCCTTTTCTTTTGGGGCCAGGCAGGCAGCACCGTGTGGGACATTATTAGCAAGGAGAGGAGGGGCCCGGGAGAGCTCACAGGGCGTTTTGGGAGCTCCGTAGACAGGCAGGTCCTGAGGACTTTTGGAAAGGATAGAACAAGGTCCCGGGCAGCTTTGTGGTGGTCGAGAGCGAGGGAGGAGGTGGCCTCCCTGAGCGTGGATGGCTGGATGCAGGCCCCAGACCCAGGGGCAGAGGCCGAGAAGGGAAGGCGGGGGCCCAGGGACCACACTTGGCAGGGTGGAGGGGGCAGGGGGAGCCACTTGCTGGGGAAACTTCACCGGATGATCTGGGCTGAGGACGCGCGAGTGTGGAAGAAACGGCGCCTCCCCCGTGCCAGATGCTGCCCACCACCGGCACAGGGCCAGAGTTGGGGTCAGCAGGGCAGCCGTGTGCCCCCAGTGGGAGCTTGGAGGTCACGGAGGAAATGCGAGACCAGATGCAGGCAGGGGAGTCCTCCGGAGCCTGCAGGAGGGGGCCGCTGGCTCAGGGGCACCGGGAGACCCCCACATGGACAGGGTGGAAAGGGCTTTCTTCAAAGCCAGGATCTTGTCCCCATCACAGCGTCCCGCTACGCATTGGGAGCGCTTGCTGCCAGGAGGCTCCCCAGTCCCGCAGCAGCCCCTCAGCGGCTGCCCTCCAAGGAAGGGGCGCACAGACACTCCAGGGCTCCACAGCGCGCGGGCCAGGGGCCCCATCTACCCCCGGGGCAGCGGGACTGGGCGTGAGCCCGGCCTGGGACACAGCCCCTGCGACTGCACCATTGTTAGGGGCCTTCTCGGAGCTGGCAGACCTAGAACCAGGCCTAGGGGGTGGGGGTGTGCCTGGATGTGTGTTGCGGGGGTCTGAACCCTTAGTTAGGACCGGGGGCCCTCCTTTCCACTTCGTGCAGTCCCTGGGGTCTGGGGCATCCTAGCCATGCGTGGGGCCTCCCTGCTGGGATTGGAGACCCCCTGACAGCTGGGGCTGGTCCCAGCATTTTCGCTCTTCCCCCAGAAGGACTCAGATGCAGGGTCTTCTCTGCTCCCCGTCACACAGAGGGTGGCACCCCCGATGGGAACTCTCATTTATCACCAAACCAGAAGATAATGGAGAAACTGACAGAGAAGGGCTGCAAGCAGCTACCGCAGGGCGGTGTGTGGATGCAGATGGGATGGGCAGATGGAGGCGGGGGCCAGCATCGCTGCCTTCTTGCCCCTCCCAGAGGACCCCAGGTCCCCAGCTCGGGCGCCCCACCAGACTGGTAACACCTGCGTCTGCTGTTTGGCACCGGGGGATGAATCACTTGCTTTTCTTTCAACAGTGTTCTGTAGTTTCCAGTCTACAAGTCTTACACTTTTGGGTTAAATTTATTCATAATTATTTTATTATTTTTGATAATATTATAAATGGAATTGTTTACTTAATTTTACTTGAATTGTTCCTTGCTGGTGTATAAGTAGACATCTCATTTTTTTTAGTTGACCTCGTATGGTACAATCTCTTTGAACTCATTTATTATCACTGATGGTTTGTCTTTTTTTTTTTTTTTTTGAGCTTTCATTAAGGTTTTCTATAGATAAGATCATGTCAAGACACCCTCAGACCACAGGGCGGCGCCACCAGCCCGGCCGAGTGCAGCTGGAGCGCCGACGTCCCCGAGGATACACAGTGCTGAGGCAGAACGCAGGTTCGTCACAGTGGGCCTCCGTGGGCGGCGCCGCACGCTCGTCACAGTGGGCCTCCGCCGGCTACGCCGCTGCTTCAGTGGCTTGCAGGCACTTTCCTCTTGGAAGTGGCGACTGCTGCGGGGCTGAGCGGTGCTCGCACGCGTCTCGGGAGCCAGGTTGGCGGCGCGATGAGGCGCAGCAAGGCCGATGTGGAGCGGTACGTCGCCTCGGTGCTGGGTCTCACCCCGTCGCCTCGACAGGTGAGTGGGTCTGGAAGAGAGCGGCGGCCTCGACCCGGCCGGGCGGCGGCGGCCTCGACCCGGCCCGGCGGCGGCCTCGATGGGTCAGGGGTCATGGCTCCCGACGGGCGCTGCTCCCTGGCGCGCTCTGTTGAGGCGGCGGCCTCCACCCGGCCCGGCGGCGGCCTCGATGGGTCAGGGGTCATGGCTCCCGACGGGCGCTGCTCCCTGGCGCGCTCTGTTGAGGCGGCGGCCTCGACCCGGCCCGGCGGCGGCCTCGATGGGTCAGGGGTCATGGCTCCCGAGGGCGCTGCTCCCTGGCGCGCTCTGTTGAGGCGGCGGCCTCGACCCGGCCCGGGGGCGGCCTCGATGGGTCAGGGGTCATGGCTCCCGAGGGCGCTGCTCCCTGGCGCGCTCTGTTGAGGCGGCGGCCTCGACCCGGCCCGGCGGCGGCCTCGATGGGTCAGGGGTCATGGCTCCCGAGGGCGCTGCTCCCTGGCGCGCTCTGTTGAGGCGGAGGCCGGCTAGCGCAGTCCTGTGGGCGGCGTGGCGCTTGCAAGCGCAGGAAGAGTCCTGGGGGGACCGCGGCGGGCGGGAGACCTTTGGCGCCGGCTCTTCCTCTTTCTCCCGGTTTGTTCCCGACGGTGCTCGCTCGTGGGCTCGCCCTGGCCCGGGCTTTCTGGCCCCGTAGTACCCGCGCGGCCTAGTTCTCGGGGGCTTGGGCACCCGGGTGCTGTATCGGCGGGTTTCTTCCCATGTCCTGGACATTTACTTTATATGCCGCGGCGGAGGTCGTACCTCCTTGGCCTGGAGGAACCCAGTGGGGACTGACGCAGCTCCGGGTGAGCTTTGGCGGCTGCGTCGAGTGACAAGGTAGGCATCTCAGCGTGGACATTTGCAATGGCCCGATGGCACAAATGACACGGAAAGTCCCCTTGTTTTGAGTATGAGGTGTTTGTCGCTGTCCCTTTGTAAGGGTCCAGCTCCACTCCACTCCTCATACTCACCTCCCTCGCCCCCCTCCCCGCCCGGAACACTTTGGTAGCTGCCTTTGCTTAAAAAAAAAAAATTCTAAAGTTCTTACAAATCGTTAGTATGGCTTACAATTTTTAACCTTTTCCACAAGTGTTTTTAGGGTATTTTTCCTCTTTACAGGTAAATAATGTGATCTATTTTGGATTCAATAAGACTTTAGTCATTGGATCTAAAGAGTGACGGAAGAAGCTATTAAAGGTGGATGTGCGCAGAATCTTGAGTCAGTTTGCTTTGGCTTGAATAATCACAGCACTGTCGTTTATAAGCTGGGTATTTGGGGCCACTTACACTTTTCATCCATAGATGGAGTTGTAACATTGATAGAATTTGATAGGATGATCCATTTTAAACATTTAGGTTATTGCTTGACACATAGCACTAAATGTTAGCTACAAGTCACTTTTTATTGTTGATGTTAAAAGGATATTGGCCGGGCGCAGTGGCTCACGCCTGTAATCCCACCACTTTGGGAGGCCGAGGAGGGCGGATTGCCTGAGGTCAGGAGTTCGAGACCAGCCTGGCTAACATGTTGAAACCTTGTCTCTACTAAAAATACAAATAAAGTTAGCCGGACGTGGTGGCGCACGCCTGTAGTCCCAGCTACCTGGGAGGCTGAGGCAGGAGAGTCGCTTGAACCCGGGAGGCGGAGGTTCTAGTGAGCCGAGATCGCGCTACTGCACTCCAGCCTGGGCGACAGAGGGAGACTCCAGAAAAAAAAAAAAAAAACCAGAAACTCACGGATGACCATGATTATAATAGTAGCATAATTGTGTCTCTTATCATAACTAAGCATAGGTTATCTTATTTTGCGCTTCCAGCAACCCTGTGGATATTGAGACCTGTAGAGATTTAAGATACTTGTTCAGGGTCAAATGGGTAGTGCAGCAGAATTTTGGCAGTGGGTCTGATTTAGTTTCTCTTGGGAACAGTGCAGTAAGTTACAGTCTATTCCTCCAGAGAAGGATAGATATCTACTTGTACGTTGTAATTTCAAACTGCTAGCATAGTATAAATATGAATGTGATGGTAAGAGTCTAAAACAGACCTTAATTGAGGGTTCCTGTAACTCCTGAAATTAAAGACTTTAATTTTTGTGTTATTTTATTTTTTTTGAGGTGGGGTCTCACTCTGTCACCCAGCTGGATGCAGTGGCACTATCTCGACTCACTGCAGCTTCCGCCTCCCCAGCTCAAGCGATCCTCCCACCTCAGTCTCCCGAGTAGTTGGGACCACAGGTGTACCCACCACACCCGCTGTTTTGTTTTGTTTTGTATTTTTGGTAGAGACTGGGTTTCACCATGTTGCCCAGGCTGTTCTTGAACTCCTGGGCTCAAGTGATTTCCCCGCCTCCACTTCCCAAAGTGTTGGGATTATAGGCGTGAGCCACTGCACCGGCCATTATTTTGTTTTTGAGACAAGGTCTCTTTCTGTCTCCCAGGCTGGAGTGCTGTGGCGGGATCGTGGCTCACTGCAGCGTTGACGTCCTGGGCTCAATCCGTCCTCCCACCTTAGCCTCCTGGGTAGCTGAGACTACAGGCATGCGCCACCATGCCCGGCTTTTTTCTTTAATGTAGAGACGGGGTCTTACCATGTTACCCAGGCTGGTCTCCAACTCCTGGGCTCAAGTGATCCTCCCGCCTTGGCCCCAAGTGCTGAGATTACAGGTGTGAGCCACTCTGCTCAGCCTGATTTTTTTTTTAAACAAGCTTAAAAAAAAAAAAAAGCAACCTTAGAGCCTTTCTGAGATTCTTAGTGGGGACCTTGGCTTCCAAAAGATTAAAAACCACTGGTCTAGACAGAAGTCAGAATGTTCTTTCAACTACATAACTTCTCCATTAAATAAAGTGGAGTGGTAGCAACATTTTGACGATTGGTTATTATGACCACCTCTCTTACACTTAGAGTCTTTTTTTCCCCCCCAAATTTAAAGTCATTTACATTAGAACCTGGGGATTTCAGCGGAATATGGATTAACTAGTGAGTAACTGGAACATGTGAAGCTATTCTGTAAAGTTAGGTTTGAGTGAAATGACAAAACAGGGTGCTTTGGATAGAAGGTAAAGAATGGAGGGAGAAGAGGCAGTGGCTGTGAAGAATATGAAGAGGTTAGTATTCTCCCCCAGTTTGGCAGAGGCTGGCCATCTGTGAACTGCCCATGCCTTCTAGAATGTCGGAGTTTTGGTGTGTGATGATGCGTCTGTATATCATATCTTTCTAGTCTTCCATTGTGCTTTCATTTGTTAGTCTTCTCTTGTTTTGCCATTTTTCTACTCCCTCACATGTGCTTTTGCCCTTCTTAAAAATATTCTTCGTCTGTAATCCGAGCACTTTGGGAGGCCGAGAGACCAGCCTGACCAATATGGTGAAAATCTGTCTCTATTAAAAATACAAAAATGAGCCGGGCGTGGTGGCAGCGCCTGTAGTCCCACCTACTCGGTAGGCTGAGACAGGAGAATTGCTTGAACCCTGGAGGCAGAGGTTGTGGTGAGCAGAGATTGCGCCACTGCACTCCAGCCTGTGTGACAGAGCGAGACTCTGTCTCCAAAAAAGAAAAAAGGAAAAAAATATAATTCTTTCTCTAGTTTTTCTTTTTCCCGATGGCTTCTGTTTAGTTTTTCTATGTTCTGTCAAGTCGATTTCTTATTCTGCAGCTGATTCCTACTTCTCAAAGTCTACTTGACAGCTCTTATTTTTATTTATTTGTTTTTTAGAATAGGGTCTTGCTGTGTTGCTCATCAAATTTTTGGGCGTAAATGATCCTCCTACCTCTGTTTCCTGAGTACTTAGGACTACAGGCAGGCACCTTTGACAGCTGTTAGTTGTTTTTTCTGCCCTTTACATCTATACTTCATACTTCTGAGTAACACACATATATACTTTTGTTATTTTTAATTCCCTTTCTCCCATTTTAGACATTTTCTTTTCTTTTCTTTTTTTTTTTTTTTTTTTTTTGAGACGGAGTCTGGCTCTATCGTCCAGGCTGGAGTGCAGTGTCGCGATCTCGGCTCACTGCAAACTCTGCCTCCGGGGTTCACGCCATTCTCCTGCCCCAGCCTGTAGCTGGGACTACAGGCACCCGCCACAACACTCGGCTAATTTTTTAGCATTTTTAGTAGAGACGGAGTTTCACCGTGTTAGCCAGGATAGTCTCAATCTCCTGACCTCATGATCCGCCCGCCTCAGCCTCCCAAAGTGCTGGGATTACAGGCGTGAGCCACCGCGCCCGGCCCCATTTTAGACATTCTGTACTGGCTATTATGCTCCTCCAAAACTGTCCTCAGACACTTTGGTTTGCCCCTCATTCTTTCAGTACTGTTACTGCAGTTTTTGTTTAAATGAATAGTTAACATTTATATAAATAGAAGGTAAATATTTTTGCATTTGAATTGCCCTTGTTGTGCAGTTTTTTGTTGTTTTTTTTATTATACTTTAAGTTTTAGGGTACATGTGCACATTGTGCAGGTTAGTTACATATGTATACATGTGCCATGCTGGTGTGCTGCACCCACGTTTTCCTGGACTGAATAATTGCTTTATTTTTTGGTTTGCTTGTATGTTGTGTTACTACTTGCTTACTTAAACTCAGCAATTTAAACCCTCAAATGTGGTCAAACTGGTCACATAATCCCATCAATTTCAGCTTAAAACATTGATTGATTGATTGATTGTCTGTCTACCTGGAATACCCTTACTAACCAACTTCTCCAACCCGGATTGGTTTTTCTTCCTCTTTGCTACACAGCTGTGCTCTTGGGACTTCCCTTTATCACCAGTTTGAGAATTCCCTTCATCTTTTTTCTGAGTTAGACCCTTTGTTTCTTGTATCTCATGTCCTCTTCATTTACTTTCTTTGTTTTGGTGTAGCATAGTCTCACTTGCTTTGAGGAAAAGTGGATGAGAGGTTTTTTTGTTTGTTTTTGTTATGGGACAGAGTCTTGCTCTGTTGCCCAGGCTGGAGTGCAGTGGCATGGTCTCAGCTCACCGCAACCTCCGCCTCCCAGGTTCAAGTGATTCTCCTGCCTCAGCCTCCCGAGTAGCGGGATTACAGGTGTGCGCCACCATGCCCGGCTAATTTTTTCTATTTTTAGTAGAGATGGGATTTCACCATACTGGTCAGGCTGGTCTAGAAACTAATGGTATGTCTTTAAAACATCTTTACTTAATTTAGTTGATCATTTGGTTATCGAATTCTGAGTTTCAAATAATTTTTTTTGCAATTTTGAAAGCATTGCTCCATTTTCTAGAAGTTCTGTTGTTAGGAGTCCCATGAGATTCTTGTTCTTGGTAACTTAAAGGTTTTCTGGAAGTGTCCTTTCAATTGGGAAACTCATTTCTTTCAGTTCTGTAGCATTTCTTGTATTATTTCTTTGACCATTTCTTACCCTTTTTTTTAATGATGTTTACCTGAAAGCTGGAGTTTCTCTAATTTTTCTCTTATTCTCCTCTTTTGTTTGTTCTGCCTTTTGAGAGATTTCCTTACCCTTATGTTCCAGGGGAAGAAGATTGGGGAACTCATGGTTCAGTATCTAGACTTTTCCTCATTGTCCTGTATAATCACGGCCTTCACCCTTGTTGGGACTCCACAGATTTGGAGCTGATCAGATGGGTTTGTTGAGAACAGCAGCTTTTTTGGAGGATTTTAGGGGGAGGGAGATTCATTTGACTGTGCAAGATGGGCGACAGGGTGAGACTCCGTTTGAATTAAAAAAAAAAGAGAGAAATTTAGAACTGCATAATGAAAAAGTAGGCCACAAATATTAAGTTTTGGACAATTACAATTACATCTCTATCTTACTGTGCAAGATAGCGATGATGTGGCATCTCTTAGGGTCTTACTGTTCCTGTTTTCAGCCCTGCATCAGTTCTTGATATTTGGCAGCTTAAGTGAATTCAGGTATTTGCTTATAGTGACATCTGCTGTCATGTAAAGAAGTACTGCTTGCATCAGATATTGTCCTGTTTACATAACATGGGCTGTGCTCCTTTCTAGCTGTATATCTTTAAACAAGGCATTTGTCTGCTTGAGCTTCAGTTCCCTTGTAAAGTGAGCAGGTTAGAGGCAAAAGATCATATAGAAGAATAATTTGTAAAGTTGTTTAATTATCTTAAGATTGTCTACTTTAATAACATAGTTGGAAGCAAAGAAGGTAATGGAATTATTTTTCTATTATGTTTTAACATAGTTGGAAGCAAAGAAGGTAATGGAATTATTTTTCTATTATGTTTTGGCATTGTACCTTGAATCTATTTCTTCATTTTGAAAAGGGGGAACTGGCCGGGCTCGGTGGCTGATGCCTGTAATCCCAGCACTTTGGGAGGCGGAAGAAGTCAGATCACAAGGTCGAGAGATCGACACCATCTTGGCCAACATGGTGAAACCCCATCTCTACTGAAAATACAAAAATTAGCTGGGCATGGTGGCGTGCGCCTGTAGTCCCAGCTTGTACCCGGGACGCAGAGGTTGCAGTGAGCTGAGATCGAGCCACCGCACTCCAGCCTGGCGACAGAGCAAGACTCCATCTCAAAAAAAAAAAAAAAAAGGAAGGGGGGAACAGGACTTGTTCCTTTATGTGCTGTCCTGACTGTTGTGTATTATTTTTGTTAAGATTGCTATAGTTCTTTTTTTTTTTGAGACGGAGTCTTGCTCTGTCGCCAGTGCTGGGATTGCAGGTGTTAGCCTGGCATTGAGCAAGGTTTTGTAATTTAAGCATACAAGTCTCTCACCTCCTTGTTTACATTTATTCCCAGGCATTTTTTTCTTTTAGATGCGATTGTAAATGGAATTGCTTTCTTAATTTCATTTTCTGATTGTTCGTTGCTGGTACAGTAGTCCCTTCTTATCCACAGTATTGCCTTACGTGGTTTTACTTACCTGCGTCACCCGTGGTCCAAAAATATTGAATGGAAGATTATATAAATAAACATTTCATGAGTTTTAAATTGCAAACAGGTCTGAATAACATGATAAAAATCTCACGGCCTCCTGCTCCGTCCTACCCAGGACACGAATCATCCCTTTGTCCAACATATTCATGCTGTATGTGCTCCCCACCCGCTAGTTACATACTAGCCACCTCAGTTATCAGATCAGTTGTTGGAGTATTGCAGTGCTTGTGTTCAAGTGACCTTTATTTTATTTAAAATGGCACCAAAGAGCAAGAATAGCGATGCTGGCAGTTCACATATGCCAGAGAGAAGCCATATAGTGCTTCCTTTAAGTGAAGAGGTGAGTTTTTGACTTAGGAAAGAAAAAAGATCATATACTGGGGTTGCTGAGATCTATGGTAAGAACAAATCTTTTGTCCATGAAATTGTGAAGAAGGAAAAAGAAATTTGTGCTAGTTTTGTTGTGACACCCCAAACTGCAAAAGTTACAGCCACAGTGTGTGATAAGTGCTTAGTTGAGATGGACAAGACATTAAATTTGTGGGTGGAGGACACAAACAGGAAACATGTTTCGATTGATGGCAACCTGGTTTGGTACTATTCATCGTTTTGGACATTCACTGGGGTCTTGGAATTTCAAAAATAAGATGTTTGAGTAGCTGTATACTCTATCACATGGATGGAACATACTCTGGTTGTATCAGCATTTTTTTTTTTTTTTTTTTGAGATGGAATCATTCTGTTGCCCAGGTTGGAGTTCAGTGGTGCGATCTTGGCCCACTGCAGCCTCTGCCTCCCGGGTTCAAGTGATTCTTTGCCTCAGCCTCCCAAGCAGCGGGGATTACAGGCGTGTGCCACCATGCCCAGCTAATTTTTGTATTTTTAGTAGAAAGGAGGTTTCTGTATGTTGGCCAGGCTGGTCTCGAACTCTTGGCTTCAAGTGATCCACCCGCCTCAGTCTCCGAAAGTGCTGGGATTACAGGTGTGAGCCACCGCACCCAGCCTGGTGTGCATCAGCATTTTGGACTTTGGAGTTTATGTAACCAAGGATCCAGGCTGTGGACCTCGTTTATTACTTGAAGAATTCAATATTTATTTCTGCCTTTTTGACTCCTTGACTGTAAAATACTGATCTGATCTGTAGAGAGAACAGTACATGGACCCGGGAATCCTCAGTGCCTTAATAGATCCTAAGTACTTATTTATTCTTTCCCATAGAGGCTTACACATGGTAGGAGAAGAGATTTCTGGAATACCTTTCCTCCCCAAAGAAAGCTGGTTTCTTTTGTTTGTTAAGTGAGAGAGTGGTACCACAGGGTTTCCGAGATTTCCAAGGCTGATGAAAATTCTTAACTTCTGTTGTCTGCTTGTCTTGCTTTCTTGAATTTATTTTTTGTATGTTATGTATTTATTATTTAGAGAGAGGATCTCCCTGTGTCACCCAGGCTGGAGTGCAGTGTCACAGTCATAACTCACGGCAGTGTCAACCTCCTGGGCTCAAGTGATTCTCCTTCCTTGGCCTCCTGAGTAGCTAGGAACACAGGCATGCTCCACTATGCCTGGCTATTTTTTTCCCCCTGGAGACAGGATCTTGTTGTGTTGCACAGGCTGGTTTCAAACTCTTGGCCTCAAAGCTAGCCTCCCACCTTGGTCTCTGAAAGTGCTAGAATTAAATAGAATTAAAGGTGTGACCAACTGCACCCAGCTTATTTATGATGATGATGATGATGATGATGATGATGATGTTTGGGAGATGGAGTCTCTGTCGCCCAGGCTGGAGTGCAATGGCACGATCTCAGCTGACTGCAACCTCTGGCTCACTGCAACCTCCACCTCCTGGGTTCAACTGATTTTTGTGCCTTAGCCTCCTGAGTAGCTGGGATTACAGGCACCCGCCATCATGCCTGGCTAATTTTTCTATTTTTGTAGAGACGGGGTTTCACCATGTTAGCCAGGCTGGTCTCAAACTCCTGACCTCAGGTGATCCGCCCACTTCGGCCTCCCAAAGTGCTGGGATTACAGGCATGAGCCGCTGCACCCAGCTCTATTTTTTGTTTTGTGGTAGGAAATTATAAAACATGGAATTATGCATTTGTCAGGCTTTAACTACTTTTGAAAAAATGTTGGAAAATATTTCTGTATGAAACATAAAACAACTTTTAATTTTTTTTTAGAAGTCAATGAAAGGATTCTATTTTGCAAAGCTGTATTATGAAGCTAAAGAATATGATCTTGCTAAAAAGTAAGTACAAACCGTAACATGTATTCTTTTTTTTAAAATCAATGCCTTTTCTCATTTTCTTCTTTGAAATAGGTAAAAATATGTTCTTAGTAGTTCTTCCTAAGTGTATTCTGGAATAAGGGATTTATCACTCAGACTGATGCTAAGGACCAGCCTAGATTCCATTGAGATTGAAACTGCAATTAGTGTTTTCTGCATGCTGCTGCTTTATACCAAGGGCAAGAAATTGTTTGGCTTAAAACACTTTTTCTAAAAATTGTCTTCTGTTGGAGTAAAAGAGGACCATGCCTATATCTTAATTTGTTTTTGGTTAGATATCTGATACCTTAATCAGATGGAAAATAGCAATGAATAAAAAACTAAACTGTAATTGTAAGGCAGGAGAATAGCTTGTATAAAAGATCTTTAATTGACACAATATGTGATGCTGTAAGGCTCTATCCTAGGGATAAGAAGCTTGGTGATTCTGATTTCCTGGCTGGGAGTGGATTAAAGCAGGAAATTAAGAGGGAGGCAGGCTTTTTTTTTTTTTTAGGCAGTATCTGTCTCTCTTGCTCCGGCTGGAGTGCAGCAGCTGGCTCCATCTTTGCTCACTGTAACCTCTGCCTTCTGGGCTCAAGCGATCTTCCCACCTCAGCGCCCCAAGTAGCTGGGGATACAGATGCGCACCACCACGTGGACCTGGCTAAGGTTTGCATTTTTTGGTAGAGACAGGTGTCACTATGTTGCCCAGGCTAGTCTTGAACTTCTGAGCACAGCAGTCTGCCTGCCTCGGCCTCCCATAGTGTTGGGACTACAGGTGTGTGTTACTGCTCCCAGCTGGGAGGCAGGCTTTTAAAGGCATCCAAAGGAAGATGGAAATGCTGGTAAGAAAGGAAAATGGTGGTACATAAATTATGTAACTAGCAGCACTGTGACTGTTAACTCTTGTACCTTTTTACTGTGAGACTTTAATCCCTTAGTTTAGGTCTGGCCTAATTTCTCTGATCGTAATACTGTCAAGGAACCTAGAGGATATTTACTTATTTTAGTTGTTACTTGATTTGAGAAATGGAAATTTCCTGTATTTGGTACTGTAATTAGTAATTTTTCTTCTGTTCGATTTTAGCTGGATATAGTACTGTTAGAAATTACTTTCTTGCTTAAAGGGTAAATGTATTTCCCTTTGTTGTTTGGGAAATTGTTGCTGTTTAGTATTTTGCATTATGATAACTTTAAAAATGTTTATTATAATCACTTCTAATTTATTGGCAAAACTGTTAGTGCTTTATTAAAATGTGATCAGGAAGAAAAAGCAATCTATATGTTCATTTCTTATGTGTGGTTAACACTGGAGAAAAATTTGGTAAATGTGACATTTAATGGTAAAATGAGTATGTGGTCAACTCTATGTACGTGTTTTTAAGTATTACCCATTTCTTTCTATGAATACTTTTGAGTTATCTGCATAAATAGTGGTAGTTTTGAGTAACAATATAAACGAGTTTAGTGGTTGCTTTGGTTTAAGATGTATTCTTCGGTTAGCATTTAAAAGTACAGTTCTAAGTTTAATTTACTTTTGTATTACTTTTAAAAAACAGATACATATGTACTTACATTAATGTGCAAGAGAGGGATCCCAAAGCTCACAGATTTCTGGGTCTTCTTTATGAATTGGAAGAAAACACAGAGAAAGCCGTTGAATGTTACAGGGTAAGTTATAGGATTCAAATATAGCCTTTGCATAGCCAAACACATGATGCCCAGAGAAATTTATATAAGTAAGTCAAATATATTTTATAAATATCATAAAACAGGCATTGGTATCATAGTACAATTATGTGACACAGCTTGGAACAGATTTAGAATTGTTTAACACCTATAAATTGTAAGTCTAACACGGTCAGAAATGGTGTTCTTTTGTGTTTTTTGCATTCAAATGACACAAATATAATTTTTATTTGATTCATTTCTAGAAAATTCCAAGACACTTTTATTTTAACACCTTTAAAGTAACATGTTTTCTCTAGAAGTAGAATTTTTTAAGGGTTGGAGTGATAATTTTTAACCTTTATGTATAAGTATATATACTCCTACATACATACATACAATTTATTTACTAATCTTTAATTTCTTTTCTGATATTAGCGTTCAGTGGAATTAAACCCAACACAAAAAGATCTTGTGTTGAAGATTGCAGAATTGCTTTGTAAAAATGATGTTACTGATGGAAGAGCAAAATACTGGGTCGAAAGAGCAGCAAAACTTTTCCCAGGAAGTCCTGCAATTTATAAACTAAAGGTAAACAAACAAAACATAAAGGGAGAAAACTTAAGACATAACCATTTCTAATATTTGGAGTTTAAATTACTTTTCAATAGCAAACCTTAAGCTCAGGTGTTTGTGTTTCCTTTAACATTTTTCTTTTAAAAAGTGTATTAAAACCTTTCTGAGCATCTACTGTCTTATTAGGCATTGTTATACTTTATAAGTGACATCTCATTTACCCTTCTGGAATAATTAATATTTTAGGGATTTTACAGTTTAGTAGCTGTAAACTAAGTAGAGCTAAGATTTACATTAAGTTCTGTCTGATATACAATTTTTGCTTCATTAAGTGAAAATTACCTACAGGATGACAATTTAGGGATATTTTAAAGAAGAGTTTTCTGATAACTATTGTCTGAAAGTAGAAGGGATTGTATTTTGAGATAGTAAGGTTTTCAAGCAAAAGATAAAAGGTGGTTTCTGTAGTATATAAGACGTAATTACTAAAAATGGTAGGAAGTTCTTGCTAGTGTGTTGACTGGTCCTGATATTCTTTATAGAGTAAAATATAGTTTACTAAGTAACTGTTCTGGAGAAATCTACACAAATATGTTTGGCAAACATTTAAAATGTATATTGTAATGTTTTATATATTAATGTATACTTTATTGTGTGTGTACAATATAAAATTATAAATGTATATTTGCCTTTAGCTTCCTCCTACCCCCATCATATATGTTTCTGATAGAAATTTAAAAAATTTTAATTTTGAAATAATTATAGATTTTTTTGCACAGGAAGTTGCAAAGTTTGCACAGAAAGATCCTATATGCTACTTCATTTTTCCCCAATGCTTATACAGGTTGAGCATTTAAAATCCGAAATCCTAAATGCTCCAAAATCTGAAATTTTTTGAGCACTGACATGATGCTCAAAGAAATGCTCATTGGAAAATTTTGGATTTCAGATTTTCAGATTTGGGATGCTCTATCTGCTAAGTATCCTGCAAATATTCCAAAGTCTGAAAAAGTTCAAAATCTGAAATACTTCTGGTCTCAAGCATTTTGGATAAGGGATACTCAACCTGTTTAACCTGACCAAAGCACAGTATCAAAATCAGGAATTTTGACATTGGTACAATGTGTATGTATAGTTTTCTTTCATTTTATCACGTGTAGATTCATACCACCACTGCCGTCAAGATACAGAACTACTCTGTTACCACAGAGATCTTCCTCATGCTGCCCCTTTTGTAGTCATGCTATTTACTTCTCTTCACTATGCCTGACCTCTGGCAACCATTAATCTGTTCTCCATCTTTATACTTTGGTGATTTCAAAATGTTATGTAAATGTCATCATGAAATGTGTGACTTTTTTTTTCTTTTTTCATTGTTTTTGAGACGGAGTCTCGCTCTGTTGCCCAGGTTGGAGTTCACTGGCGCAATCTCGGCTCACTGCCACCTCCGCCTCCCAGGTTCAAGCGATTCTCCTGCCTCGGCCTTCCGGGTAGCTGGGACTACAGGCACATGTTACCATGTCCCGCTTATTTTTGTATTTTTAGTAGAAACTGGCTGGTCTCGAACTCCTGACCTCCTGTGATCTGCCCACCCCAGCCTCCCAAAGTGCTAGGATTACAGGCGTGAGCCACCGCGGCCAGCCAAGCATGTGACCTTTTGAGGTTGGCTTGTTCAGTCAGCATAATACCATTTGTGATCCATATTAAGTTTTGTATATCCATAGTTGGTTCCTTTACTTCTGAGTAGTATTTCATGGTCCACAATTTAACCATTCACTTTTTTTTTTTTTTTTTTTTTTTTTTTTGAGACAGAGTCTTGCTCTGTTGCCCATGCTGGAGTGCAGTGGTGCTACCTCGGCTCACTGCAACTTCTGCCTCCCAGGTTCTCAGGTGATCCACCCACTTTGGCCTCCCAAAGTGCTGGGATTACAGGTGTGAGCCACTGTGCCCAGCCTTAACCATTCACTTTTGAGGGGCATTTTGGTTATTTCTAGGTTTTGGCTATTGTTCAACTGCTATGAACAATCATGTACAGATTTTTGAAGCTGAAAAAGCATTGAAGATGCTTCCAAAGATAAATATTACTGATAAGTTTTTCTCCCCAGTAATAAGCAGCTGGATTTTAAATGTTAGTCTAAAGCGTGAGGTCTAATTGTGCAGATTTCTTTACTCTCTTAGGTGTTATGCCTCAAACATAACTCCCATATTGGGCGTGGCAATCCAGTTAATCTGGTGTCAGTAGTGTTAAAGAACATATGTAATGGCAGGAGATTCTTTTCTTGCAGTGTAACAAGTTAGATACTTTGAAGCACTCTTTAAAGATTTTCTTTAATAACTTGAAGGCACTGTTACACCTTTCCTGTATCAGATTTTTTTTTTTTGGAATTGAAATCCATGAGATTTATAACTGTCATGCAAAGTAATTCCATTTCTCCTAAAATTTAAGGCTTGCTAAGGTAAACAGTTTCTGACATTTGTTTAATGAATGAGAGTATTACTGTTGAGAAGGCTTTTTCTCTCAAGTATGAGATAGAACTTTTTAAAAGCACTCATAGTGGTTTTTAAAAAAATGTTTAACATAGAGTCAAAGACTAGGGCTTTTGCAATAGGGAGAGGCCAGGGTTTCATCCATCTCATCCAGAAGAGGAGAAATTGATAAAGGAGAGAGGGGAATGAAATACAGAGTACTAATGGGCGGCTTGGTCTTGAGAGTTGGGGAAAGACGAGTTTAAGTAGGTAAGGTAAAATGGAATTTATATGTGATAGCATCAGGTTTCTCAGTGAAGGATGAATCTAGGTTATAAGTTGAAAGTGAGGGTCAAAGGAAGGTATGGGGAAGTTGAGGAAATAGGAGGAGGTGTGAAGTGTCAGGGAGTGGAGAAAGTGAGTCTGTTAGTACTAAAATGGTATTTTGTTTTAGGCAGCACCAGTTTGATGGTTGAGATAATGCAAATGAAATCAGTTAGCTTGGGGTTATGATTTCCCAAATCTAAGCACACAGAAACCAGTTGGGAGGGTTCTTCTGAGGAAAAGAGGGAATTAGTTGAAGGGATCTGTAAGCAAACAGTAATTATGGATATAAGGGATTATAGCATTTTTTGCCTGACAGAAGAAAGTGTGTGTATTTATATGTGTTTACAGGTGTTTAAAACTTGATGATGTTATTGTCTTGAAGGGAACTTGTCATATGGTGGAGAAGTATATTTCTGAAAGTAAGGGTATGTAGGCCCTCAGTGAGGTGGAAGAATAAGAAGGGTGGTATGGTGGTTTCGGTGGTATGACCAAAATGCAGATTTTGAAGACCTGTGTCAGTGGCAAGTGGATGGTTGAGGTTGGAGTAGAGGATAACATCACTGGAGATGAGGTGATTAAGGAACTGAGTAGTCAGCCTGGGCAACACGGCAAGACCCCATCTCTACAGAACGTTAAAAAAAAATTAGCCGGGCATGGTGGTGCATGCCTATGGTCCTAGCTTCTTGAGAGGCTGATGGAAGAGCATCGCAAATGAGAAGCGAGTGGCCACAAACCCTACTTCCTCTCCTCGTATGTAAGTTCAGAGAGAAAAAGCCATCATGGTAGTGGGGGTTATCCTGAGATGATACTGTCTTCATTTAAGGTCAGGAGGTGATGACAGTGCTTTGAGATGATGATAAAGGTAACAGAACAGTGGGAGGAGAGGGGATGCAGGATTGAATCAGATTTAAGGAGATACAGAGCAGTTTGAACATAAGGACCTTGTTGCTGAGGATTGACTGGGGAGGTCTAGGCTTCTGGTGGTGACTCAGATGGACAGGAATGTGTGGCATTAGTCCTGGTAGTCTCTGAAGAGAGTATGAGCTACTGCAGTAATCACAGATGCTTTTCTTCACATACAGTTCTTGAGGCTTAGTTTCTGGGTTGTAAGCAACTCTCAGAAGGGACGAATAAGGTATTTAGGATGGTGTTTTTGGTGGCATCATCATAAAACTAGACATAGTGGAATGGTGCTTTTTGGGAGCATGACTTGTTTAAAGTTGCACAAGTGTTACTCTAATAATTTTTCTTTTTCCTCTCTAAATAGGAACAGCTTCTAGATTGTGAAGGTGAAGATGGATGGAATAAACTTTTTGACTTGATTCAGTCAGAACTTTATGTAAGACCTGATGACGTCCATGTGAACATCCGGCTAGTGGAGTTGTATCGCTCAACTAAAAGATTGAAGGATGCTGTGGCCCACTGCCATGAGGCAGAGAGGAACATAGCTTTGCGTTCAAGTTTAGAGTGGAATTCGTGTGTTGTACAGACCCTTAAGGTAGATAAAAGCTATTGAGTCTTTACATTTCTATGTAGGCAATTAGCATACATCTTTTTGTACTAAAGCAGCAGTGCCCCGCAGGACTTAAATTTCTTTTATTTATGTAGAACAGTTATAAAATGAAATTTTTACCAGGATCAGTTAAATTTATAATGGGAAGATTGGGGAGATAACTATGATAAATGTATATATTTTTGGTGTTTTCATTTATAAGGTTGATGTAAAAATCAATGTAGTTTCACAAATGTGGTTGGAGTGAGAAAAGGAATTTGTAGGCATAAAATGGTTAATTACTTAACACTTGATTAAGTTTTGTAACTTACTATTCATTCCACAAAATAGGAATATCTGGAGTCTTTACAGTGTTTGGAGTCTGATAAAAGTGACTGGCGAGCAACCAATACAGACTTACTGCTGGCCTATGCTAATCTTATGCTTCTTACGCTTTCCACTAGAGATGTGCAGGAAAATAGAGAATTACTGGAAAGGTGCGTAGACTTTGAGGAGAATGCTTTAGTATAAATTGCAGTTTTTCTTTTTGCAGTAAGTTCATTGCTCTAAACTTCTTCACTGAATCATTATTTCTATAATGTACCTAGGAGTTATAGTTAATACAGTGAACCGCTAGGAGGCAATCTTATTTTTCTTCTTTTACAGGGAAGTTCTAATTGGTTTTATATGACTTTCCTTTTTAGAGAACTCTTATAGTTCAAGCTTGATTAAAATTAGCCTTATGGTTACTCAGTTTTGTCATAGTCAAGCTTAAAATGAATGTTCTAACTGCTATTTCATATTTTATTTTTTTATAATAGTATAATCTTTAGTGAAAATTAAAGTTCATCTGTCATCAGATGGCTAGGTTCACATGTACTAGTATAAGCACTTAGCATCACTGGTATTTCAGAAAATACTGTTTTAGCTAAGAAACAAAATAACTCAACTATGTGATTTACCTTTTTTCCTAAATTTTGATTTTGAAAACCAGTGTCTCCATTTTGAAAATAAATTCCATTGAACAAAAACATCACTTGGATTTGTATAAAGATGTTAGTTTAGAGCAGGGGTTGATTAGAACTTGTGGGCCAAATATGGCCCCTGCCTAATTTTGTTAATATTTATTGGAATGCAGCTTGCCTCTGTTTATGTATTGTCTGTGGCTGCTTACATACTACAGGGTTGGAGTTGAGTGGTTTCAGCAGAGATTGTATGCCTGTAAAGCCAGATTAGTAATCTCCTCCTTTTGTAGAAAAAGTTTACTGATTGCTAATTTAGGCTGTCCATTTGTTTGGAAGTTAATTTATTTCCCCATCTGGTATAAGGAAAGAAGTTCATTTCACTGAGTGCAGGGAGTAGGTAATTTTCTTGAAAAAGTACATAGTGTCCTAAATTGGTAGGGTAAGAGCAGTATCTAAAAGAACTAACATAACTTTAAGATTATTTTAGAAAACATGTAGGATGTTTTATTTTGTGTTCTTTGTATACTCAAATTTTTTGGTCACAAGTTCCTTTTACATTTTTCTTAAGGACATCAAAGATCTTTGTATGTGGGTTCCTTTTTTTCTTTCTTTCTTTTTTTTTTTTTTTTTTTTTTTGAGATGGAGTCTTGCTCTGTCACCAGGCTGGAGTGCAGTGGCACGACCTTGGCTCACTGTAACCTCCGCCTCCCGGGTTCAGGCGATTCTCCTGCCTCAGCCTCCCAAGTAGCTGGGACCACAGGCACACACCACTACGCCCAGCTAATTTTTGTATTTTTAGTAGAGACGGGGTTCAGGATGGTCTCAATCTCTCTTTTTTTTTTTTTGAGACTGAGTCTTGCTCTCGCCAGGTTGGCATGCAGTGGTGCAGTCTCGGCTCACTGCAACCTCTGCCTCCTGGGTTCAAGTGATTCTCTTGTCTCTGCCTCCTGAATAGGTGGGACTACATGTGCCCGACACCACACCTGGCTAATTTTTTTTTTTTTTTTTTTTTGAGACAGAGTCTCGCTCTGTCACCCAGCCTGGAGTACAGTGGCACAATCTCGGCTCACTGCAAGCTTCACAATTTCCTCTCAATGCTCTGAATAAGAGCTTATCCTCCTGCCTCAGGTTGTTCCCCACCAGGAAGCCCCAGGAGGGCCCTGAGGACAGCCCTTGGCCCTCAGAGGGGGAGGCTCAGGAGGGGAAATGACCATGGGGATGGAGTCACTCAGGGGAGAATCTGGACCATGATGGGGTGACTTGGGGGCCTGAGGGGAGGACCCTGAGGAAGATAAAAAGCTGGTGCCACCCTAGGCAGTTTCACAGTGTGGCTTAGGGCTGTGGGTGACAGATGGTTTGTCAGATCAGTTAATCAGGCCTCATGGGCCCTTTGTTACCCGCCTTGTGAACCTCCCAGGTTCATGCCATTCTTCTGCCTCAGCCTCCTGAGTAGCTGGGACTACAGGCGCCCACCACCACGCTCGGCTAATTTTTTTTGTATTTTTAGTAGAGACGGAGTGTCACCGTGTTAGCCAGGATGGTCTCGATCTCCTGACCTCGTGATCTGCCCTCCTCGGCCTCCCGAAGTGTTGGGATTACAGGGGTGAGCCACCGCGCCCAGCCCACACCTGGCTAGTTTTTGTATTTTTAGTAGAAACAGGGTTTCATCATGTTGGCCAGGATGGTCTCGATCTTTTTTTTTTTTGAGATGGAGTCTCGCTCTGTTGCCCAGGCTGGAGTGCAGTGGCGCCATCTCGGCTCACTGCAAGCTCTGTCTCCAGGGTTCATGCCATTCTCCTGCCTCAGCCTCCCGAGTAGCTGGGCCTACAGGTGCCCGCCACCACACCCAGCTAATTTTTTGTATTTTTAGTAGAGATGGGGTTTCACCGTGTTAGCCAGGATGGTCTTGATATCCTGACCTTGTGATCCGCCTGCCTCAGCCTCCCAAAGTGCTGGGATTACAGGCATGAGCCACCACGCCCGGCTGGTCTCGGTCTCTTGACCTCTTGATCCGTCTACCTTGGCCTCCCAAAGTACTGGAAGGTCTCAATCTCTTGACCTCGTGATCCGCCTGCCTTGGCCTTCCAAAGTGCTGGGATTGCAGGTCTGAGCCACTGCATCCGGCCGTATGTGGGTTATTTCTGTCAGTGTTTATTACATTAGAAATTAAAACAAAAAATGTAATCCATTAAAAATGTAATAAGCCCTATTGTGTGTTAATAATAATAGCTTTTTTTTTTTTTTTTTGAGACGGAGTTTTGCTCTTGTTGCCCAGGCTAGAGTGCAACAGTGTGATCTCGGATCACTGCAACCTCTGCTTCCCAGGTTCAAGCGATTCTCCTGCCTCAGCCTCCCAAGTAGCTGGAATTACAGGTGCCCACCACCACGCCTGGCTAATTTTTTGTATTTTTAGTAGAGATGGGGTTTCACCATGTTGGCTAGGCTGGTCTTGAACTCCTGACCTCAGGTGATCCACCCGCCTCGGCCTCCCAAAGTGCTGGAATTACATGTGTGAGCCACTGCGCAGGGCCAATAATAGCATTTTTTATGAAAAATAACTATTTCCCAACAGCAAAAAAGTAGTCAGAAAAGTGTCATTGTTTTTGCATTGTTGTAAATCTTTTTAATGTCTCGCTTAATAGAACATAGCTAGATTCTCATTTACTTCCTCTTTCAGTCTGTAAAACTATTACATGTCATGAAGCCTCTAGAAAACTCAGCTCAGCGGGGCGCGGTGGCTCAGGCCTGTAATCCCAGCACTTTGGGAGGCCGAGGCGGGTGGATCACGAAGTCAGGAGATCGAGACCATCCCAGCTAACAATGGTGAAACCTTGTCTCTACTAAAAATACAAAAAATTAGCCGGGCATGTTGGTACACGCCTATAGTCCCAGCTGCTCGGGAGGCTGAGGCAGAAGAATCGCTTGAACCTGGGAGTCAGAGGTTGCAGTAAGCCAAGATTGTGCCACTGCACTCCAGCCTTGTGACAGAGTGAGATTCTGTCTCCAAAAACAAAAACAAAAAAAGTCAGCTCTACATACATGAGAAAATGAGTATGTAATATATAAATTTTTTTTGGTATTGTAAAAGTAATTTTAACTTCATGGATCCCCTGAAGGGGTTTTTGAGCACCCTCAGAGATCTTTAGACCTCACTTGCTCTGGTTGCTTTATTGTAAGCCACTTTAAAATCATGCTTCACGTTTAAGTGTTTGCTTTTTGCTTTTACTTTTCTTCCAAAGTGAGGATTTGGAGAAACATTAGGATTTAGAAGAACTAATTTAGAATATAGATTACAAATAGTAGGCCAGACATAGTGGCTCATGCCTGTAATCCCAGCACATTGGTAAACTGAGGCGGGCGGATCGTGAGGTCAGGAGTTCGAGACCAGCCTGGCCAACATAGTGAAACCCTGTCTCTACTAAAAATATAAAAAAAGTTTAGCGGGGCATGGTGGCAGGTGCCTGTAATCCCAGCTACTCAGGAGGCTGAGTCGGGAGAATCACTTGAACCTGGGAGGTGGAGGTTGCAGTGAGCTTAGATCGTGCCATTGCACTCCAGCCCAGGCGGTAGTGAGAGACTCCGTCTCAAAAAAAAAAAAAAAAAGACAATTTATTTAACGCTGTAATGATCTATATAGTAAAAAGAGCAATTGCTGTATTGATACTCAAATACCTGTCAGTTATTTACTTATAATTTGGAAATGGTATGTCTAATTTGAGAAATTACAACTGTTAATTAAATAATGAAATTATATGATCAGGAAGAAACTACAAAATAGTCTCCCAACTTTATCCTGGTTTATTTTGAAATGTGCACCTATAATCACTAATCTTATATTTATCCTGTGATTGGAGGGCTGGAAATAACTGGGAATAAGACATCATTTGAGAGGTTAAGCATGAAGTATAGGAAGTATGCAGGATAAAAATAAGCATTAGATGATTCATAATTTATAACATGGGGAATAAGAATTATTAGAAGTTGAATGTGGAAGATGAAGCTTGAAATAAAATTTTTATTTTGTTTTGAATTAAATCAACCATGATTATTCACAGTGCAGTAAGTGTGTATCATCTGTTTGATATTTTCATATTACAGTTTTGATAGTGCTCTTCAGTCTGCGAAATCTTCTTTGGGTGGAAATGATGAACTGTCAGCTACTTTCTTAGAAATGAAAGGACATTTCTATATGTATGCTGGTTCTCTGCTCTTGAAGATGGGTCAGCATGGTAATAATGTTCAATGGCGAGCTCTTTCTGAGCTGGCTGCATTGTGCTATCTCATAGCATTTCAGGTAAGTCTTCCACTTGTAGGAGCAATTGACATTTCACGGAGTCTTGATGTGTTTTAAATGAAGGTGTGCTCTGGTATGTAATGACAATATGTGAACAAACCTGTGGAATTAAAGTTAAAATGAAATAGTCAATTTGATACAGTGGAAAATAACTAAGCATACACAATACTGGTGAGGCTGGTGAAACAGGGATGTTGAATGCACTCTTGTCGAAAGCCTGCATTGCCATGATTTGTTTGTAGACAAATTTGAAGAGTTTGATCTTTTTACTCTGCCATTTTTGGGAACATGATAAAGATGTAATCTCGTATTATGGGTAAAGCTTGATTCAAAAAGATGTGTTACTTGGACAAAATCCTAATAAGTAGACGTAGGGCAATGGCTTTATAGCCTATGATAGAAGAATATGATTGCAATTTAACATGTTAATTGAAACACATGTATATAACATTTATGACTGTATTGTGTATATGTAACAGTATATCTATTAATCTTTGAAAACATAAAACCTTTTCTTATTTTTTATTTTTTTATTTTTTTTGAGACCAAGTCTCTCTCTGTCGCCAGGCTGGAGTGCAGTGGCGTGATCTCGGCTCACTGCAGCCTCCACCTCCTGGGTTCGAGTGATTCTCCTGCCTCAGCCTCCCGAGTAGCTGGGACTACAGGCCCATGCTACCAAGCCCAGCTAATTTTTTGTATTTTTAATAGAGATGGGGTTTCACCATGTTGGCCAGGATGGTCGCAATCTCTTGACCTCTTGATCTACCTGCCTTGGTCTCCCAAAGTGCTGGGATTACAGGCGCGAGGCACTGCGCCTGGCGCGCCTGGCTTTTTTTTTTTTTTTTTTTTTTTTTTTTTTTGAGACGCAGTCTCGCTCTGTCGCCCAGGCTGGAGTGCAGTGGCATGATCTCGGCTCACTGCAAGCTCCACCTCCCGAGTTCACGCCATTTTCCTGCCTCAGCCTCCTGAGTAGCTGGGACTACAGGCACCCGCCACCATGCCTGGCTAATTTTTTTTTGTACTTTTAGTAGAGACGGGGTTTCACCGTGGTAGCCAGGATGGTCTCAATCTCCTGACCTAGTCATCCACCTGCCTCGGCCTCCCAAAGTGCTGGGATTTACAGACATGAGCCACCATGCCTGGCCTTTTTTTTTTTTTTTTTTTTTTAATGAGCTTGCATAACTTTCGAAAGGAAAAGAAATAAGCAGTCTTCCAAAAAAACATTAAACCAGGCTTAGAAAGATGATTAATTTTAGAGAAGGATTTTTTGCTTGGGGAGGGAAAAAAAAGGATTCATTACTTTTAGAGAAGGCCCCTCCTTCTAATATAAATCTTTTTTTCTTTTTGAGACGGAGTTTTGCTCTTGTTGCCCAGGCTGGAGTGCAATGGCGCCATCTGGCTCACTGCAACCTCTGCCTCCCGGGTTCAAGCGATTGTCCTGCTTCAGCCTCCCGAGTAGCTGGGATTACAGGCACACGCCACCACGCCCATCTAATTTTGTGTTTTTAGTAGAGACGAGGTTTCTCCATGTTGGTCAGGCTGGTCTTGAGCTCCTGAACTCAGGTGATCTGCGCGTCTCGGCCTCTCAAAGTGCTGGGATTACAGGCAGTGAGCCAGCATGCCCTGCCTAATATAAATCTTTTTATTTTTATTTGAGACGGAGTCTCGCTCTGTCACAAGGCTGGAGTGCAGTGGTGCAATCTCAGCTCACTGCAACCTGTGTCTCCTGGGTTCAAGTGATTCTCCTGCTTCAGCCTGTCACGTATCTGGGATTACAGGCACACACCACCATGCCTGGCTAATTTTTTGTATTTTTTAATAGAGATGGGATTTCACCATGTTAGCCAGGATGGTCTCGATCTTCTGACCTCGTGATCCACCCAACTCGGCCTCTCAAAGTGCTGGGATTACAGGCATGAGCCATTGAGCCCGGCCTGTAAATCTTTTAAAAACACCGTTGATAGACAGTTCACATGTTAAGTGCTAATATTTGCTCAGTAGAAACTTCTGTGTTCATAAGGAATGGATTAGTGAAAATTAATGGATTTAGTGAGGTTCACTAGGTAATACAAACATTAAAAGGTTCTTATAGAAATTCTCAAGTAACTGATAGTTCTTATTTTTATTTATTTTATTTTTTTTTGAGATGGAGTCTCACTCTGTCACCCAGGCTGGAGCACAGTGGCACGACCTCGGCTCACTGCAAGCTCCGCCTCCTGGGTTCACGCCATTCTCCTGCCTCAGCCTCCCGAGTAGCTGGGACTACAGGCACCCACCACCACGCCTGGCTAATTTTTTTGTATTTTCAGTAGAGATGGGGTTTCACCGTGTTAGCCAGGATGGTCTCGATCTCCTGACCTCATGATCCGCCCACCTTGGCCTCCCAAAGTGCTGGCATTACAGGTGTGAGCCACCGCACCCTGCCAATAGTTCTTATTTTTAATGGAAACTTTAAAATTTATCTGTCTGTGTGTCTATTAGAGTCTTGCTGTGTCACCCAGGCTGGAGTGCAGTTGCGTAATCGTAGCTCACCATAACATTGAACTGGGCTCGAGCTTCCCAGAGTGCTGGGATTATAGGTGTGAGCTGCTGCGCACAGCCTAAAATTTTTTGATATGTAGTTTTGGGAGGCAGAGTCTCACTCTTGCTCTGGCTGGAGTGCAGTGGCATGATCATAACTCACTGCATCCTCGAACTCCTGGGCTCAAGTGATCCTCTCCTGCTTCAGCCTCAGCTCAGTAGCTGGGACTACAGGTGCCTGCCACCATGCCTGGCTACATTGTTAAATTTTTTGTAAAGACAAGGTCTTGCTATGTTTCCCAGGCTGGTTGGTCTTGAACTCCTGGCTTCAAGTGATCTTTCTGCCTTGCCCTCCCAAAGTGCTGAGATTACAGGTATGAGCCACCACACCTGACTGTGAACTTTTAATCATAATAAGTTAGTTTCCCTCTTAATCCATTCACTCAGGTCTCCTTTCCTAGATGACAGCTACTGTTAGGAGTTTCTTGGGTGTTCAGAAATATTTTTTGCATATGCAAATGTGCAATACATTCTTTCTCTGCTTTTAAAAAATATTGTGCCTCAGTGTGGGTGTGCTTTACCTATTGCCAGATGCCTTGCTTTTCTAAATGTTTCTTCATTGTTCCACTTCAGCACAGAGATACCTACCTCAGTCTTTATTAACTACCACATATTTCTGTAGAATGAATATATAATAGAAACATCTTAGATGCTTGTATTTTATTTGATCAGTTTATTTTAAAGCTTAATGAACAAATGATTATAAGCATAAAATGTAGGTTATGTGCTGGCATTTGGGTATTTAAGAATTGGCTAACTTTTATGGCAAGATTTTCAGACTCTTAATCAGAGGAATACTGTGGTTCTAGTAAGTGCATCTGCATTGCAGCTAGGTAGTTAACAAAGTATCTTGAAACCTTTTAGTTAAGATGAGGAAATAGCCAGGCGTGGTGGCTCACACCTATAATCTTAGCACTTTGGGAGGCTGAGGCGGGCGGATCGCTTAAGGTCAGGAGTTTGAGACCATCCTGACCAACATGGTCAAACCCCATCTCTACTAAAAATACAAAAATTAGCCACGCATGGTGGCGGGTGCCTGTAGTCCCAGCTACTTGAGAGGCCGAGACAGGAGAATTGCTTGAAACCAGGAGGCGGAGGTTGCAGTGAGCCGAGATCGTGCCACTGCAGCACTCCAGCCTGGCGACAGAGCGAGACTCCATCTCAAAAAAAAAAAAAAGGAAATAGTGAATTGAGATGATTTGATTGAGTGGATTCACAACTAATTAACTGGTCACAGATTCAACTGTTGAATAATTTTGTAAAAGAGGCCGGGTTTATGAATTGAGGTCAGTTTGAAAACAAAAAGAATGATGTCAACATTTTGTTTCTTACTTTGTGTGCTCTTTTCAACATATAGATGACAAACTTTGACATGATGTTTAGAAAACTTGTGAGTAAAAGGATAGGCGATACGAATATTTCTAAAATTCAAAATCAGAAGCTTTTAGGTTCATAAATCATATATTTTGAAAAATGAGCATGTTTGGAAAGAATTATATATACATGGTTTAAAATTCTGGCGGCTCTTAAGAATATGCTATGAAGACTCCTTTCTGTTCCCTAGTTATTTACTTTCTCCACCCCCAAAGAAACTAATGTTATTGCTTTCTTGTGTGTTCTTCAGGAAATGTTTTATGCATCTCCAAGTAAACACACATATATCCCCTGTCTTTAAAAGAAGGAGGAAAACATTTGAACATTGCATTTACTTTATTTCCATTAACTGTATCTTGGAGATGTTTCCATGTCAGTATATATAAAGGGCATTCTCATTAGTTTGGATGCTTGCATATTATTCCATTGTATGGATGTACTGTAGTTTTGGAGTTTTTAAAACCAGGGTCCTAAAACCAGGACATTAGCTTGCTTTTACTTTTGTTTTAAATGCTACTTCAAGTAATTTAGCAATGATTAACTTGTGCCATGAATTCCTGAAAGAATTGCAGTATCAAAGTATATCTGTGCATTTATAATTTTTAGAGCTGTTGCCAAATATCTAACCCTAAAGAGGTTGTATCAAATTACATTTCCACCACCAATTAAGAAAGTGGTGATAGAATTAAAAGCCGATGCTCTAGTCACCCATATAGTTACTTTTGGCATGTTTCTAGTAAGCGGGCATTGCCTATGACTGGACGTTTTCAGTGATGGACATTCATTACTTTTCAAGATAGCCCAGTGCATCTTTAGGTGGTTTGGCTCTTGGTACTTCCTTATATAGAATAAAAATATTCTTCAAGCCTTCTACCTGTTGGTCTTGTTTCTTCTTTTGATGATTTCTTTTATAAAATAATTTTAATATTTGAAGGCAGCTGTCACGTCTTCCCTTCGCCATTCTATTCATCATGCTTTTTTTTTCTTCCATAGGTTATTGCATGAGGATCTCTTTAATTTCCTGGTTGTCCCATTTATTCTAGTGCTATCCCCTATTATCCATACTCTGAAAATGTGTTATCTACAATGTGGCATTTCCAAGTGTCATTTCACCTGTGCTTTTTAAAGTAGGGTGTCATATCTACTCAAATAGGACAACATCTGCTGTTGTCCTATTTATGCAGGGTAGAAAAGTAATGTAATTAAATTTTCCATTTCTCTGAATGTAACATGAATGTGCTTTTAGTAGAAACTAATTTCTCAGAGCTGCTCTGTGTATGCTTTTTTTTTTTTTTTCTTTTTTTGGAGATAGGGTCTCACACTGTCGCCCAAGCTGGAGCACAGTGGCATGATCATGGCTCACTGCAGCCTTGACCTCCTGGATTTAAGTGATCCTCCTGCCTCAGCCTCCTGAGTAGCTGGGACCACAGGTGTGTGCCACCACGCCTGGCTAATTAAAAAAAAACTTTTTTTAGAGATAGGGTCTCACCGTGTTGTTCAGGCTGGTCTTGAACTCTGGGCTCAAGTGATCCCCCCACCTCGGCCTCCCAAAGTGCTGGGATTACAGGTGTGAACCAACATGTCTGGCCCCTCTTTTTTTTTTTTTTTTTTGCGATGGAGTCTCGCTCTTTCACCCAGGCTGGAGTGCAATGGCGCAGTCTCGGCGCACTACAACCTCTGCCTCCCAGGTTCAAGCTATCCTTGTGCCTCAGCCTCCCGTGTAGCTGGAATTAATAGGTGTGTGCCACCACGCCTGGCTCTTTGTTTTTTTTTTTATTATTTTTAGTAGAGACTGGGTTTCACCATGTTGGCCAGGCTGGTCTCGAACTCCTGACCTCAAGTGATCAGCCCACCTTGGCCTCCCAGAGTGTTGGGATTACAGGTGTGAGCCACCACGCCTGTACCTGGCCTATCTTTCATAGGTTATATAAATTCCTTGGTTCCCAGTTTTTGCAGTCTTTTCCAATTCAGTTTAATTAATGGTTAACTGTTTATTCATTATCAAAAAAAGTACAGTGTAATAGATAAGACCATGTTACTATTAGAAGTATGGGTATCATCAAATTAAGATTTTTGATTCTAAAATTATTAGGTTCCAAGACCAAAGATTAAATTAAGAGAAGGTAAAGCTGGACAAAATCTGCTGGAAATGATGGCCTGTGACCGACTGAGCCAATCAGGTAATAGTAATATTAAACTAATTTAATTTAAAAAGAAAAAGGAATTTCTGTTAAGGCATATCTTATGATAAAATCTTCATCTGTCCAGGAGATAATTTGTCAAAATTATTTCTTTTTGCCGTATCAGTTAAGAGCAATAGGTATGGAAGAGATGCGAAGAAATAGCACATTCTTTTAAAAAAATGAATATTTGATATTGTTTGTTCCTATGTGGAGAGGATTTCTTAACTCTTTCTTCATCTGGCTGCTAGAGCCTCTATCCTGAATATTTAGTCACTTCCTGAACTAAGTATAATTATTGATTTGCCAACCATTTAACACCAGCTGATTCTAAAAACACTGCTGTGGGGATATAAAGATGAAGAAGATACGGATCTGTCTTAAAGAGCTGAGAGCATAGTGAGGAAGATAGAAGATATATACTTACCTTATATTAGGCTCTTGGAATTTGTGGATTTTTTCCCCCATTTTTGGCTTGGGATGAATCCTAAAGGTCTGTTGCATATTACCTGTGATTTTGCTAAGATACAAACTTTAAGGTAGTTAGATGGCCATTGAATCAAGCAGTGAACTGAAGAAACATAATGCTTTCTATAAGGAGCAGTTTTGATATAAAATTGGATGAATTTTGTAAAGAGCAAGATGTAATATTAAATCAAAGTTATTATAAGCTTTGGTGTATAGTTAGGCTGTTGGCCAGAGCTCACATTGCTCTTTTATTCCATAGCCCACTTTTTTTGTGGGAGTTAGGCTTTCAGTCCTTAAAGTGACTTTCTACTTTTTCCCTTTTCTCTTTTCCTTCTACCCTTGCAGGGCTCTCATAAGTGCCTTTGCATGGTGTCACAGTTAGATAAAAATTGCCTGTATCTTTTTTTTATGTCTTTGATCTGGGCATTCCGAGGGTGCCTCTGTAAGTGTGCTGAGACACAACTGTGTAGTGGTAACCAAACCTAATTGCCCAGCAGAATTAACTCGAAGGAGGGTTTTTAAAAAAAGTTCAATTGAAATATAATTCGTATACCATACGCTTCACCCATTTAAAGTGTACAGTTCAGTGGCTTTTACTATGTTCATAGAGTATTACCACTGTCACCACAGTCAGTTTTAGAAGATTTTCATCACTCCGTGAGGAATTCCTTACCTATTAGCAGTTACTCCCCATTTTACCCAAACCTCTCAGCCTTGGCAACCGCTAATCTGTCTCTGTAGGTTTGCCTCTTCTGAACATTTCACATAAATGGAATCATAGTATGTGGTCTTTTGTGACTGGCTTCTTTGATTTAGCAAGGTTTTCAAGGTTCATCTGTGTTATAGCATGTATCAGTACTTTATCCGAGGACTATGATTTTTTGATTGCTTACTGTAAACCTATGGCATAAAAATCTCTGGGAACAAGGCCTGGAAATAATTCTTTTTTTTTTTTTTTTTTCCTGAGACAGTCTTACTCTGTCGCCCAGGCTGGAGTGCAGTGGCGTGATCTCGGCTCACTGCAAGCTCCGCCTCCCGGGTTCACGCCATTCTCCTCCCTCAGCCTCCCCAGTAGCTGGGACTACAGGCACCCGCCACCAGGGCCGGCTAATTTTTTTTTTTTTTTTTGTATTTTTAGTAGAGATGGGGTTTCACTGTGTTAGCCAGGATGGTCTTGATCTCCTGACCTCATTATCCACCCAGCTTGGCCTCCCAAAGTGCTGGGATTACAGGCATGAGCCACCGTGCCCAGCTGGAAATAATTCTTAAAAGCTGTTTAAAGGAGGATTCTGATCAGCCAGGTTCAGAAATCAGTGTATCAGATCAGAGAATAAGAGCTTGTCCCTGTTCTCCTATGGCCACTTAAATCCAGACCTTTTCATCTAAAGTGCAAATATGTTTGGCATTTTTCATACACATTCCTGTCTTTTTTCCCCGTTCTGCTGTCTTATGTAGATACTGAGAATATTAAACCTGTACTCTTTTCATTTGCTACATAAGCACCCATTTTGTTGTCCAGCTGTATTTTTTGGGTTGGAGGGTTAGGTTTGCAATAATCATGTTATTTCCCCTTTGGGTATACAAATGAGACAACGTGAGCAAATACAATCTGTATTTTTAAAGTGATGGAAATAACTTAAATTTTTTTTTCAGGGCACATGTTGCTAAGCTTAAGTCGTGGCAAGCAAGATTTCTTAAAAGAGGTTGTTGAAACTTTTGCCAACAAAATTGGGCAGTCTGCGTTATATGATGCTCTGTTTTCTAGTCAGTCACCTAAGGATACATCTTTTCTTGGTAGCGATGATATTGGAAAAATTGATGTACAAGAACCAGAGCTTGAAGATTTGGCTAGATACGATGTTGGTAAGTTATATGTTTCAGAGGAAATGGTCTCCGTCTTAATTCTTATAAATTGCCCATAATGTTATTACCCAGAAATAACGACTTAATATTTTCCTGTATTCCTTTTGTGTGTGGGTTGGGCTGGGGGGAGTTTGAATGTGGTGCTGTGGGGGTGGCATGTATTTTTTGTTGTTGTTGTTGTTGTTTTTGAGACCAAGTTTTGCTCTTGGCGCCCATGCTGGAGTGCAGTGGTGCGATCTCGGCTCACTGTAACCTCTGCCTCCCTGGTTCAAGTGATTCTGCTGCCTCAGTCTCCCAAGTAGCGGGATTACAAATGCCCGCCACCACGCCCGGCTAATTTTTTGTATTTTTAGTAGAGACGGGGTTTCATCATGTTGGTCAGGCTGGTCTCAAACTCCTGACCTCAGGTGATCCACCTGCCTTGGCCTCCCAAAGTGCTGGGATTACAGGTGTGAGCCACTGCGACCAGCCTTGTTGTATTTTGAGACAGGGTCTCGCTGTGTCACCTGGGCTGCAGTGTAGTGGCATGATCGTAGGTCACTGGTGCCTTGAACTTCTGGGCTCAAGGGATTCTCTTGCCTCAGCCTCCTGAGTAGCTGGTACCATAGGCACATGCCACTCGGCCCAGATAATTTTTTTTTTAATTGGCAGAGACAGGGTCTCCCTTTGTTGCCCAGGCTAGTCTCCAACTCCTAGGCTCAAGTGATCCTCCTGCTTAAGCCCCCCAAAATGTTGGGATTAGGCCCGGCACAGTGGCTCATATCTGTAATCCCAGCACTTTGGGAGGCCGAGGCGGGCAGATCACCTGAGATCAGGAGTTCGAGACCATCCTGGCCAACATGGTGAAACCCCGTCTCTACTAAAAATACAAAAATTATCCGGGGGTGGTGGCATGTGCCTGTAGTCCCTACTCAGGAGGCTGAGGCAGGAGAGTCCTTCAACCCGGGAGGTGGAGGTTGCAGTGAGCCAAGATCACACTGCTGCACTACAGCCTGGGCGACAGAGCGAGACTTCGTCTCAAAAACAAAAAGTGTTGGAATTATAGGCATGAGCCACTGCATCTGGCCATATTTTTCATCTAAATGGTTGTTTATGTATGATTTATCTTGCTTCCTTCATGAATTCTCTCCCATAGTCTGTGTATTAAAACTATAAATATCACTTTTATTGGCAATATAATCTTTTTTATGAAGTAGTCATAATTTGCTTGCTACTTTCTGTTATTGGGCATCCAAGTTTTCTCAACTTTTCCACTGTTAATAATCATACTCTGATAAAAACTTCAACAAAAAGTGTCTTCATTGCAAGTTATTTCCATAGAGATACCTAAAAACAGAATTACTGAGACAAAGGACATGAACATCTTTAAGTCTTGCAAATTGCCAAAATGACAGAAAGATTATACCTCTTCATGCTTCCAGAAGCGCATAACCTTTTCTTTTCTTTTCTTTTCTTTTCTTTTCTTTTCTTGTTTTTGAGACAGAGTCTCGCTCTGTCACCCAGGCTGGAGCGCAGTGGCGCAATCTCGGCTGCCAGGTTCAAGCAATTGTCTTGCCTCGGCCTCCCAAGTAGCTGGGACTATAGGCATGTGACACCGTGCTCGGCTAATTTTTTGTATTTTTAGTAGAGACGGAGTTTCACCATGCTGGCCAGGCTGGTCTCGAACTCCTGACTGCGCATAACATTTTCAATATTGACTTTCTTGTAGAAAAACAGATTTCTTTACTGTACCGATGGATTAATATAGTGGTGTTCCATTGCTTTAATGACTTAAAGCAAAACCCATTGTTTTGGGGTTTCTTATTAGGTTAGGTGTTCTTTATTTGGCTTTTGTCAGTTGATTTTGGTTTATTGAGTTCTAGTCAGTGTCATTTTTTAAGATGGACTTAAACATTCTTCATCACTACTATTTTTATTAAAATTTCTAGAAATAATCAAGTGAGAATGCATTTAATAAGAACATGAGATTTTGCCTAACATAGAATTCCCTCCAGCTTTGATATAGAAAAGCAGTTATATAATTAAGATATATATAATGTGAATTGTTTATGTTGGCAAAACTAATGGCACAAAGAAAAATTTCAAACCCTTAAGCCAATTTTTAAATTTTATTTCAGGTGCTATTCGAGCACATAATGGTAGTCTTCAGCATCTTACTTGGCTTGGCTTACAGTGGAATTCATTGCCTGCTTTACCTGGAATCCGAAAATGGCTAAAACAGCTTTTCCATCGTTTGCCCCATGAAACCTCAAGGCTTGAAACAAATGCGCCTGAATCAATATGTATTTTAGATCTTGAAGTAAGCAAAGATTTTAACAAATTAAATATTCTGAATTTTGTTTAATTTTTTTTTCTAACTTAACTTTTCCTTAAATGAAACAGGTATTTCTCCTTGGAGTAGTATATACCAGCCACTTACAATTAAAGGAGAAATGTAATTCTCACCATAGCTCCTATCAGCCGTTATGCCTGCCCTTTCCTGTGTGTAAACAGCTTTGTACAGAAAGACAAAAATCTTGGTGGGATGCGGTTTGTACTCTGATTCACAGAAAAGCAGTGTAAGTAGTAAAACAAAAATATTGCTTTCACTTAGTGCGTAGGTTTTACCGGGGATTTAATCCTCGTGTGAAGATTTAATTTGTCATGTGACCCATTAACATATATGTATGTAAGCGCTGAACTGTGTATTTAGAAAGCAATTTTAGTAAATTGAACTATTTTTTAGACCTGGAAACTTGGCAAAATTGAGACTTCTAGTTCAGCATGAAATAAACACTCTAAGAGCCCAGGAAAAACATGGCCTTCAACCTGCTCTGCTTGTACATTGGGCAAAATACCTTCAGAAAACGGTGAGTTTTAAAGTATAAGCATTTTTAATGAACATTACC
Source organism: Homo sapiens (assembly GCF_000001405.40). Classification (NCBI taxonomy): domain Eukaryota; kingdom Metazoa; phylum Chordata; class Mammalia; order Primates; family Hominidae; genus Homo; species Homo sapiens. The sequence continues at coordinate 112,401,077 of NC_000002.12, read as the reverse complement.
TTAATTTTTTAAAATCATGAACTTTTTATTGAAAGTTTTTTTGTTCTGAAAACAGCAGCTTGGTCATATTATGACAGATGTGTTTTTTATTGCTGCAAAATAGTTAATGTAGTTAAATATAAGCACTTAGAGGAGCAATGCCTGGCACACAGTGAATGTTACATATTAGCTGAGCTGTTACTGTTATTCCTTAATAATTAAGTTCTGATAATTATTCAGCCTGAAAATTAAAAAAAAAATTAGCACAAGGCTTTGTAGGTAAGACCATTATAGATCTTTCTAAATATTTAAGGTGTGTTTTGTGTCACCATTAGGTGTAGATGGTCAGCCTTTTGAACAAACTGACACTACAGAAGAGGCAGGTTTCAGCTATCTAAAAAGGACAACTGTTAAAAAGTAGTTTGGATTGCTACGTTAGAGTGGTATCATTAGAAGCATTTAAAAGTTGAGTGTAGAGGCCGGGTGCGGTGGCTCACACCTGTAATCCCAGCACGTTAGGAGGCCGAGGCGGGCAGATCACAAGGTCAGGAGGTCGAGATCATTCCTGGCTAACACGGTGAAACCCCGTCTCTGCTAAAAATACAAAAAAAAACTCTACTAAAACTACAAAATTAGCCAGACATGGTGGCAGGTGCCTGTAATCCCAGCTACTTGGGAAGCTGAGGCAGGAGAATTGCTTGAACCTGCACGGCAGAGGTTGCAGTGAGTTCACTGGTATTAAGGTGGTTTAGTTATTACAGTATTTGGAAGTTGAACAAATGACTATTGAGGTACCATTTGGTTTTGACTTGAAATTTTAGCCAGTTCTTACAACTTGTAAATGAACTTTAGATCTAATCATGCGTGTTCCTTAAAGTTGTGTGCTTTTAACTTTCTTTTTTAGGGCAGCGGTCTTAATTCTTTTTATGGTCAACTAGAATACATAGGGAGAAGTGTTCATTATTGGAAGAAAGTTTTGCCATTGTTGAAGATAATAAAGAAGAACAGTATTCCTGAACCTATTGATCCTCTGTTTAAACATTTTCATAGTGTAGACATTCAGGTAACAGAGTTCCTTTATGAATTTATTGGAGATGGGAATTTCCAGTTTATAAACAAAGACGTGGAGCTATAAACTGCTTAAATTAATTGCCTTGTTATTTAACGGTAATCTTGTTTTCTAAATTCACTAGCTCTCACAGATAAGATATGACAGAGAAGAGTAATGAGATGTTTGTCTCTTAAGATCATATAAAATCTTTGGAAAATCATTTGGGTTTTATATTCTGAGTATAAACAATTTGACTAAAAACTATTCTATGTGTTTAGGCATCAGAAATTGTTGAATATGAAGAAGACGCACACATAACTTTTGCTATATTGGATGCAGTAAATGGAAATATAGAAGATGCTGTGACTGCTTTTGAATCTATAAAAAGTGTTGTTTCTTATTGGAATCTTGCACTGGTAAGTAGATGCAGTACTTGAGCTAAAAGTTGTATTTATTTATTTATTATTTTTTTTAAAAGACGGGGTTTCTCTGTTGGCCAGGCTAGAGTGCAGTGGCACAATCTTGGCTCACTGCAACCTCTGCTTCCCAGGCTCAAGCGATTCTTGTGCCTCAGCTCCCGAGTTGCTGGGATTACAGGCATGAGCCACCATGCGTGGCCAAGCTGAAAGTTTTTTGTTTTAAAAAGCTAATGATTTCATGAAAGCACTATTTGTATAGATTTTTCACAGGAAGGCAGAAGACATTGAAAATGATGCCCTTTCTCCTGAAGAACAAGAAGAATGCAGAAATTATCTGACAAAGACCAGGGACTACCTAATAAAGATTATAGATGACGGTGATTCAAATCTTTCAGTGGTCAAGAAAGTAAGTAGCAGGTTGTTGTATGTACGTTCTTACTGATAACCCACTGGTCAGTGTTTTTGCGTTGGTCTTATATTTTGGTAATTTCAAAAATACTCAGTAATATGTTGTTATTAATGCACAGAAGGGATGCGTGTGTCTAAATGCTTAGATTTGCTTGCTTTGTCTTAGGTTTGGTGTGTCTTTTTAAACTTGGGAATCTAGGTATATGCTCTTAAAAAGTACTTCTTGGGGAATTAGAAAAGATTTCTAAGATAAGACATTGATTTTGTTATCTTAGCAGTGTAATCAAAACAAATATTATAACCTCAGGACTAATTCTTAATGAACTTTGCTGAAATTGAAAGTTGTTGCTGACAACTTAAGAGCATTTCTTCTCATCGTCATCAGCCATTATGAACGCCCTTGTTTTCTTGCTGTCAGCTGTTTGAGATTGTCATGATGATGTTAAATTATGTTCAGTCTTCTGAGTGTTTTGTTGATTAATTTGTGTTACTACTCTTTTATTAGGATTTATGTTGTCTGGTGTATTGTAGCATCTGTATTTCTGTCACCATTGAAAATCAGTTAGAAAACATCAGTAACTTATTTTGTTCACTTGGAAAAGCTTTCCAAGTTAACATTCCTCTACAATTATCATGGTTAACAGAAGTAATAGAAAGAGCATGGACTTTAGAATCAGAAGATGTTAGACTGTACAACACTTTTCTGTGTTCCTGAAGAAAAAAATAGAATAAAGACAAAAAAATAAAAATAATAATACAAAACAACAGAAAAACAAAGAAAAAAGATAATTAAAAAACACTTTCACGTGTATTATTATTTAAAGTGTAAAGTGCTTATTAAAGTGACAAAAATGTAAATAAGATAAAATATATCATTTTAGAGTTTTTACTTTTGGAATTTTTTGCAAATGAAAGCCCTTAATTAATGTCTTTTATTTTTAGTTGCCTGTGCCCCTGGAGTCTGTAAAACAGATGCTTAATTCAGTCATGCAGGAACTCGAAGACTATAGTGAAGGAGGTCCTCTCTATAAAAATGGTTCTTTGCGAAATGCAGATTCAGAAATAAAACATTCTACACCGTCTCCTACCAAATATTCACTATCACCAAGTAAAAGTTACAAGGTAAACAGGAAAGAATGGAATCATTTCATTGTGAAATTGTTTCTGTTCTAAGTGTTTTAAATGCTGTTTTGTTATTTTTATTTTTTTTTTCAGTATTCTCCCGAAACACCACCTCGATGGACAGAAGATCGGAATTCTTTACTGAATATGATTTGCCAACAAGTAGAGGCCATTAAGGTAAGTCACTTAATTTCTCTAGCTGTACTTTTTATTCCAAGATTCCTTCCCTGGCTACTCTCTCACTTTTTTTCTGAAGCTGGTCAGAATGTCCCCTTGCCATCCAAATAGTATGGCAAGGGGACATTTTGGTCTTTTTTTTTTTTTTTTAAGACAAGGGTCTTGTTCTGTTGTGCAGGCTGGAGTACAGTGGTATGATCACAGCTTACTGCGGCTTCAACCTCCTAGCTCAAGAGAGCCTCTTGGCTCAGCCTGCCACGAAGCCAGGACTACAGACAGTCACATGCCACCAGGCCCAGCTAATTGTTGTATTTTTTGTAGAGATGGGATTTTGCCATGTTGCCCAGGGTGGCCTTGAACTCCTGGCTCAAACAATCCTCCTGCTTCAGCCTCCCAAAGTGCTGGGATTGCAGGTGTGAGCCACTGTGCCCAGCCTACATACCTCGGTCTTGACCCTTTACCATATTTTGTTTTGTTTTGTTTTGAGATGGAGTCTCACTCTGTTGCCCAGTCTGGAGTGCAATGGTGTGATCTTGGCTCACTGCAACCTCCACCTCCCAGGTTCAAGTGACTCTCCTGCCTCAGCCTCCCGAGTAGCTGGGATTACAGGCACCCGCCACCAGGCCCAGCTAATTTTTGTATTTTTAGTAGACACAGAGTTTCACCATGTTGGCCAGGCTGGTTTTGAACTTCTGACCTCAGGTGATCTGCCCACCTTGGCCTCCCAAAGTGCTGGGATTACAGGTGTAAACCACCGCACCCAGCCCTTTACCATATTTTTGAAAGTACTTTATGTGTCTCTCTCCTCATCTTCCACAAAATTTGAGACCTTCAAAGGTAGAAACTGTTTTATTTAAAATATAAGAGTTCCTGACACAGAGAAGGTTCCCGAGTGATTGAAGTGCTACAATGTACTAATCATACTCTGGTCTATGAGTTCATTCCCAGATTAGCTGTGGATTACATGTGTTTCAAATGTATAGCTAGGAATCGAAAAGTGGTCTGAGCTTCAAAAAGTCTTACTATATTTTAATACTTCCATATGAATTTGACTTAATTATGTAAGGAAATAGTTATGTATATATATCTTATTTTAACAATAGGGTTCAAAGGAGCTTGACTTTTTTGGAATTGGAAATAAAAGTAGGTTCTTTCATGTTTATCAAGCAAGAACTAAATTACTCATACTGCTAAAGTTACATCAAGGATATGCTGATGTGTGGCGATTATTACAGTGTGATCAGCAGCATTTGCAAATTAAGAGAATACTATTTGGTGGGGAAGACATTTTTGAATTTGCACAAAAATTTTGAATGTTAATTCTGTGTAGTCGTGGCCTATGACAATTACATACAATTTTGACTTAACATACAGGTTTCAGGCTCCCAACATTGTATTCTGTGGAAGTATAGTGGAGCACTAGTCCATGAGCTTGAAAAGCTTGGTACTAGTACTGACTCTGCCATTAATTAATGATCTTGGGCCAGTCACTTCCTTTGTGACTGTTTGGCTTCTTATCTTTAAAATGAGAGAATTATTGAAGCCAGTTCTCATCACACTGAATGTTAAAAATTACAGTTACAGCAGTGATTGCAAATTCAAAGCTCTGGTGCGGATACCAACAGTGACTATAAAGTTTTCTAGGTGATTCCACTAGTTTCTTATTTCTTGGATGTGTATGTGTAGCATCTGGACTAGGCACTGTAGATGGATGAATGGGGGAAATTTTATTTAGCTTGAAAATTGAGATAGTTTTGGACCTCATGGTTAGGTCTTTCTGGGAAATTTTTAATTGAAACACTTGTAGAAACAGAAAGCAGACATGCTAGATCTGTCCCTGACCTCACTTGTTAGAACTGATCGGATTCCTGGGCTGATACAGAGAAGTTTGAAACTTTTCAAAATTTACCTGTTTTCTGATACCACTACAATTTCTTTGGAAAAAGAATTTCCTGTTAAGTGTCTGTTTTGTAAGGGGACATTTTGTAGGTTCTAGGGTGTTGGGTATGGTGCTGTCATTTAGTTTTCTTCAGCAGAGATCAGGTAGCCACATAGCTACACTAGACGGCATTGGATCTATCTGCCATCTTGTCAAGGCAGCAGAGTTGTGTTAAGAAAACATTTTTGGAGTCAGATGTGTTTCAAATTCCAGCTGTTATTCCCTGCATCCGTTTCTCTCATTTTAAGATAGGAGCTAATATTGTTTACCTAACAGTGTAGATGGTGTAAAAATTAAGAGTTTAAGTGCATTGGACGTATTATTATATACATAATAAATTCTCTGCAGCTACTACTTTTTTCCCTTTCCTGGTGGAGCATTTGAACATCACCTTGAGAATTAGTTGTATTTTGTTTGAACACAGGGTTAAGTGAAAAGCTAATTTGGGGAGGTGATTTGGAATGTCAGGTAGTCCAGGTTGCAGTGTAGAAAGAACACACTGAAAGGATGGTCAGTGTAATGTTAGAGGACTGTGAAAGTTGGGGAAAGAAGTTTAGTTTGTAGGTACTTGTTTTTTTGAGCAGGGAATTGTCTTGGCTGGAGGTGAACGTCAGAAAGGTTAATGTAGGCAAGTGTAGAATGGAAATGAAGGTGTGATCATTTAGGAGGTTATTTGTTTAGGTGAGAGAGTTAATGAATTAGGTTTTGTATTAACGAATGAAAATGGGAGCAGATAAATTTTTAACAAATTAAGAATCATATTTTAAAATCAGCACCAGGTACCTAGAACTCTTTGGCAAATAGAAACTTTCAAAAGATATAATCAGGTCCGGGCGTGGTGGGTCACACCTATAATCCCAGCACTTTGGGAGGCTGAGGTGGTGGATCACTTGAGGTCAGGAGTTCAAGACTAGCCTGGCAAACATGGTGAAACCCCATCTCTACTATTATACCAAAAATTAGCCGGGCGTGCTGGCTGACGCCTGTAATCCCAGCTACTCGGGAGGCTGAGGTGGGAGAATTGCTTGAGCCCAGGAGGTGGAGGTTGCGGTGAGCCAAGATTGTGCCATTGCACTCCAGCCTGGACGACAGATCGAGACACCATCTCAAAAAAGAAAAAAAGAAAAAATCAGTTATTTAAATTTAAAAGAGTAAGTTTCCCCAGCACTGTTTCTGGCATGATATAATTAAATGATTAAAATTATTTGATTTTTTTTTTCTTCCAATAGAAAGAAATGCAGGAGTTGAAACTAAATAGCAGTAAGTCAGCATCCCGTCATCGTTGGCCCACAGAGAATTATGGACCAGACTCGGTGCCTGATGGATATCAGGGGTCACAGACATTTCATGGGGCTCCACTAACAGGTGAGCTGGCAAGTGGATAATCGCATATTTTAGTAAAACTACTTTACTTCCCTCTTTTAAGTAGATAACGTGTGAAATCACCTTGTTTATATATGTTTGTTAATATACATGTCAACGTCTGTTTATATGTGACTTCAAAAGCTGTATTAGGTGTTACGGAGATTTTTATAATCCCAAGCAGAAAAAACGAGCCGTATGTGATCACGTGTATATAAAGGCTTAAAGAACACTTAATCCACACCTCAGATGAGCTGAGATGAGATTATTCCTTAAATTGCAAAATGTTATTGAATAGAGTTATGCACTAAGAAATGCTTAATTAAGAACCTACACCTCTGGGGAATTATTTTGATGATAATGATGAGAGGCAGGACGTTATATAGGAAATCTTACTTAATTTGAAATATTATGGTTATATAAAGAAAGAAAAGGAGTTTGGACCTGAATCATACTGGGTTTTTAAGTTCTGCTCTATCACTTACTATAATAGCTGTGTAAGTTAACCTGTCTGAAATGTGGAGATAATACTTGCCTTACATAATTACTATGAGCATTTGTGTATGTGCAGGTGGGCGTGGGTGTGTATCAGACATTTATTAGAGTATACAGTAAACAGTTAATGAACTAAGGTTACTAATAGTGTTTACTGTGGGTTGGCTGTGTGCAAAAGTGCTGTGTGAATGTAATTTGATTTAATTACAGTAACTTAGAATGGCCGGCACCATTATTAATCCCTTTTTTATAAATAAGGAAATGGATAAAGAAAGGTTAGGTAACTTACTCATTATTATACAGCTAGTTATTGATAGAGCCGAGATTCACACTCCAGTGGTGTAACTCCAAAGCACTTGCCAGTATAATACATTGCTCCCAGGCAGCCAGAAATAACAAAATTGTTCCTTTTACGTACGACAGACTTCTGAAATGGTAGTAGTAGTGCCCTTTTTTTTTTTCTCTTTTTAGCCCAGGAAAGATTTAGAAAAAAATCTAGTTTAGATGAGCACATTTGTGTGATGGTTCCTATAGTTAAGGCAACCCCACTAGCCTTTTGTGATAGTATCTTCTCAACACAAGCAAAATAACAGAAAATCTTTGTGAAGTCAAGCTTATTAAATGTCGTAAGTCATAGATAAGTATATGAAATGTCTAACGTTCAAACCTTGTTTTCTTAAAACCTTACACATCATATAGGTCCTTGTAAGAGGATAAACAAACCGGCTAGCCTTTCCTGGGGCTTTTTTAGTGATGTGTGCAGTCAGTTATTTGGTGCCTTGTGGGTCATGATTTCCATTTCTTCTGTGTACAGGCATAAAAGGTCTTCTGTTCTTATACAAGCATGTAAATCCAACATTCTCATTGTCTCATTTTATTCTTGCAATGACCCTGTGAAATGTGTAGAAGCAGCACATCGTCATTTTACAATTGAGAAACATGGAGACTCCAAATGGATTATTTACAGGTTCACAAAACAGCTTTGTGGCACTGAAAGGGCGAGAGCCAAGATCTCCTGATTTCTGTTCCTGTGTTCATAGATTCTTTTTCCTTAATAAAAGTAAACATATATCAAGATGGTCCTTGTTTTTTTAAAATAAGATGATTAAAATTAAAGATTAATGAGCTCATAGGAGATACTCAGAAGTACTGAACAGGGTGAAGAAAACTAAAAGCTAACCACCTTATTAACATTTCTTATATTTGAGAGCATTTCCTTCTGGTTCTTTCTCTATACATATAGTATTTTTTATGAGATTGTTACCATGTTACTATGTTGTGTGTAGATGAGCTAGCCTGTTTTTAAAATGTTACTTTAGTTCTGAGCATTTTTAAACTTAAATGTTTTTTGAATATTAATGAGTTCATGGTATCCCATCACATGGAAGTACTGTAAATTCTGTTCCTTTATTTATGTTGTTTCTGGTTTATGCCATTACAAATTCTAGGACACTGTCCTAGTTTTGTAGGGTATTCAAAATATTCAGTTTATGCTCTTACCGCTAGTATCTGATAGTGCCATTTTCGCACTTTTGCTAATGCTGACTTACTAGTTTATAAAATCCTTTGCCAATTTGTAGGAACAAAAGTGATATCAATTTTTAAGTTTTTTTAATACTAGTCATGCTCAACAATTCATGCAAATGGCAGTTGGTAGTTTTGCCATCTTCAACGTACCTTCCAGTTGTTTGGTTTCTTGGTAAAACTCACACAAAACAGATGGAGAAGAGTTTTTGTATATCAACATGAATGTTAATGTGATTTTTTTAAAGCCAACGAACACATTTGTGTTCCTTGTGAGATCCTGTGCGTGAATTTGTCAGGTAATTTTTTTGACCTGAACATTCTCATAATAGCTTCAATTTGCACAATGCAACCTCGTCATTTTGCAGATTTTCAAGGCTCACTTCAAAAACATGTTCCTTGAGGCCTATTAACATTTCTTTCCTAAATTGTCTATTCATATGGTGCTTTAAAAAATTAGATTACTTTTAGTAGATTTATTAGAGCCGCACAGTTTAGAGTCAGTAGTCAATTAAAGTCCCTACTTAAACTTCAGACTAAGATTTTTTTTTATTTAATATTTTATTTTTTCTTTTTGCTTTCATGCAGACAGACATCTTGCAAGACTTTAAGATTCTTGGGCCATTTCTGTCAGGTTGTTCTGTGTTCTGTGCCTGCTTCCTCCCCATAGTAATTTCAAAATAGCTATCCTCACCTCTGTAAGGTTTCCGAAATCAAACTTGGGCTTCTGGCTAGCCTTTTCTAGGTCTTGATTTTTCAGTGCTTTCCAGAGGCAATTGTTTGGAACCTCTTGGCACAGTTTCTGTTTCTTCTTCCATGTACAGGCATAAAAGGTCTTTTGGTTGTTTTCTGGTAAAACTATCATAAAACAGTTCAAGCAAATGACTATTGGTAGTTTTGTCATTAACATGGGTGCCTTCTAGTCATTTTGTTTCCTGGCAAAACAGACCAAACAGAGGGAGCAGACAGTTTGTACATCTGTATGAGTGTTGATGTGCTTTTTATTTTAAGCCAGGGAACACATTTTATGTTATTTATGACATCCTTTCCATGAATTTGTCAGGTGATTTTTGAGCTGAACATTCTCAGTAATAGCTTTAGTTTACAAAATACAACCTAGTCTTTCTGCAGATTTTCTAGGCCCACTTCAAATGCATTGACTATCAGATGGCATCTTGGTTCCTTACGTCCTTTCTGTGACTGAATGTCCATAATTCCACATCATACTGATCTTTCTTAGAAAAGGCAACAGTTACTATCTTCTTTATTCCTTTTTTAATGCTTGCGAGGTAGTTCTTGTTGATCACAGCGATGCTATTCTCTCATTCTTCATGTCATATTTAGCAATTTTTTTCTAGTTTGTCATTTGATAATCTTGATTGGTGTATTTTGATGTACAGAAATTTAAAATTTATGTAGTTAAATCTTTCTTTAATTTCTATTGCTTTTGTATTTATAGCTCTTGCCTAGATAGTCTTAACTGTAGTATAGACTTTAACAGTGTTTTCTTTCTTTTCTTTTTTTTTTTTCAGTTGCAACTACTGGCCCTTCAGTATATTATAGTCAGTCACCAGCATATAATTCCCAGTATCTTCTCAGACCAGCAGCTAATGTTACTCCCACAAAGGTAACAAAGGAATAATTTATACATTTATAATTATTTTCTTTTTAAATTGTTTAGGGTTCCTTCAAATAAATTCAAGAGAGCAGTTCACTATTAAAACTTTTATGTCCCTTAAAATGTAGATATTTTAAATTTATCTCCAAATACAGAAATTATCCTTCTCAGTCACCTTATTTTTGTGTTAATAAGTGTGAATATTTAGAATATTTTAAAAATGGGAGTGGTGGTGGTGGATCCTTCATCGTTCTGTTTTAACAGAAATAGAACTGTAATGCCCTTGCTGACCCACTATGTGGTAAGTACTTTCAGGCCTGATACAGCTATATATATAACAATTGATTGAAGACTCAATATTACAGTGGTAGTTGAATGTGACAGCTTTGAGGACAGAGTGTTGGGGTGCATTTAGACCCTTGCTCTTCTGCTTATTTTGACCACAGGCAAGTTTCTTAACCTCTCAGTGCATCAGTTGCCTTATATGTAAAATGAGGATAATAATAATACCTTAATTCATAGGGTTTTTGAGGATATTAAAATGAGATAATAATGTAAAGTGCTTAGAACAGTGCCCAGCTGGCACATTAATGAATGCTCAATAAATGTTATCATCATCATCATCATCATTATTGTTAACATCATTTGATAAATTGTTTAGGAATGAAGAAGGTATTTATTTCATGACTATTTTGGGCATGTGGATCAAGAAAATTCACCTTCATTTATGTTTCAGGGTTCTTCTAATACAGAATTTAAGTCAACCAAAGAAGGATTTTCCATCCCTGTGTCTGCTGATGGATTTAAATTTGGCATTTCGGAACCAGGAAATCAAGAAAAGAAAAGGGAAAAGCCTCTTGAAAATGATACTGGCTTACAGGCTCAGGATATTAGGGGCCGGAAGAAGGGCCGTGGTGTGATTTTTGGCCAAACAAGTAGCACTTTTACATTTGCAGATGTTGCAAAATCAACTTCAGGAGAAGGATTTCAGTTTGGCAAAAAAGACCTCAATTTCAAGGGATTTTCAGGTGCTGGAGAAAAATTATTCTCATCACGATACGGTAAAATGGCCAATAAAGCAAACACTTCCGGTGACTTTGAGAAAGATGATGATGCCTATAAGACTGAGGACAGCGATGACATCCATTTTGAACCAGTAGTTCAAATGCCTGAAAAAGTAGAACTTGTAACAGGAGAAGAAGGTGAAAAAGTTCTGTATTCACAGGGGGTAAAACTATTTAGATTTGATGCTGAGGTAAGGCAGTGGAAAGAAAGGGGCTTGGGGAACTTAAAAATTCTCAAAAACGAGGTCAATGGCAAACTAAGAATGCTGATGCGAAGAGAACAAGTACTAAAAGTGTGTGCTAATCATTGGATAACGACTACAATGAACCTGAAGCCCCTCTCTGGATCAGATAGAGCATGGATGTGGTCAGCCAGTGATTTCTCTGATGGTGATGCCAAACTAGAGCGGTTGGCAGCAAAATTTAAAACACCAGAGCTGGCTGAAGAATTCAAGCAGAAATTTGAGGAATGCCAGCGGCTTCTGTTAGACATACCACTTCAAACTCCCCATAAACTTGTAGATACTGGCAGAGCTGCCAAGTTAATACAGAGAGCTGAAGAAATGAAGAGTGGACTGAAAGATTTCAAAACATTTTTGACAAATGATCAAACAAAAGTCACTGAGGAAGAAAATAAGGGTTCAGGTACAGGTGTGGCCGGTGCCTCAGACACAACAATAAAACCCAATGCTGAAAACACTGGGCCCACATTAGAATGGGATAACTATGACTTAAGGGAAGATGCTTTGGATGATAGTGTCAGTAGTAGCTCAGTACATGCTTCTCCATTGGCAAGTAGCCCTGTGAGAAAAAATCTTTTCCGCTTTGATGAGTCAACAACAGGATCTAACTTCAGTTTTAAATCTGCTTTGAGTCTATCTAAGTCTCCTGCCAAGTTGAATCAGAGTGGGACTTCAGTTGGCACTGATGAAGAATCTGTTGTTACTCAAGAAGAAGAGAGAGATGGACAGTACTTTGAACCTGTTGTTCCTTTACCTGATCTAGTTGAAGTATCCAGTGGTGAGGAAAATGAACAAGTTGTTTTTAGTCACAGGGCAGAAATCTACAGATATGATAAAGATGTTGGTCAATGGAAAGAAAGGGGCATTGGTGATATAAAGATTTTACAGAATTATGATAATAAGCAAGTTCGTATAGTGATGAGAAGGGACCAAGTATTAAAACTTTGTGCCAATCACAGAATAACTCCAGACATGAGTTTGCAAAATATGAAAGGGACAGAAAGAGTATGGGTGTGGACTGCATGTGATTTTGCAGATGGAGAAAGAAAAGTAGAGCATTTAGCTGTTCGTTTTAAACTACAGGATGTTGCAGACTCGTTTAAGAAAATTTTTGATGAAGCAAAAACAGCCCAGGAAAAAGATTCTTTGATAACACCTCATGTTTCTCGGTCAAGCACTCCCAGAGAGTCACCATGTGGCAAAATTGCTGTAGCTGTATTAGAAGAAATCACAAGAGAGAGGACAGATGTTATTCAGGGTGATGATGTAGCAGATGCAGCTTCAGAAGTTGAAGTGTCTAGCACATCTGAAACAACAACAAAAGCAGTGGTTTCTCCTCCAAAGTTTGTATTTGTTTCAGAGTCTGTTAAAAGAATTTTTAGTAGTGAAAAATCAAAACCATTTGCATTTGGCAACAGTTCTGCCACTGGGTCTTTGTTTGGATTTAGTTTTAATGCACCTTTGAAAAGTAACAATAGTGAAACTAGTTCAGTAGCCCAGAGTGGATCTGAAAGCAAAGTGGAACCTAAAAAATGTGAACTGTCAAAGAACTCTGATATCGAACAGTCTTCAGATAGCAAAGTCAAAAATCTCTCTGCTTCCTTTCCAACGGAAGAATCTTCAATCAACTACACATTTAAAACACCAGAAAAGGGTAGGTACTTTGTTGTTAAAGTTAAGCACAATTTTTCTTTCTTTTAATGTTTAGCTTGATGCAGACTCTTTGTGGGATACTAATGTTGGGATATAAACGATGCTTTGTGAACACCCCCAAAATATTTGAGCAATTTTTTTTCTCCCTTAATAAGTTCTCGGTGAGGTTTCAAAGAGCAAGAGAACTTAGTTAAAGACATTTCAGTAACTGGAAGATACTTCTATCATGCTAGGGCAGAGCAAAAGAACTTGGTACAGTGTACGGAGTCATGCTTGAATCATGCGCATTAACGTGAGTCTTTTTTTAAAGTGTTCATTTTCATTTGTTCTGTTTCTTTTGTCACTCAGAAAACATGATATTGAGGCTGGGCACGGTGGCTCACTCCTAGAATGCCAGCACTTTGGGAGGTTGAGGTGGGCAGATCACTTGAGCTCAGGAGTTCGAGACCAGCCTGGCCAACATGGTGAAACCCTGTTTCTACTGAAAATACAAAAATGAGCCGGGCATGGTGGTGCGTGCCTATAATTAGCAGCTACTCAGGAGGTTGAGGCAGGAGGATCGCTTGAGCACAGGAGATGGAGGTAGCAGTGAGCTGAAATCATGCCACTTACTCCAGCCTGACTGAGTGACTGAGTGAGACTTTGTCTCCAAAAAAAACAAAAAACAAAAAACAAAAAAAAACATGATATTGAGATGTTCTCATTTTATGTGTTGTATGTCAGTCTTGCTCATGTATTAAATGAGCAAAGAATGAAACTACAGGGATAAATGAATATGTAAGACAGTCAGATTGGTGGTATAAATTGAGGGATTCTGGCTTTTTATGTTTTAAAAGCATATTCATTTTGTTTCCTAAAATGTTAAAAAATGAAATATTCTTTATTTTCTAGGATTTAATTTTAGCCTTTTTAAATCTAATCCCATGGCCTTTTGGACTAGCACCCCTTCCTCACAGCCTGAGAGCAAAGGTATAGAACTAGCATTCTCAGTATGAGATAACAGCAGTTTTTAGCAGCTGGGTAGCCCTTAGCAAAGTATTAATTACTGTGGCTGTATGAAATGAAGTACTTACCACTACAACATGCATGTTAAAGAATGCCAGTTTAAGCAAAGTACCTTTTGACTGGTGGCATGACACCCTTGTTGGTTTGTTTTTTAAAATGTAGTGGGATGCTGATTTGTAATGTACTTCATTGCTCTGCTATTTCAGGTCTGCTCAATGAAGACCTATGTTTTATCTAATGTTTATCTTTAGCCACTAACGTCTGCCAGTATTCACATGTAGTGGCAACGGCATGTATACAGTATGGAAGAGTGTCCCTGTAGGGCTGTTCTTTTGTGCATGGTTTAGAAAAATGTTGTATTTGAAAATGGACCCCATTTTTAACAGCCAGCATTCTACAGCTTGCATATTATATATGTTGCACAGATCATTTTTAGAAGTGTGGCTACTAGAGTGGAACAAGAAGTGGGATCTGTTGAAGGCCTTCAAGAACAGGTTAGGGAAGTGAAATCTCACCCTTAGTGACCAGTAACACATCTTAGCCATGCCAAACAAGTACAATGATAAAGTAACAATCTCTGATTTTTTTTTAAGTATACCAGTTTTATTACCAGCTAAGGTAGCTCTTAATCTTTTATTTTAAAGATACGGTCTTTGAGAAATGTGAAAAGTGTTAACTTAAAAGTGGATGTATACTTGCGTACAGTTTCTGTGAGCTCTAGGTTAAGAATCCCTGAGCTAAGAACGAATGTGCCTATACACTACTGTAGAACATAGAGCCTTATTCTGTTTTGAATCTGATAATGTCATTGTCCCAAGGGACCTTAGAAATGAAGACTTTAGACATGAGTAAACTGAGGCCAAGAGAGGCTATCTGATTTACCCAAGGGGTCTTTACTGAGTAATAGCAGAAGTGGAACAAGAATCTGTATCTTATGGTGTACTGTTATTTCTCCTAGCTAGGAAATGATACTAAGTTTTTGTTTATAATGAAGGAGAGGGACAGATTTAACATTGTAAAAGGAAGGGCACTGGTTCTGCAGAGCAGTGTCATCCAATAGAAATAAAATATAACCTGTGTATGTAATTTAAAATTGTCATTTGGTGCAATGGCTTGTGCCTATAATCCCAGTTACTTGGGAGGCTGAGGCAGAGGGATCACTTGAGCCCACAAGTTCCAGGCTTCAGTGAACTATGATCACATCACTGCACTCCAGCTCTGGGTGACAAAGGTGACAAAGGAAGACCGCATCTCAAATAAATACATAAATAAATAAATTTTCTAGTAGCCATATTAAAAAGAATAAAAAGAAACAGTTAAAAAGGGAAACAGATGAAAGTAACTTTATTGATAGATTTGATTTAACTCATTATGTCCAAAATATCATTTTAACTTCTAATTAATATAAAAATTAACGATATTTTACATTATTGTTTTTCACCAAGTCTTCAAAATCCAGTGTGTGTGTTTACACTTACTGTTAGCATGTCTTGATTTGGACTAGCCACCTTGTGAGGTTTTAATAGAATGTGGCTAGGCTACCATATTGGACACCATAGCTCTCAGAATGTTTCCCTGTCACCAGTTGGTATACATGGCATGCTTCATAACTGGCTTACTTTATTAAACTCCTTTAGCCAGAAGTTCTTCTTTACATTAATAGATCAGAACAGGTTGCATATAGAAGTTTTTTCTGTTTCTAATTTTTTGCCCTTTGCATTGATGGTGGCTGGGGATGGGTTGTTTTCAGCCATATGAATGGTCTTAGATTTTATAGTGTTAGCTACCCATAGAGTCACAGTTTTTATTTAATTTTATCTAGTATCATGCTTGAACACAGGCAAACTAGATGCAACTCTAGTCACCTTCCATTCTTGGCAATTGTTAACTTTCCTTACAGGAACTAATCACAGTTGGCTTTGGATTAGTTTCATATGTATACTAATACTTGCTTATGTTTTAAGATTTTTTTCAATTGCTGCAAATGCGTGGATATTTTGGTAAACTATTGTATGCTAAGTATAGTTAGGCAACACTTTAAAATTTTTAACCTTTTTAAATTCTAGAAATTTTGTAGTAATTCTTTTCAATGACTATTAAGTAAACACAAGATTTTTTTTGTTTTCTTTGGTTTTAAATAGATTCTGTGTTCACTTAGGGTTTTTGGTAGAACACTAAATCAGGATGCTAATTCTAATTCATGATTATCGTACATCTCTGCATCAAAGTATATGTGTTTTTTATCAGTATGCTGTTTTAACCTATAGATAGGTTCCATGGTTTTTATTTTCAGGTAGAGTATTAACGTCAATACTTAATACCTTATCTTTGTCAATTTTTTTGACTGGTGTTACAGCAAAAGAGAAGAAAAAACCTGAAGATTCTCCCTCAGATAGTCTCGGTCTCCTGACCTCGTGATCCACCCGCCTCGGCCTCCCAAAGTGCTGGGATTACAGGCATGAGCCACTGCGCCTGGCTGACACATGTCTTAATTCTGGTATTCACCAGATTTGTTTCGTGTTCTCCGTTGTTAGTCATCAAATTTGTCTACTTTTTAAATAGAAACATTAGCTAGAGCAAGGAACTTAGAAACACTCAAGCGGCACTGAATGTGTAGAATTGCATAACCAATATAGCTTCTTTGCTTTCACATTTACAATTAGTTGGAGTTTTAGTTCAGCCGTACCCAGTATCTTCCATTCTGCTTCCAGGAAGAAATGGAAAAATGTCAGCCATGATGATGCAGTATTTTAGTAGCAAGTTGATGGTGTTTTGGTTTCCCATGGGAAATATTGTCACTGGAGCATTAGCAGCTATCGGTCACTTATTAGGGTAAAAAAGCAACTTCAGAAGAATTTAATATATGCCAAAGAATCAACAAAGGAAGTAATCAGCCAGGGCAAAGGTCGCACAAGAGATTGTAATCTAGCAATCAGCAGTGGAATAAGCAGTCAGCTTACCAGAAACCCAGGAAAATGCTTCAGAAAGGGCAGTCAGGACTAAGGCAATTTAATGAAATGCAAAATAAATGAAATCTGAAGTTTAAATAAAAATCTAGATTACAATTCTGGTTTCTAACTCAGTTATGAGACCTTGGGCAAAGTCATTAAATTTCTCTGAACTTCAGATTTTTGGGAGTCAATAAACCAATACATGTCAAAGGGCCTGGTAAACTTTACAGTTTAGACCAGGCGTGGTGTCTCACCCCTGCAATCTGAGCACTTTGGGAGCCAAAGCAGTTGGATCACATGAGGCCAGGAGTTTGAGACCAGTCTGAACAACATGGTGAAATCCCATCTCTATTAAAAGTACAAAAATTATCTGGGCGGGATGGCATGCACCTGGAAGTCCCAGCTACTTGTGGGGCTGAGGTGGGAGGATGGCCTGAGCCTGGGAGGCAGAGGTTGCTGTGAGCCAAGATCGTGCCACTGCACTCCAACCTGTGTGACAGAGTGAGACCCTGTCTCAGAAAAAATAACACTTTACAGTTTATCAGCAAACAGGAAAGTCTTGCTAGGCAATGTAATTGATTAGTTCCGTGCCCTGGATTCTGGGCTCTTAACTGTATGAGCACTGTAGGTGTGAGCAGCAACAATTAAGAAGCTGCAGAGGTAAAGGTATAAGGGCAGTGATTGAGGATGTCTACCAAGCAGATTTCAGCAAGTGTGTTTCAAGAAGTATGCAGCAATCTGAAATACCTAATCCTGAAAAATTTCTAGAATCTAGTCTTTTAATTTTGGCCAGTATTTAGCAGTAGTTTGGCCCTCTACTCTAAATTAATAAAAAATAAGTAGTACTATATTATGAGCTGTGTTATCTAACAGTTTATCTTAGCTAGTAGCAATTAATTTATAGCTGCTATTAAAATGACTAACGTAGTTAAAAGTTTGATGAGTAAGTTTTTTTTTGTTGTTTTTTTTTTTTGAGCTGGCGTCTCGCTCTGTCGCCAGGCTGGAGTGCGGTGGCGTGATCTTGGCTCACTGCAACCTCCGCCTCCTGGTTTCCAGCAATTCTCTGCCTCAGCCTCCCCAGCAGCTGGGATTACAGGCACCTGCCACTGTGCCTGGCTAATTTTTGTATTTTTAGTAGAGATAGGGTTTCACCATCTTGGCCAGGCTGGTCTTGAACTTGCTGACCTCGTGATCCACCCACCTTAGCCTCCCAAACTGCTAGGATTACAGATTTGAGCCACCACGCCCGGCCTTGATGACTAAATTTTAAGAAATGTTTTAGCAATTCTTCATACACCTTTCACTTATAGTTACTTAATTCCTCTACTCTTATCATTTGATATTTTCATTTTATTGTGTACCTCTGTAAGGCCGAATCAATAGATTTTGAACAATCTCACACTTAACCTTTAAAAAAAATCTAATAGGCCCAGTTTCCTCTCAACAATCTTTGAAGAACCTTCGAGAAAGGAGAAACACAGACCTCCCGCTTCTAGACATGCACACTGTAACCCGGGAAGAGGGAGAAGGCATGGAGACAACTGATACGGAGTCTGTGTCTTCCGCCAGCACATACACACAGTCTTTAGAGCAGCTGCTTAATTCTCCCGAAACTAAACTTGGTCTGTTACTCTGTCTAAATATGTTCTTCTTCTTTAATTTCACTGTCTTATTTAATTACTATTACTCTAAGGTACATATGCTTTTTTGGGCTGCTCCAATAAAATTTCTTTCAATATTCCACTACCTGTTTGTATTAGGGTTCTCTAGAGGGACAGAACTAATTGGATGGTTGGATGGATGGATGGGATGGATGGATGGATGCTTATTAAGTATTACCTTACACGATCACTAGGCCATCTGCAGACTGAGGAGCAACGAGAGCCAGTCCAAGTTCCAAAACTGAAGAACTAGGAGTCTGATGTTCAAGGGCAGGAAGCATCCAGCACAGGAGAAAGATGTAGCTTGGGAGGCTAGGCCAGTCTCGCCTTTTCAGGTTTTTCTGCCTGCTTTATATTCGCTGGCAGCTGATTAGATGGCACCTACCAGATTAAGGGTGGGTCTGCCTTCCCCAGCCCACTGACTCAAATGTTAATCCCTTTGGCAACACCCTCACAGACAACACTCAGGATTAATACTTTGCATCCTTTAATCCAATCAAGTTGACACCCAGTATTAACCATCACACTGTCCAAATGGAAAAATTATTAAACAAATCTTTTTTAAAATAAAATGCTAGCTCTTGCCCTAGGCTTGAACCATAAATAAGTGGTGGGAAGTTTATAGTCACAAATAGGTGGTGGGTATTAGAAAGCAGGATAAACTATCCTCTCACCCTTCCAAGAAACTGACAGTTTCAGTTTATTCCTCTTGATGAAGTAATGCTAAATTTTTGTAGTGATGTTTTGGTATATTTTATTACTTGTAATTAATATTACTGTTCAAAATTTAGGGGGAATCTGTCATCTTCCTGAAACTTCAGAATCACCTGGAGTAAGGGTCATTTGTATTCATGGTCACTGACCACGTGGGGTAGAAACTGCAAGTCATGGTTCCTTCAGGCAAAGTTAATAGTGGTGACACGGAGGCATCATGATAGAGCAGCAGACTCCAGAAGCCAATTTGACTTTGTGATTTCTGAAAAAATTACCTGTCAACTGTGAGCCTGTTTCATCATCTGTAAACTTTGAATAATGATACCTACCCCGCCTGATAGAAGATTCTTATGAGGGAACATGATACGTGACCAGTAAATGTTAATGCTTTCCTTATACGTGAAATGACATAAAATCTTGGAATATTAATAGATGGGAAGAAGATGTGTAATAAAACTGTCTATAAACACAATTCTGACAAATTTCAGAACTGGGATTCATAGGGCTTTATTCAGTTAGATTACATGCTTTACAACAGAGATACTGTTTTATTTGTGTCACCTACAACATATAATCTGTTGATTGAGGTATGCTGAATAGATGAATGGCAAAGAAAGCAGACCTATAAAATATCACATAGTAAGATATTTATATTTAGATTTTTCTTATTTAGAATCTTCATCTGTAATGTATGATTTTGAAAATTAATTCTTGGAACAACATCTTGCAGAGCCTCCATTATGGCATGCTGAATTTACCAAAGAAGAATTGGTTCAGAAGCTCCGTTCCACCACAAAAAGTGCAGATCACTTAAACGGCCTGCTTCGGGAAATAGAGGCAACCAATGCAGTCCTTATGGAGCAAATTAAGGTGAGATCAGAAAACCTGGCCACCGTGAAAACCGCCAGTTTGGTTTTCTGGACCTTCCATACACATGCACCCAAGTTTAAAAATTCACATTGCAGATGCATCTATAACGTCTTGATCTTTATATTAGATTCCTGATGGTGAGAAATATTGCCTTTTTTTTTTTTTTTTTTTTTGAGACAGTCTTGCTCTGTCACCCAGGCTGGAGTGCAGTGGCACGATCTTAGCTCACTGCAAGCTCCACCTCCCAGGTTCACGCCATTCTCCTGCCTCAGCCTCCCGAGTAGCTGGGACTACAGGTGCCCGCCAACATGCCTGGCTAATTTCTTTGTATTTTTAGTAGAGACAGGGTTTACCATGTTAGCCAGGATGGTCTCGATCTCCTGACCTCGTGATCCACCTGCCTTGGCCTCCCGAAGTGCGGGTATTACAGGTGTGAGCCACCGCATCCAGCCAAAATACTTCTTTTACACCTATTACATAAAGATTATTTCTTAATTCCTACTTTTCCTAAGAAACCGTAATAGATTTAGAAACTAGAGAGATGTTCACAAATCATTGTTCACATATGCTTAAATAAAAAATGGGTGTGAGTCTTTGAATTCTAAAGATAACCAGTGAATTTAAATTATTCAACTGATATTTATAGTACTGAACTACTAAACAGTTTTCAGGTGGAGATGGCAAAGTGGCATGGGAAGTTTTTCCTGTTTAAAGTAGACACCAGAAACATCTAGGAATGTTGCAGAACAGTTGAGGATTACTCAAATGAGGTTTTTCCACCCTGGCTCACTGATAAATCACCCCTCAGAATATAGTCATACTGCTTGTTGAGGAGTTCTTATGACCCAGGCCCTGGGCTTTACATACATTATTTAATCTCATCACTGGTTGAGAGAAAAATTGAAGCTGGTAAATGGTGGAACAAAATTCAAACTCATAGCTGTCTGAAAAGTACATGCTTTTCCCCTGTACTTTGCTGCTCCTAATAGATCTGTCCTGCCACTGTGCAAGGCCACTAGCTATCCTTGTCAGATTATTTTAAAGCCGAATTCAGTTATTTTCAGTAAATTGTATATATCATGACATTCCACCATTAAATACTTCAGTATGCATCTCTATAAAATAACATTTTCCCACTAATAAAAACATTATCATAGCTAACAAATCACTAACTAGCCCAGTAAACCTAAATGACTTATTTAAATGTTATATTTTCTTGTTTTTTTTTTTTGAGATAGTCTCGCTCTGTCACCAGGTTTGGAGTGCAGTGGTGCAATCTCAGCTCACTGCAATCTCCGCCTCCCAGGTTCAAGCGATTCCCCTGCCTCAGCCTCCCGAGTAGCTGGGACTGCAGGCATGCACCACCATGCCCGGCTAATTTTTTTTATTTTACTAGAGACACAGTTTCACCATGTTGGCCAGGACAGTCTGAATCTCCTGACCTCGTGATCTGCCTGCCTCAGCCTCCCAAAGTGTTGGGATTACAGGCATGAGCCACCACGCCTGGCCAAATGTTATATTTTCATAAATTTATACTCTCTTCATGATTTCTTCGTCTTCTTTATTGTCACTTTTTTAAATGGTCCTAGGTTTGAGGACAAAGTTCGCTAACTTTCTTGCCTAACCTAAAATGAAAATATACTAAAAGCTATGGCTTGGTTTCAACCTGGAAATCTTCCTCAAAGACTTGAACATGATATTACCTTTTTTATATTGTTCTTTGCCTCATTTCTCTGATAGTGTTTTACATTGTCTTATATTCCTGAATTTTCACTGTGTCTAACTTTTGTTTTGATTAAGTGCCGTTCACTGTGGACGTCTTAACTGCCTGGGACTTTAGGAACAGGGTAGGGGCAGGGGGTTAGTGGAGGCTGCCGATGTTCCCCTCAGCCCATTTTCAGAGCCCCATGCCATACTGGCTTAGTTTCTATCGAAAGTAGAAGGCAGAGGGAACATCTTGGTACCAACCCATGGCTCCAGTTAGTTGCTCCTCATGGAGACGTTCCATCAGTTCCCCAGCTTTCAACTCCATTTCCATGATACCCTGTGCTTCTGAGACAAGAACCCCAGTATTTACACAGGATGCATCCTCTCCTCTTGTCAGTGATACTTGGTAAGCTGCTGGACTGACTCATTTCCACCTCTTCATCTGTTTCTCGTGAGAATTTCTTGATGTGTCTCATCTACTTTTTCTCCTCTTGTATTAGCTTGTTGCTTTTCTACTTCGCCCCTCTTCCTTCCAACCCCAAATAGCTTAGGACAATGGAGTCCTATAGCCCAACACTTGGTTCATATGCAGCAATCCACTTTCTAGGCAAATGCAGCTTTGAAACTATCTCATAGTTGGAGTTCCGGTTTTCATGTCAAATGGATTTTATACGGTGATGTCATAAACTCCTTTGAAATGCTTCACATGCAGCTGCTGTAGTTAACTGAATTCCTTCCTTTATTGCCATATGGAGGGAAGGGGGAAATTTGGGGGGAAGAGAAGAAAAATACATGAGTTCAGTCTGCCATATTTAATCAGAAGCTCCTAAAGCCCATTTTTAACTCATTTCTCTAACACCAGCTTCTCAAAAGTGAAATAAGAAGATTGGAAAGGAATCAAGAGCGAGAGAAGTCTGCAGCTAACCTGGAATACTTGAAGAACGTCTTGCTGCAGTTCATTTTCTTGAAGCCAGGTAGTGAAAGAGAGAGACTTCTTCCTGTTATAAATACGATGTTGCAGCTCAGCCCTGAAGAAAAGGGAAAACTTGCTGCGGTTGCTCAAGGTGGGTAAAAGGAGAGTCTCAGAACTTCTGACTTCTAACTTAAACTAAACAGCCTGGTGGTTGAGAAGTTGTCTGTATGTGTAACTTTTCAATTTTGCTCATTTGAATTGGGTCTGTCATATGAGTAGGCCGTGACTAGATTTGAAAAGCTGACTTTTTAACATCTTGAGGCAACTGTAGTACATTTATATAATTTTAACGTTCAGCAAAATACAATAAGTGCTTAGCTTGATCTTCTAGCTCTTTGAAAATTGGATTTTTATCCTGGTGTTGAGTTCTGGTGTTCAGCTGAACGTGGTTTTGTTTTAAATTCTACTTTTTAAAAAGCATTTATTAGCTTGTTCCTTTTCTACTTCACGCCTCTTCCTTCCTCCAACCCCAAATAGCCTAAGACAATGGAGCCATAGAGCCCAACACTTGGTCTATATACAGCAGTCCACTTTCTAGGCAAATGCAGTTTTAAAACTGTGCCATAGGCCAGGCGCCGGTGGTTCACGCCTATAATCCCACCACTTTGGGAGGCCGAGGCAGGCGGATCACAAGATCAAGATACCGAGACCATCCTGGCCAACATGGTGAAATCTCGTCTCTACTAAAAATACAAAAATTAGCTGGACGTGGTGGCATGCGCCTGTAGTCCCAGCTACTCAGGGGGCTGAGGCAGCAGAGTCGCTTGAACTCACGAGGCGGAGGTTGCAGTGATGTGTCACGCCACTGTACTCCAGCCTGACGGCAGAGCGAGACTCCATCTCAAAAAAAAAAAAAAAAAAAACTATGATGTAGTTAGAGTTGGTTTCCATGTCAGATGGATTTAATACTGTGATGTCATTAACTTCTTTGAAATGCTTCATATACAACTGCTATAGTTAACTGAATTCAAGCTGCATCTTAAGAATTATGGTTTCGTTTTTGTTTTAGTTTTAAATTACTTTTATTTTTGACATTTACAAGCACAAGGAAGACGCTATAATCTCTCTTGAGTTGTCACCCATCTCTAACAGTTTTCAACTCATGGACAATCTTTTGGCGTAAATAGGGGAGAGTTAGAGACTTAAATCCCACACATCATTTCTTTCCCCAGTGAATAATTCAATGTTTATTGGATTTCTCTGTCACCTATACCTAGTTTATGTTCATTTTGCCTGTGTTATTGTGAATGTCTTTTTATAGTATCCTAAATAGGGCTCATATATTGCATTTGGTTGATATTCCTTAAGCTTTATTTTGTTGTTGTGTTTTTGTTTGTTTGAGACGTAGTGTTGCTCTGTCACCCTGGCTGGAGTGCAGTGGTCCGATCATGGCTCACTGCAACCTCCGCCTCCCGGATTCAAGTGATTCTCCTGCCTCAGCCTCCCAAGTAGCTGGGACTACAGATGCACGCCAGCTAATTTTTCTATTTTTAGTAGAGACGAGGTTTCACCATGTTGGCCAGGATGGTCTCAATCTCCTGACCTTGTGATCTGCCCGCCTTGGCCTCCCAAAGTGCTGGGATTACAGGTGTGAGCCACCACGCCCAGTCATTTTGTTGTTTTTTTATCTATAACAATTATATATATAAGTATATTTTTAATGTGCCACTTATTAATTGAAGAAAGTGGTCATTTATGCTATAGCAGTTCTATATTTGGGTTTTAATCATTACAGGGTAACACTGAGCTTGTTCCAATTGCCTATAAATAGGAAGATCCAGGTGCAATTGGGTGGGATGGTGGACAAAAATACATCATAGATGGTATTGTGTGCTTTCTAAGACATGAGGAGGCCCAGAATGTCCAGACAACTTACTTTTGACTGATTGACCTTATCTAGTTGGTGTTCTTTAACATGTTCCCCATCCCCTGTAAACCCTAATAACTAAACTGATAAGAGTCATCCTCAAAATTGAGCAGGCATCTGAATCATCTGGTATACTTACTAAAATTCCAATTGCTGGTCCCCAATTTCTGACCCAAGATTCTGCATTTTTAGCAATTTGTTGCTGATACTTCTGGTCTGGGGCCCATACCTTGAGAACCCCCGGTCTAGAGGCCTGATAAGATTCAGGCTTAATTTTTTTTACAGACATACTTCATAAGTAGTATTGATAGTTTCTTTGAATCTGGTTTTTAATAATCTTTCTAATGATGAAGGAGGAATGTTCTCAATACTGACAGTAATCTCAGTTCTTCAAACTATAGGATAGGTTTCTATAGCCACAATAGTATTTTTGTCACAAGGGCCCAAATAAGAATACATCATGTATATTTTTAATACTTATTCAAATTACAAATTCACTGTCTTTAATTTATTCTAACAAAAGTAAACCTAATTTTATAGTTATAAAAAAGAAGAAATCTACTTCTAGTCACCTAAGAGTAAAACTGCCCTTATAAAAAACAAGACAGAAATCTCAAAATTATAACTAATTTTATAGTTATAAAATTAACCAGGACTTTAAGAACGTTTGCATTTTAAAATTAAAGTTTTCAATAGTTTTCAATACAACAATGATACTATCTCAAAATACTCAGCATGTCTAACAGGCCTCTTTTAAAAGCTCAGCATGTTTAATGTAGGTGTTGCTAACGTCCAGGTGGCTCCTATAAGTTAAGGGTCCATTGATTTAGAAGTTCTAAAAGAGACTAACCTAAGGGATACCAATAACAGATATTTTTAAAGAATTTCATAGAGGAGATACACATTAGAAACCCAGAACTCTAAGATGTGCATTTGCTAAGTCCTGTAAACAGACAGGAAAACACATTTACATTAGTTTGCCCTTTAAAGATTATTTCCTACTTGTCTCTTATCAATGTGAGTACATAAAAGAGACCTTATTACAATTAAAAACAATGATGGTTTAGCAGCAGATTTAGATACCTTACATTCTCTCTTTAAGAGAGAGAATGTAAGGCCTGGTGCGGTGGCTCACACCTGTAATCCAGCACTTTGGCAGGCCGAGGAGGGTAGATCACCTGAGGTCAGGAGTTCGAGACCAGCCTGGCCAACATGGTGAAACCCCGTCTCTACTCAGAATACAAAAATTAGCCGGGCATGGTGGCGCATGCCTGTAATCCCAGCAACTTGGGAGGCTGAGGTAGGAGAACTGCTTGAACCCAGGAGGCAGAGGTTGCAGTGAGCCGAGATGGTGCCATTGCACTCCAGCCCAAGCAACAAGAGCAAAACTCCTATCTCAAAAAAAAAAAAAAAAAAAAGAATGTAAACTACAAGATGGTTCAAAAGAAATTACACAGAATTCAGCATGGGAGAAACAAAAAACAAGAGTGGGAAAAGACATCAAACATGTTTTTACTAATCGAAGTTCTAAAAGGAGAGACAAGAATACAGCACAGATAATATATGAAGAGAATGGCTGGAAATCTTTCAGAACTGTTGAAGGATATCTATCCACAGATTCAAAAACCCAGTAAAATCTCAAGCAGTATTAAAAAAAAAAGAAGAAATCTACTTCTAGTCACATAAGAGTAAAACTGCCCCTAAAAAAGACAGAGAGAAATCTCAAAAGCAGCCAGAGAAAGAAGACACATTGCCTCACAATAGACTTCTCAACAGCATTGGTGTAATACTATCTCATGTACTAAAAGAAATAACTGCCAACCTTTTATATTTTCCAAGATCTCTTCTGGAAAACAAAAACTTTAAGAATCTGCCTTCACTGGAAATTCTTAATGATGTACTTCAAGCAAAAAGAAAATTTCCTAGGTAAAAGGTCTAAGATGCCAGAAAGAAAGACATGCAAAGGAAACTTACCACCATATTACAGATATGGACTGTCAGTCTGACTGGTCACACTAGGGGCATTTTGTTACCAAGGCCTTGAAAATAATAACCAACACTGCATACATGAGGGATGCCAGAAGAAAGGTCTGAGAGCCACTCTTCCTGGCACTGAAGGAAACAGGGCCCATCAGAGCAAACAAGTACCTTTTGCCTCTCTCATCTCCTTGGAGGCAAATGTTTATAATCTCTGGTTTTGTGTAAAGTTTATAACAGTATTTTTCATTCAGGTTGCTACCTATTAGTGGATGGTGAAATTAATTTGGTGGATCACATTCAGGATATTTTTTTTTTAAATCAAAAGAATACAAGCTGGGCTCAATGACTCACACCTGTAAGCCCAACAGTTTGGGAAGACCAGGCAGGAGGATTGCTTGAGAACAGGAGTTCAGAATCAGCCTGGGCAACATGGCGAGACCCTATGTCTACAAAAATTTTAAAATATGCCAGATCTGGTGGCATGTGCCCATAGTCCTAGCTACTCGGGAGGCTAAGGCAGCAGGATTGTTTGTTAGAAGGAGTTCGAGGCTGCAGTCAAACTTCTGGTCGAAATCCTGGTCACGCCACTGCATTTCAGCCTGGGCAACAGAGTAAAACCCCATCTTTAAAAAAATATTAAGAAATAAAAATAATATGTGAAACGTTAGAATATGTTGAATCTGGTAAGGATAAGCAATTATTTCTTGAAACTCTACATATATACATGAGTGTTGGTAAATACCTGACTGTATCATCAGCTCTAGATATAAAATGTTTATGATGTTGGCTGTGAGTTAATGAGGAATAGTTTTCCTTTCTGTGGGTTTGGGTGTATTTGGGAAACATTAGCTTAGGGGGGTAAAGTAGGTTACCCAACTCTGAAAAGCAGCATCAAAATCTTTATAATAAACACATATTAGGGGCCCAACTTAAATTTCAAGCAGATGTCATGAGCTGCTCAGAGTAGCGTGTTACAACTCTGCGTTATAAGGTAAAATGACTTAGAGTGTAGCAGTAGTCCCCAATGTCAAATAGACAGTGGTAAGTATAGATTGCTCTTCTCCTTGCATCACAAATGTTAATTCACCCTGCCCCCACACGCATTAAAACTCAGCATATTTCACAAATTGAGTGTTTCATTTCTATTTGAGATAGACTTATGGTAAGTCAGCTTTGCTCCCCAAATAAGTTAGCCATATAGTACTTCTATATGCAAAATTTGAATCTCAATTTTACTACTAAAGCTGGAAGTAAAAGTCATTTTTCTATATCTTCTTTGCTCCCAGACTGGGTTACAGTTTACAGATCTGAATATTGTCACTTGTACACCATACATACACAGAGGTCTAAAACTCTCTACAAGTAAATAAAGAAAAAAAGCCCAGCAACCCAATAGGAAAATAGGCCAAGCCTGTTATAGGCTTTTTGATCATCTCCAGACTGGCAGGAAGAGAATGCATACTCACACTGTAAGTGCCTGATTTGATTTGCAGAGGATATAGAACCTTATCAGAAAACAGCCTTCCAAGGCAAGAGCAAATGCACCCTATCTAAGCACAGCTTTTCTCCAATTCTTATTTACCTAAGGAGATGAATAGCTGCCAGGAACATTGTTTGCACAAGGGCAGGAGCCTGCCAGATCTGAGAACACAGCAAAATTTTTATTTTGTCAAAAATCTTATATTCAGCTTACACCATTCATTTCAGGTGAACATACAACAGTCTGCATTTCAGTTTAGGGAAATGTTTACAGTCGTCTGGTTCTCTTTATTCTTGGGAACAAGGTTACCTCACTTGGAACACATAACCAGTGCCAAGTTGTCCATCCCTAAGCAATATCGCTTCCTCCTACTTTCTAGAAGTTCTTCAGGTTGTGGAAGACAGACTTTTCAGAATTGTTTGCCCTCATTCCCTCCTCCAGAAATGCATGCCTTTGTATAATCTCTTCCCCTTGAGAGCCAGTAGGCTAACCTAATGAGTTATGTTTAACCAGTAGAATACAGCAAGAATGATAGATTACAAGAGATTGTGGCTTCTATCTTGCTAGCGGCCTCTCTCTGTCTTCTCTGCTTGCACACTTTGTTGAAGCAAGCTACCATCCCAGAGGCAAGGAACACAGGCCATCAGTTTAGCAGCCTTGAGGAACTAAATTCTTCCAACTACCACATAAGTTTGGAAGTAGATTCTTCTCCAGTCCAGCCTTCAGATGAGACCCCAGCCATGCCAACATCTTGATTGCAGCCCTGTGAGAGACCTTGAAATAGAACCATTTCTGATCTCCTGACCCACAGAAACTGTGAAATAAATATGTGTTAAGGTACTAAGTTTGTAGTAATTTGTTACGCAGCAGATTGTAAATAACACGCAGATAAAACCAGACAGAACAGAAAAATAAAATGACTTGTAACTCTAGAAAGTTTCCCCATGTAAAATTTTGAAAATGCTACTCTGCCTAAGGTCAAACTGTCATACATATATACGTATGAAAACACAGAAAGGTGTCTGGAAGGGTAATACCAAATTAAATCTTTATCCAAGAGGAATGAAAACCAGTATTCACACAAAAACCTATGCACAAACCTTGTGAATATATTAAAAACCAGTGAATTATGCACTTTAAAAAGGTGAATTATGTGGTATATGAATTATATCTCCAAAACATTTAATTAAAAACCTGTACACAATTATTCGTAGAAACTTTCTTTAAAATTGCTAAAAACGAGGAAGATCTCAGTTATCCTTCAACTGGCAAATGAATAAACAAACTGGTACAGCCGTGCAATTGAATACTGCTCAGCAATAAAAAAGAATGCACTGCCAGTTCAGCAACATGGGTAATTCTCAAATGCATTATGCCAGTTGACAGAGGTCAGACTCAAAATACTATGTACAGTGTGATTCTACTTATATGACACTGAAAAAAGCAGAACTATAAGGACAGAAAACAGGTTAGCGGTTGCCAAGGAGTGGGAGAAGCAGCCAGGGAGAACTTTGAGGAGATGAAAATGTGCCAGGCCTTGGTCGGTGGTGGTACGTAACTGTGCATTTGTCAAGACTCAGTGCTATATGCTGAAAAGGGCAGGTTTTACTATAAGTAAGTTGTACCTCAATAAACATGATTTTTAAATGATTAAAACTTTGGTTTTTGTTTGTTGTGGTTCAGTTTTAAGGTTTCCCATAAATCTATTGGTTTTAGATTCTAAGTTGTATATAAGCTTCTGTTTTAAAAGAATTTTTTTTAAAATCCTCTTATCGTCAACAATATTTAGTTGTGCTGGAAATTTTATTTTGGAATTGTTTAATAGAGAAAGACAATAAATAATGTTCAAGAACAGACATTGATTCATAACATCAAAGTATATTGTGAGAAGATGGTATTTCAGAATAGAGGAAGAATTTCTTATGTGCTGGTAAGATTGTTTGTAGATAATCATTTCTGCATAATTTTCATAGCTGGATTGCTTTAATAAAGCCATTTAAAGGTTAAGTTCTAGATTGCTTCATGTTGCTTATCAATGTTTTAAAGCTAAAATAGAAAATTAGCTGTTAAGTTGGCTCAACCGGAAATTCAGTATATCCTTTAAAAAGAGAAATTTAGTAAGCAGTGTGTCTAAAGAATGACATATGGTTGGGTACAGTGGCTCGTGACTGCAATCCCAACACTGTGAGGCTGAAGTGGGAGGATCACTTGAGCCCAGGAATTTGAGACCAGCCTGGAAAACAGTGAGACCTGCATCTCTACAAAAAAACAAAAAATTACCCAGGCATGGTGGTACACACCTTGTGGTCCCAGTTGCTTGGGAGGCTGAGGTGGGAGAATCACTTGAGCCTGGGAGATCAAGGCTGCATTGAAGTCTCATCACGCCACTGCACTCGAGCCTGGGTGACAGAGCAAGACCCTATCTCAAAAAAAAAAAAAAAAAAAAAAAAAAAAGAACCCCCCCCCCCACCAAAAAAGGCATGTGATCAGTAAAAAAGACATTATTTGCTTATATTGTAGAGTGGTTCTAAAATATAGATTTTACATTGAGAAATTTTAATACTCTCTTTTTTCTTTTTTTTTTCTTTGTTTTACTTTCTAAAGATGAGGAAGAAAATCCTTCCCGTTCTTCTGGATGAGCATCCTATCTTCGTAGTTGGTTTGGACTTCGATAGGTTGATGGAAGGAATACTTCTATTAACCAAATAGAATCTGTTTACAAAAATGGTTCGTGTGTGTTACCATTATTCTTTTGTCAAAAAGTGTGTATATGTGTTTGCATTTACATATATTTGTACATCTGTATGACAGATGTATTTTAAAAGTTTCAACTTGAAGTAAAAGTACAACAGCTTGAAGTGTTGATACCAGGCCACAGCCCTCTAACTCATGTGATCTCCCATGCATGCTGCCAGAATAAAACCACCAGGAATGAATTCACTCCCCACTTCTCTGGAACCTCAGGACCCGCCCATTTCTCGGCAGTACTGTGAATTTTGAAGTTAAACTAAATTTTGGTACCATACCAACTGGAATTTAGGCTTTAAAAATAATGTTTCAAGGCCAGGTGTGGTGATTCATGCCTGAAATCCCACTACTTTGGGAGGCTGAGGCTGGAGAATCGCTTGAGGCTAGTGAGCTGTGATTGTACCACTGCACTCCAGCTCGGGGAACAGAGCGAGACCTTGTCTCTAAAAATAATAATAGTAATAAAAATAACGTTTTATGACTATTTATTGCAAGGTCAGATTTACAGATTGTTATAAATTGTTGAGAAATTTTTGTGATTAGAATATGAAGGAAAAAGCTTTGTTGGTAAAAGTGACATGTTAAGGGGCTATGAAGTAAATATGCTGCAGTTAATTGTGCTAAGTTAAAATACAGTTTAGTTATTTGCTTTAAAATAAACTCTTCTTTTTTTCTTTAAAGTATACTACCTCAAAACTCATTATGTTGTCAGAGCCCTAGAGCTGGCTAGTGTAACACTGACTATGAGTAGGTGGGCCCACCACTTGAGTTGAGGTGATTTCATGGTGTCTTTCCAGGCTCTTGATAGGGTGTCACTGCATGCAAGCCATGAATCTGTTTTGAGAATCCTCTCCATTTTCCCAAATAAAAACCTATCCCAACAGTGACTATATCACTCAGCATTGGATCTAAATATAAAAGTGGTGCTTTCAGTGTTTTTGGCAGATAGTGTTCCATAACCTTTCCATCAGAAGGGATTTTAGACACCTTAGAGGTCCGTGCTACATCTTCACAGTTCCTCCGAATAACCTTAGGTGGTAGTGTTACTTGCCTTTGACACCTGTGCATATGTTTTAATGACTAGATCCAAACTGTGTTGTTCTTAAATCAAAAATTGGATAATTTTTAATATTTATGTATTAATCACACAGTGTGCTCTCTGAAGTTCTCTTAAGCCTTCAGTTTATACTCTTAATTTTCTTTCTGAGCTGGGGAACTGACTTTGCACTTTGGTTACACAGAACATTGGTTTCCAATTTAGTTTAACTGAAATTTGCTGCTGATATGTTGAGTTTGTTCTTTAAAAAATATCTCATATATCTCGTCTTTCCTCCTTAGAAGAACAGACCTAACTAGCGAATGTATGAATGAAAATGCATCTATTTCAGAGCCGACATGAAGAGTTTAGTTTTTTTACTTTATAAACTGTGAATATGAGTATGCCAGCTGCATTAGATGTAACTAATCATATTTAAATATATTTCACTTTGACTTTAGACCTTTTGAAGTCTGTATAAACTTGTTTTGAAATACAGTCTCCACTTACGAATGTCATAACAAAATACTTTTTTGCATGATAAAAAATTACTTTGATTACAAAAGGCATATTCTTTCATGGTTTCTGCAATGAGAGGAAGTGTAATGATTATTTTAATATTTCTATTAAAACTGTATATTTTTATGGCTGCTCTTTTATGTTACCCACTGTCTCTTTGGGGTTGTTAATTGGTTTCTGAAAGGGAACTTCAAACTCCTTTACTACTGGCCTTCCATGGTTGGTCCCTATTAGGTTGTTGTGAGAACGTCGACCAACTCTTTGATACCCGCCAGGTAGACCGTAGTACCTGCCATGTCTGACACCCTGCATCCAGCTAAAACCAGAAACAGCGCTGGGCCTCCCTGTGGACAAGACATTGATTTGACCAGAAGCAGATGTCTGGCTAAGGCTGCCAACCAAAGGGTGGCCTTAGATGAAGGGCTTTGTTCAGTTAGGGGCAGAGGTCATTAATTTTTTTTTTTTTTTTTGAGACAGAGTCTTGCTCTGTCGCCCAGGCGTGAGTGCAATGGCGCGATCTCGGCTCACTGCAAGCTCTGCCTCCCAGGTTCACGCCATTCTCCTGCCTCAGCCTCCTAAGTAGCTGGGACTACAGGCGCCGGCCACCATGCCCGGCTAATTTTTTGTATTTTTACTAGAGACAGGGTTTCACCGTGTTAGCCTGGATGGTCTCGATCTCCTGGAGGTAATTTATTTCTTTGGATGTTTGGACTAGGAGATGGGGAGAGGCAGAGCAGAAAGAGAAACACAGATGCCACAAGGAGGAGGAACAGAGCTAACCCTGGATAGGACTGGACACAGCAGCCAGACCAAGAGAGGCATCTAGTGAGAAGCAGCTCTTCAGCCCTGGGCCTGGTGCACACATCACTCCTTGGTTTCTAAGAACCAAATTTGGCCCAGCACAGTGGCTCATGCCTGTAATCCCAGCACCTTGGGAGGCCAAAGCGGGTAGATCATGAGGTCAAGAGATCAAGACCATCCTGGCCAACATGGTGAAACCCCGTCTCTACTAAAAACACACAAAAAATCAGCTGGGCATGGTGGTGTGCACCTGTAGTCCTAGCTACTTGGGAAGCTGAGGCAGGAGAATCACTTGAACCCAGGTGGCAGAGTCCAGTGAGCTGAGATCACACTACTGCACTCCAGCCTGGCGACAGAGTGAGACTCTGTCAAAAAAATAAAAGAAAGCCAAATTCATACAGTCCCTGAGGAGTGGGAACTGATGCACATCTCTTGTATACAATAAGCTATGCTTGTGCTCTGAACAGTGTAAGATTGAGAATTGTATTCCTTTAAAGAAAGTTCGGCAGAACTGTAACTGAATTACTAACAAGGCACTGAGAAGGCATACCGTACTTTGTATGGTATTTGGCGAATGGCATAACACATCAAAAAATTGGTTGTATCATATGATTAAATTGCAACGTGATGATTTCAACTTGGTGGAAGACTTCTGCTTCGTCTTGGTATGTGAAAATCCCCTTTGCTTCAAACTTAATACACACCAAGGAAAACAACCTGATACAAGTTTGCAAGTGTCTTTGAGCTAATGGCTTTTCGTGGGTATTAAAAAGCATTGGGTTATTTATGTATAATTACGTAGAAAGAAAATGTTTGTTCCATTCAAGATACGGTTACACAAAAAGTCATCTAGTTGTGACCTTCAAATTATTACTTATATACCTACAGAAAATTCCTATAAATAGGCTGGGCGCGATGGCTCACACCTGTCATCCCGGCACTTAGGGAGGCCAGGGTGGGCAGATCACCTGAGGTCAGGAGTCCAAGACCAGCCTGGCCAATATGGTGAAAACTTGTCTCTACGAAAAATACAAAAATTAGCCAGGCATGTTGGCCCATGCCTGTAGTCCCAGCTACTCAGCAGGCTGAGGTAGGAGAATCGCTTGAACTCGGGAGGGGAGGCTGCAGTGAGCCAAGATCACACACCACTGCACTCCAGCCTGGGCAACAAAGTGAGACCCCCATCTCAAATAAGGAAAGAAAATTCCTATGAAGAAACACTATACCTCTGAGTTTCAATAATAGAGATGATTAACCCAGTTTCCCTGCAAGGATGTGCTCACTGTGAACAGATGTAGTGGTTACCACTCCAGATGTCTGCCTAGCATTTGAGACAACAGTCTCTGTCACCCCTGCCTCTCTCTGGGAACTTCTGCCCCACCACCATACAGAGGGGCAGTAGGCCCAGCCATAATCAACTGAAACAGACACAGAGTTATGACCTGAGCCTAGGCAATTAGGTTTTCTCAGGAATATGGATCTGGGACTAAAGAACTCAGCATCTTCCTGTGACTGGAGTTGTAGCATGTAAGTACAGAAGCTTTGGAGTGCCCAGAAAGAGCAGAGAAAGCCAAGAGAGTGCCAGGTTTAAGTTGACATAAGAGGTCAACAAAATCGTGAAGTGAGTGTTCTGGGGACCTGAGAGTCAAGGGACTGGATTCTGTACAATGTCTCTGCATCATCATAGTAAACTTCCTACACATGCTTTGAAAGTAAATATCAGATAATTTGGAGCACAGTATAATGGTAAAGTATAAACTGTGAACTTACACAAGGACACCACAATTTCTGCCTCACTGACGAATAACTTGGGGCATGTTCTTGACTGCTCTGAGCCCCCATTTCTTTATCTGTAAAAAGGAAATAAATTACATAGTTGTGAGTTATTGGATGACATAATAAAACCCAGCACAGAGGGCTGGGCGCAGTGGCTCACACCTGTAATCCCAGCACTTTGGGAGGCCAAGGTGGGCGTATCACAAGGTCAGGAGATCGGGAGCATCCTGGCTAACACGGTGAAGCCCCGTCTCTACTAAAAATACAAAAAATCAGCCAGGCATGGTGGCAGGTGCCTGTAGTCCCAGCTACTTGGGAGGCTGAGGCAGAAGAATGGCGTGAACCCAGGAGGCGGAGCTTGCAGTGAGCCGAGATTGCGCCGCTGCACTCCAGCCTGGGCGACAGAGCAAGACCCCATCTCAACAAAAAAAACAAAAAAAAAAAAAACCCAGCACAGAGTAGGCATGCCAGCATTCTCTCACTTCTCAGCCTGCAAAAAGATTTACCAATTTACCTCATTTTCTTCTGTTCCTTGTTCTGACCTCAGTGCATGACCCACAGCACCAAGTGTTACTGTCGTTTATGAGTGAACAATTGTGTTAATAAGGAAATAAATTGAATGTTTTCCA
Organism: Homo sapiens; assembly: GCF_000001405.40. Classification (NCBI taxonomy): domain Eukaryota; kingdom Metazoa; phylum Chordata; class Mammalia; order Primates; family Hominidae; genus Homo; species Homo sapiens. Next base: position 112,365,307 of record NC_000002.12, on the reverse strand, counting down.
GCACTTTGACCTTATTTTTTAAAACTTTGTACCTCCCAGAGCTGGGAAGAGATTCCAGATTTCCAGACTTAGTCCAGAGTCATGACTAATGCTGGACTTCGTCTATAGCTCTTATTGAAATGTCAGAAAACATTTTTTGCCCCAAAAACTATTAACTGATAAATTTATAGCATCAAACTGCATTTTTTAAAGGAGGCTTTTTGTTTTTTCTTTTTTGAGAGAGAGAGAGAGTCTTGCTCTGTCACCCAGGCTGGAGTGCCTTGGCATAGTCTCAGTTCTCTGCAATCTCTGCCTCCCGGTCTCAGGTGATTCTCCTGCCTCAGCCTCCCAAGTAGCTGGGACTACAGGTGTGCACCACCACATCTGGCTAATTTTTGTTTGTTTTTGGTAGAGACGAGGTTTTGCCATGTTACCTAGGCTGATCTTGAACTCCTGGACTCAAGTGATCCACCCACCTCGGCCTCCCAAAGTGCTGAGATTTCAGGTGTGAACCACCACACCTGGCCAAAAGAGACTTTTTTTTTTTTTTTGAGATGAGTGTCGCTCTGTCGCCAGGCTGGAGTACAGTGGCATGGTCTCAGCTCACTGCAACCTCCACCTCCTGGGTTCAAGCGATTCTCCTGCCTCAGCCTCCCGAGTAGCTGGGACTATAGGCACGCGCCACCACGTCCAGCTAATTTTTTGTATTTTTAGTACAGATGGAGTTTCACTGTGTTAGCCAGGATGGTCTCGATCTCCTGACCTCGTGATCTGCCCACCTTTGTCCCCCAAAGTGCTGGGATTACAGGCGTGAACCATCGCGCCCAGCCCATGCCCGGCTAATTTTTTTTTTTTTTTTTTTTTTGGATTTTAGTAGAGACAAGGTTTCACCATGTTGCCCAGGCTGGTCTTGAACTCCTGAGTGCAGGCAATCTGCCCACCTCACCCTCCCAAAGTGCTAGGATTACAGGTATTTGGTTTTTTGTTTGGTTTTCAAGCAACCTTTCTAAATTTTGCTATGCTCACTCTTTCTTCACATGTTGGTACTGGCTAGATACAGATTTTGCTTTCCTATTGGAGACTCTTTTGAGAGCTGGCTATCCCCTCTTGCTCCTTTTCTTTTTTCTCTTCCCTACTTTCAAGTTTCTTGCTCTTTTTCTTACCCCATAAGTTACCAGAAATTCATACCCCCTTGAGAGGGCTTTTTGTTTGAACTTCAGTCTTTAGTTTCATCAACTTTTCTAAGGAAATTGATCTGTTAATGAAAGTTGGCTTGCTTGACTTCAGAATATCTGTATTATTCAGTGATGTGTTTTTCTGGTTGCTTTGTTTGAGCACAGTGTAAATATCACCCATTGCATAGCTTTGGCAGTGACATAAATCTGGCAGCGTAAGATCGAGAAAAGCTAGAAGTCTCACCACAGATTGTATTTCAGTGAAAGGGATTCTTTTTAAGTGCTGATAAAACTAAAGAAAACCTATAAACATGGAAAACAATTATTAAACCCACCATATGCTCATACTGCTATTAAATGGTGTGACAGATTCTAGAAAGAGTTACCTTTTGGTAAGAGCACTGCTTGTTAACTATAGTTGATTGCTTTAGATGTCTAGTGTGTATACAAAAGCATGAATTTTATTCCTTATAACCAAAGTAGAAACCTACTCTGAGCAATTTGACAAAAGGTTTACATTATTTATTTTAGTGTAGTTTAAGATTACAGTAAGATACAATTCCCAAAGAGTGAAATATAAGGCTGGGCGTGGTGGATCACGCCTGTAATCCTAACACTTTGGGAGGCTGAGGCGGGTGGATCACCTGAGGTCAGGAGTTCGAGACCAGCCTGGCCAACATGACAAAACCCCGTATCTACTAAAAATACAACAATTAGCCAGACGTGGTGGTGCGCACCTGTAATCCCAACTACTAGGGAGGCTGAGGCAGGAGAATCACTTGAACCTGGTGGGGCGGAGGCTGGAGTGAGCTGAGATCATGCCATTGCACTCCAGCCTGGGCACACTCTCAAAAAAAAAAAAAGTGCAACATAGCTTTTCACAAAATATGGAACTGTGGTAGTGTAGAACAATGTCTCAATATACCTCCTACACTAAGTATAATAGTAAATATCTGTATTTGGTGGCATAATATGTTCTTAGTATAAACCAAAAACACATGCTGAGCATTGGACATTGTCCAATGTTTAATTCATATGATTCATTCTGAGTTTCTGACTGAGATCATTCTTTCAGACTATGTCTATTTGTCCTGGGACCCATAAAATATGCAGCCCTAACATGATTTCATTTTTGTTTCCTTTCCTGGAAAAGGAGAAATCATTCAGATCAGCTTTCATATTGCCTTATAGACGATGACTTCAAAATAGTTTGAAAGGGACTCCTTTGTTCTAGAACTGCTCTAACACAGTAGCCACTAGCCACATGTGGCTATTGAAAGATTGAAATGTGGTTATTCCAAATCAGGATGTACAGTAAATATAAAATACACACCAGATTTCAAAGGCTTACATGAAAAAAGTAATGTGAAATATCTCACTAGTAGTTTTTATAGTGATTACATGTTGAAATTTTAACATTGTGAACATATTAGTTTAAATAAAATGTATTGTGAAAATTAATTCCATGTTTCTATTTACTTTTGATAAAAGTACTACTAGAGGCTGGGTGTGGTGGCTCACTCCTGTAATCCCAGCACTTTGGGAGGCTGAGGTGGGAGGATCACGAGGTCAGGAGACCGAGACCATCCTGGCTAACACGGTGAAACCCCGTCTCTACTAAAAACACAGAAAATTAGCCAGGAGTGGTGGCAGGCGCCTGTAGTCCCAGCTACTAGGGAGGCTGAGGCAGGAGAATGGCGCGAACCTGGGAGGCGGAGCTTGCAGTGAGCCGAGATCGTGCCACTGCACTCCAGCCTGGGCTTCAGAGCGAGACTCCGTCTCAGAAAAAGAAACACTACTAGCACATTTTTAAATTACTTGTAGTGATCTCATTTGTACCACATTACATTTCAATCGTATACTGCTTTTCTAAAGAGTCACTGCTAAGCCCTGAAATTAACTCCAAATACCTCCCTGGAATACAGTGCCAAGGCAGGGGCTTCCTTGAACTTCAACCTCCAAAAGTAAGCAAGAATTGAGAAATATCTTCTGCTTTGAAAAATATTCACTCCCCAACCCTAATACATCAATTACATATTATTTGGGGGCTAACTAAGCTCCTGTTTTAAAATGTAAATTGAAGAAATTAGGCCAGAGTCATTCCCATCTTAGTGCCAATCATATAATCAGATAATTAGATTGCTCTTTCCCTAAAGCCTGTTTAGTTTTCTTGTTTGCTGGTTTTGTTGTTGTTGGGTTTTTTAATTTGTTTTTGTTGTTGTTGTTGTTGTTTTGAGATGGATACTCACTGTGTCACCCAGGCTAGAGTGCAGCGGCATGATCTCTGCTCACTGCAACCTCCAACTCCTGGGTTCAAGTGATTCTCCTGCCTCAGCCTCCTGAGTAGCTGGGACTATAGGTGCATGCCACCACGCCCGTCTAATTTTTTTGTTGTTTTGTTTTTTTTTTGTTGTTTTTTTTTGTTTGTTTTGAGACAGTCTCGCTGTTTCCCAGGCTGGAGTGCAGTGGCACGATCTCGGCTCACTGCAACCTCCACTTCCGAGGTTCAAGCAATTCTCCTGCCTCAGCCTCCCAAGTGGCTGGGACTACAGGTGCATGCCATTATGCCTGGCTAATTTTTTGTATTTTTAGCAGAGATGGGGTTTCGCCATGTTGGCCAAACTGGCCTCAAACTTCTGGCCTCAGGTGATCCAGCCGTCTCAGATCAAAGTGCTGGGATTCCAGGCATGAGCCACCACTCACAGCTCGCTAAGGCCTTTTGCCAAGACAAATTAGCTCTTAGAGAACCACAGGATTCCTCTTGTAATGTATTACAAACTAAAGTCTTACCTGCTCTTGAAGAGTAGAAAACATGAAAAAGTTCTGTGTTAGCCCTTAGAATAATTAAAAATTCATAAGCTCTGAAATAAATACAGGTAATAAAGGTAATAAAATTATTGCCTATGACAAAACAAAAGTTTAAATTGGCGTTTGTAAACTCTGCACGAAAGCCAGGTTTCTCACTACTAGAAAAAGAAAAAAAGTTATAAATAAGCCAAGAATTCCAGAATGAATCCTGTGGTGCCAAATATATGTTAACTACAAGGAATAACAGTGACCTTACACTGGAAACACCTTAACCATGGGCCAAGGTTAAAGATATAACAGCTTTCTCACACCCCTTGCACAGCTACCCCCAATGTTAACATAACTGTTAATAAATTATCAAAACTAAGAAATTAGTCTTGGTATAGTATCACTAACTACACTCCAGACCTCAGTCAGGTTTTCCCAGTCTTTCCTTCAGTGTCCTTCCTCTGTTTCAGGATTCAATCCATGATCCTTGACACTTGGTACTTTGTCAGATGTCCTGCTATATGGGTTTGTTTGATGTTTTCCCATGATTAGGGATAGACACTGCAAGACTCAGAGCTACTTTACAAAGAAGCCTCTAGGGAGCTCCCCAGAGAAGACAGGGGAGACAACACAGGGACACTAAAGGAAATTTTAGCCTCTGACATCCATGACTATATAGCAAAGAGTAAACAAAGCCTAACTCCTAGCCAGAGAAATACAAAATCTCATACTAAAGCCTTATTTAACTCAGTTCCTTTCACCCAGTACATCATATACAGCCTCAAACAAAAAATTACAAAGCATACTAAAAGACAAGAAACCCCACACTTTGAAGAGACAGAGCAAGCATCAGAACCAGACTCAGATATGAAAGAAATATTGGAAGTGTCCAAGCAGGAATTTAAAATAACTAAGATTAACATGCTAGGGGCTCTAATGTAAAAACAGCATAACATGCAAGAACAGATGGGTAATGTAAGCAAAGAGATAAAAACACTAAGAAGAAATAAAAATGAAATACTAGAAATAAAAAACACCATAACAGAAATGAAGAATGCCTTTGACGGGTTCATCAAAAGAATGGATATGGCCAATGAAAGAATCAGTGAGCTCGAAGAGATGTCAATAGACACTTCAAAAGCTGACACACAGTGAGAAAAAAGAATGAAAAAGAAAAAACAGAACAAGAGTCAAGAACTGCGAGACAATTACAGAAGGTGGAACACGGAGACTTTTTGGAAATACCAGAAAGAGAAGAAAAAGAGAAAGAAAGCCGGGCGTGGTGGCTTACGCCTATAATCCCAGCACTTTGGGAGGCTGAGGCGGGCAGATCACAAGGTCAGGAGATCGAGACCATCCTGGCTAACACGGTGAAACCCTTTCTCTACTAAAAATACAAAAAATTAGCAGGGGGTGGTGGCAGGCGCCTGTAGTCCCAGCTACTCGGGAGACTGAGGCAGGAGAATGGCATGAATCTGGGAGGAGGAGCTTGCAGTGAGCTGAGATCATGCCACTGCACTCCAGCCTGGGCAACAGAGCAAGACTCTGTCTCAAAAAAAAAAAAAAAAGAGAGAGAAAGAAACAGAAGAAACATTTGAAGCAACAGTGACTGAAAATTTCCCCAAATTAATGATAGATAAAGCTATGGTCTGAATGTTTGTGTCTCCTCAAAAGTTATATTGAAACTTAATCCTCAATATGATAGTACTGAGGTGGGGCTTTTGGGAGTCAATCAGGTTATGAGGGCTCTATCCTCAGGACAGAGATTAGTGCACTTATGAAAGAAGCCCCAGGGAATTAGCTAGCCCCTGACACCATGTGAGGACAAAGCCAGAATGTGTCATATATGAGGAAGCAGGGCCTCACCAGACACTGCTAGTGCCTTGGTCTTGGACATCACAGCCCCTAGAACTGTAAGAAATAAATTTCTGTTGTTTATAAACTCTCCAGTTTATGATATTTTTGTCACAGCAGCCCAAATGAACTAAGGTAGACATAAAGGAACAGATCCAGGAAGCTCAAAAAACACCATATAGGATAAATAACAAAAATGCTACATCAAGGTATATCTTTTTTTTTTTTCTAAGGTGGAGTTCCACTCTTGTTGCCCAGGCTAGAGTGCAATGGTGCAATCTCAGCTCACTGCAGCCTCTGCCTCCTGGGTTCAAGTGATTATCCTGCCTCAGCCTCCTGAGTAGCTGGGATTACAGGCCCCCGCCACTAAGCCCAGCTAATTTTTTGTATTTTTAGTAGAGATGGGGTTTCACCATGTTGGCCAGGCTGGTCTCGAACTCCTGGCCTCAGGTGATCTGCCTGCCTTGGCCTCCCAAAGTGCTGGGATTACAGGCATGAGCCACTGGGCCTGCCTAAGTATATCTTATCTAGACACAGATCTCACTCCTTTCACAAAAACTAACTCAAAATGGATCATAGACCTAAATGTAACATGCAACACTACAGAATTCCTAGAAGATAACATAGGAGAAAACTCAGGTGACCTTGGATTTGGTGATGACTTTTTAGATATAACATCAAAAACATGACTCATAAAAGAAAAAATTGGTAAGTTGGACTTTACTAAAATTAAATTTTTCTGCTCACAAAGGACACTGTTAAGAGAATGAAAAGGTAAGCCATTAAATGGGAAAAAAATCTTTGCAAAAAAATAGTTCTTTATATATGATATATAATAATATATATCATATATAATATTATATATATATATATATATATTCTGAAAAAGGCAAAACCATAGAAACAGTAAGAAGTTCAGTGGTTGCCAGGAGTTAGGAGTTGGGGGTGGGGAGGGTGGATAAATGGTGGAGAACAGCTGATTTTTAGGGTAGTGAAACTATTCTGTTTGATTCTGTAATGATGAATACATGTCATTATACATTTGTCAAAACCCATAGACTATACAACACCAAGAATGAACTCTGATGTAATCCACAAAGGACTATTGTTAATAAAGTTTTAATAATGGCTCATCAATTATAACAAATGTACTATACTAATGCAAGATGTTAATAATAAGGGAAACGGGGGTGGGAGGGTTTGGGGTAAGAGGGCATATGGGAATTCTCTTCTGTTTGCTCACTTTTCTGATAAGCTGAAATTGCTCAAACAATAAAATGTATTATTAATAATTTTCAAAAATTCACTCGATGGGCTACATAGCAGAATGCAGATGACAATGATAGGAGTTTGTGAACTTGATGACAGATTAGAAATGGTAGACCTAAATCCCACCAAATCAATAATTACATTAAATGTAAATGGTCTAAATATACCAACTGTAATGCAGAGATTGTCAGACTACATTAAACAGACAAGACCCGAGTACATGTTATTTATACGAAAATCACTTTCAATATAAAGACTTAATTGATTAAAAGAATGGGCTGGGCTTGGTGGATCACACCTGTAATCCCAGCACTTTGGGAGGCCGAGGCAGGCAGATCACGAGGTCAGGAGACCGAGATCATCCTGGCTAACACGGTGAAACCCCGTCGCTACTAAAAATACAAAAAATTAGCCAGGCATAATGGCACGCACCTGTAGTCCCAGCTACTTGGGAGGCTGAGGCAGGAGAATCACTTGAACCTCGGAGGTGGAGGTTGCACTGAGCTGAGATCGTGCCACTGCACTCCAGCCTGGGTGACAGAGTGAGACTTCATATCAAAAATATATATAGAGAAAAATAAAATTAAAAGTGGAAAAATGCAAATACTAATCAAAGGAAATTAGGCTGGGTGTGGTGGCTTACACCTGTAATTCTAGCACTTTGGGAGGCCAAGGCAGGAAGATTTCTTGAGGCTAGGAGTTCCAGACCAGCCTGGGCAACAGAATGAGGTCCCTTCTCTACAAATGAAAAAAAAAAGTTTAAATAGCCCAGCATGGTGGCATGCATGGTATAATGTACCCTAGCTACTTGGGAGGCTGAGGTGGGAGGATCACTTGAGCTCAGTAGTTTGAGGTTACAGCAAGCTATGATCACACCACTGCACTCCAGCCTGGGCAACAGAATGAGACCCTGTATCTAAAAAAACAAGCAAAAGAAAAAGGAAATGAGAGTGTCTATATTAATATCAAAGTAGACTTCAAACAAAGATGATTACCATGAATAAAGAAGGATATTACATAATTATTAAAGGGTCAATTCAACAAGAAGACATAACAATCATAAATGTGTAAATATAATTCCATAGTAAAAGGAATCAGGAGGCTTGAGAGATGCTTATTTCAGGTCTGGGGTAAGGAATGTACAAAGTGAACCAGGACTAATGAAGTTATATTAAAACTCCAAAAGACGAAAAGAGTCATTTAAAAGACTAATGGAGTCATATGAAAAGGTCCCAGGAGCCAACAGAAAGGACTCCCCTTGGCCAAATCTGGAACATTTTGACAGTTTGAGCATCAATAAGAGTAATGAACCATAATTGACTAGAAGACATTTAAAGCATAAAAACTCTTGAGTCCATAATCATACTCAATAAAGATGAAAACAAACCATCTTATTCATCACTGATGGGGGTGGCTGTTATTCAAGTTCTTATGCTAAAACTTGGTAATTAAAGGTAAATAAAGAATAATGTATTCTTTCTCTGCAGTGGAACTAAGTTTTAGATACAAAATAACCCCAGTGGATGAGGGAAAGTTCTTTAGAGGTAAGAATGACAGTTAATAAATGTAGAAAAAAGAAGATAATTTAATCACCATTTTGCAACTTCTAATTAAGTAACTGAAGTGAGAAAGAATCATTACTGCATGCTAAAACCATTAAGGGAAAGATGTCAAAGATCTCAGTGTTTCAACCCATAGAATACTTTCCAGTGGCAAGAAGATAAATGGATAGTTAACCCTATAATCTTAGAATCTCTAATAGTGGGTACACTAGGTATTATGTGAAGAAAATGGCATCAGGCTGGGCGTGGTGGCTCATGCCTGTAATCCCAGTACTTTGGGAGGCAGAGGTGGGTGGATCACCTAAGGTCAGGAGTTCGAGACCAGCCTGGCCAATATGGTGAAACCCCATCTCTACTAAAAATACAAAAACTTTCTGGGCGTGGTGGCGAGCGCCTGTAATCCCAGCTACGTGGGAGGCTGAGGCAGGAGAATCACTTGAACCCAGGAGGCAGAGGTTGCAGTGAACCGAGATCGTGCCACTGCACTCCAGCCTGGGTGACGAGAGTGAAACTGCATAAGAAAGAAAAGAAAAGAAAAAGAAAGAAAGAAAGAAAGAAAGAAAGAAAGAAAATGGTATCAATGGTGAAGAATTGTTGTCCAACATGTTTAATGTAATTGTGTTCAAGCCTAAAATTCTGCTTTACTGGAAATAAAAGAGAATACAGTTATAGGACACCATGAGGAAACAATCAGATAAATACAGAAAGTGAGAACATTGACCCAACTTCTGTAAGTCAACTGGCTAGGTCTCTCCAATAAGTTCAAAGTCAAGAAAAAAAAAGGGGGGGCCAGGTACTACACTTGATTTTTAAAAGCTTAGAGACAAACAATGAAATGCAACCTATGCTCCTTAATTAGAACCCTATTTAAACAAACCAGCTCTCAAAGACATTTTTTGGGGTCAAAAAGGGAAAGGTGAATATAGTCTGGTTATTAGACAACATTTAGAAAGCACTGTTACGTGTGTTAGGTGTGAAAATTGTGTGATTATATTGTGAAAGAATTCATTCTTTAAAAAAGATGCATTCTAAAGTATTTAGGGGTGAAAAGTTTAAAGTAATTTACTTCAAACTACAGTGAAAAAAATTTAAACACTGCAAAATATTAACTGCTAAATCTAGATGGTGGCTTTATAATATTCACAGATGAGCATATTTCCTTTAAATTTCTATGTGCTTAAAATTTTTCATGTTAAGTAATATATGTATTACATTGGGATACACATAACTATGATTGACAGAAAATAACACTAAAAGTGCAAGATCACTGATTCTATCTAGGAAGTAGGATTATAGGGACTTCAATTTTCAAGTTAGCTTTTTTTTTTTTTTGAGACGGAGTCTTGCTCTATCGCCCAGGCTAGAGTGCACTGGCGCAATCTCAGCTCCCTGCAAGCTCCGCCTCCCGGGTTCACACCATTCTCCTGCCTCAGCTGGGACTACAGGCACCACCGCCATACCCGGCTAATTTTTTTTGTATTTTTAGTAGACACAGGGCTTCACTGTGTTAGCCAGGATGGTCTCGATCTCCTGACCTCGTGATCTGCCCGCCTCGGCCTCCCAAAGTGCTGGGATTACAGGGTGTGAGTCACCGCACCTGGCCCAGTATTTGTCCTTTTTATGATTTGCTTCTTTCACTTAGTGTAACGTTCTCAAGGTTGATCCATTTTGCAGCATAAGTCAGAATTTCCTTCCTTTTTTTTTTTTTTTTTTTTTTTGAGATGGAGTCTTGCTGTTGTTGCTCAGACTGGACTGCAATGGCACGATCTTGGCTCACTGCAACCTCCAGCTACTGGGTTCAAGTGATTCTCCTGCCTCAGCCTCCGGAGTAGCTGGGACTATAGGCGCCCGCCACCATGCCCAGCTAATTTTTGTATTTTCAGTAGAGATGGGGTTTTACCATGTTGGCCAGGCTGGTCTCGAACTCCTGACCTCAGGTGATCTGCCTGCCTTGGCCTCCCAAAGTGCTGGTGTTACAGGCATGAGCCACCACGCCCAGCCAGAATTTCCTTTTTAAGGGTGAATAGATAAATATTCAATTGTATGAATGTACCACATTTTATTTATCCATTTATCCATTTCTGGACATTTGGGTGGCTTCCACCTTTCATCTATTGTGAATAATGCTACTATGAATGTGCACATGCAAATATCTCTTCAAGACCGTGCTTTCACTTCTTTGGGATATAGATCCAGAAGTGGAATTGCTAGATCACATGGCAACTGTATCTTGAATTTTTTAAACAACTGCCTTACTGCTTTCCACAGGAGCTGCACCATTTTACATTCCCTCCAACAGTGCACAAGGGTTCCAATTTCTCCACATCCTTGCTAACATTATTTTCTGTTTTTTTGATAGTAGCCATCTGAAAGGGTAGGAGGTATATCTCACCATGGTTTTGATTTGCATTTCCCTAATGATTAGTGATGTTGAGCATTTTTTCATATACTTATTGGCTATTCTTATTTAAGAGCTGCCGAGTATTCCTGGTAGAAACCGTAATTTACTTAAACAATGTCCTGGATAAATAAACTTTCTCAGTTCTTAAAAACAAAACTGCAATGACTCTCCTTGTACATTCGTCTGTTTTCAATTTTTTTTTTTTTTTTTTTTGAGACGGAGTCTCACTCTGTCACCCAGGCTGGAGTGCAGTGGCACGATCTCGGCTTAGGGGAGGAGACCACTCCTCATGTTGTCTTATGCCCAATTTCTGCCTCCAAAGAAGAAAAGGTAAAAACTAAAAGGCAGAAATGAAATCCACAAGCAGACAGCCCGGCCCCACACCCTAGGCCTGGTAGTTAAAGATCGACCCCTGACCTAATCGGTTATGTTATCTATAGATTACAGACACTGTATAGTAAAGCACTGTGAAAATTCCTATCCTGTATTGTTCCGATCTAATTACCAGTGCATGCAGCCCCCAGTTACATACCCCCTGCTTGCTCAATTGATCACGACCCTCTCACGCACACCCCCTTAAGAGTTGTGAGCCCTTAAAAAAGACAAGAATTGCTCACTCGGGGAGCTTGGCCCTTAAGAAAGGAGTCTTGCCTATGCCCCCGGCTGAATAAGCCCCTTCCTTCTTTAACTCGGTGTCTGAGGAGTTTTGTCTGCGGCTGGTCCTGCTACATTTCTCGGTTCCCTGACCGGGAAGCGAGGTGATTGGCAGATGGTCGAGGCAGCTCCTTAGGCGGCTTAAGCCTGCCCTGTGGAACATCCCTGCGGGGGACTCCGACCAGCCCGAGCGGATCCTGAGAGCGCTCCCGGGTAGGCACTTGCCCCGGTGGGATGCCTCACCAGAGCAGTGTGTGGCAGGCCCCCATGGAGGATCAACGCAGTGGCTGAACACTGGGAAGGAACAGGCACTTGGAGTCTGGACATCTAAAACTTGTTAAGACTAGTCTTTGAAACTTGCGCACTCCGTTTGAGTGGAAGCGTGGCCTGATCACCCATGGCATGCCTTTATCGGCACTTTGGTTTTGGTTTTGACTTGGTTTGAATTGCTTGACAGGATTGGTCTTAGGAACTTGCCTACTCCATTTGAGTGGAAGCATGGCCTGATCACCCACGGTGTGCCCGTACCGGCACTTTGGTTTTTGTTATTGACTTGATTTGGATTGCTTGATACTTTGGTTTTGGTTTTGACCTGGCTTGGATTTCTGGATACTCTGATTTTAGTTTTGATTTTGGTTTGGTGCAAACTGCAAAAGTGTGTGTGTGCCCTTTTTACCCGTTCTTTGTTTTATGGTGTGTGTGTGGTGTAAGCGTGGTGTTTTGTCTCGAAGAAGCATAGGTCAGGCACCAATAAGCCCACCCTACTAGGAACTAAGTTGAAAATTTTCAAAAAAGAATTTAAAAGAGACTATGGAGTACTGTGACACCAGGAAAACTTAAAACTTTGTGTAAGATAGACTGGCCAGCATTAGAGGTAGGTTGGCCATTAGAAGGAAGCCTGGACAAGTAAGTCCCTTGTTTCAAAGGTATGGCACAAGACAACCTGTAAGCCTGGGAACCCAGACCAGTTCCCGTACATAGACACTTGGTTACAGCTAGTTTTAGACCCCATGCCCCCAACACACAGTGGTTGAAAGAACATCAGCATAAGCAGCTGGCAAGACCAGCAGAGAGAGATAAAGGAAAGAGACAGAGAGGAAAAGAGGCAAAGAGAAAGAGGAAGAGACAGAGAGGAAGAGACAGACAAAGAGGAAGTCAAGGAGAGAGAGAGAGAAAGAGAGAGGCAGAGAGAGAGAGAGAGAAAGAGAGAAAAAGAGACCGAGTCAAAAAGAAAGTCAAAGAGAGAGAGACAAAGTCAGAGAGAGAAAGAAAGAGAGATATACAAGCAGTTAAAAAAAAAAAAAGGTGTACCCTATCTCTTTAAAAGCCAAGGTAAATTTAAAACCTATAATTGATAATTGAAGGTATTCTCTGTAACCCTATAACACTCCAATGCCACTTTGTTGTCAGTGTAAACAAGGGCGTATCCCAAAAGGGCCTTCCTATCAAAAATCCTTAACCCAGTAACCCGCGGATGGCCCAAATGCATTCAATCTGTAGCGGCAACTGCGTTGTTAACAACAACAAAAGAAAAAGTAAAAAAAATAACTTTTAGAGGAAAGGTCATTGTGAGCACACCTCACCAGTTCAAAAGTATCCTAAGGAAAAAAAAAAAGAAAAAAAAGGCGGGGCAGAATTTATATGAAAAGAGTATTATATGGTAAATTCTTGTCCTGAAATAAATTAATTGGTTGTTTAAAGAAAGAAATATTTGTAATAAGTCAGAAAGTTAAGCCATGTTGAAGAATTGTCTGTGAAAGTCATGAAAGAGAAAAAGTTATAAAAAAGAATTTATGTAAAAAATGTTGTACAATTTAAAAGTAACTAGGCCTCCTGAATGTAAAACTATTTAAAAAAAAAACAGTTTATGTGCAAGGTGTATAAGAAAAGTATACTATACCTTTGGTAAAAGGATTATAAGGGGGCATAAGAATGTACATTCTTACCTACATTAAAAAGTTAAAAAAAAAAACTATTGTTTTGAAAGTTTAAGCAAGTTTTAAAACATTAATTGTAAAGAAAATTATGTGTGTAAACATATTAGCTACAGTTAAAGAAGTATCATTGAGTTTTTCTGTGAACTGGACATTAAAGTAAAAGCATAATAGGTTTTTCTTAAAGCACCAACCTGCTCTTTAGCAAAAGTTATAAAAGGTTAAAAAGAGTCTATAAAATCTTACTTTATGGTCAAACATTAAAAATTAGATAAATATGTCTACAAGCTTTTATTAAAATTACATTTAATATTAATAACACACTAATATAAAGATAAAATTTAGCTTATCTGATATAAAAATCATACAAGAAGCATTGTTAAATGTAAAATGGTATTTGGCTTTTTTGGTTTAAAAACTAATAAAAACAGGTGCTAAAGGAAATTTCTCAGTAAAAAGGCACTAAGGACTATAAAGTCCACTGCCAAAGTCCCCACATTTGAAACAAAAGGTCAATTTCTTAAAAATTATATACTTGGTTTATCTTTCACTTTCCTTTCTCTCAAAAACTAAAAGTCTTTTAGCACATGTACGACCCCTAGAATTTCTGGTAAACCAGCACCACCAGCCTGAAGATCATGTTCTCATCAAAAGGTGGAAAGAAGAAAAACTCGAGCCAGCCTGGGAAGGACCCTACCTTGTGCTGCTAACCACCAAGACTGCTATTCGTACAGCAAAAAAAAAAAAAAAAAAAAAAAAAAAAAAAGGATGGCCTCATCATCACACCCGAGTCAAGAAAGCGCCACCCCCTCCAGAGTTGTGGGCCATAGTCCCAGGGGAAAACCCTAACAAACTAAAGCTAAGAAAAATTTAACTCTTTTTATCTAGTCTATTACTCTTCCTTCTTTCCTCGTTCTATTGCTGACCATCCAGTTATTAACAACCAAGTCAATTTCACCTCAAACTATTGCATTTAATGCTTGCCTTTTTATACCTTGTGGGGACTTGCCAAGTCAAAGACAGCTTTCTACTTCAGAAAAGTACTTCTGTCCCGCCTGACTCTCCTCAGACTGGGCATTAGTAAACTAGGACCATTTAATCCAGGGAGATGTCTATAAAGACCGCAGTGTCAACCAGGAGTCTTGCCCCCCCATGTAGACCTTTCATGCCATAGTTGGTCCAACGTTCTGTGGACCAGTAAAGAGCAAGGATGGACTGCCCCAACAGGTTTTTGCAATTTCCTAAAACCATACATTCATTTTACTAGAGGATCATAGAAGTTAAAGACTTAAAACAAACTTTAGCAATTAAGACAAGACACCAAGATGCAAATGCCTGGTTAAAAGGGATCAAATATTCCACCTGCATGTTAAACAAAAATAATTGTTATGCTTGTGCACATGGCAGGCCAGAGGCCCAGATTGTCCCCTTTCCACTAAAGTGGTCATCCAGTTGACCAGGTGTAGGCTGCATGGTAGCCCTTTTCCAGGATTCTACAGCCTGAAGTAATAAGTTGTGCCAAGCTCTCTCTGCTATATCCCAAAGTCCGGCACCCTGTGGGTCAGCCCTTGAAGGCCATCCAGCCTCCGTCTCCCAACACTGAGTTCACTTTGTGTCTCTCATGACAAGTAGGAAACTTAGTGTTCCTTGGAGACCTGAAAGGATGCAGTGAGCTTAAGAATTTTCAAGAGCTTATCAATCACTCAGCCCTTGTTCACCCCCGAGCGGATGTGTGGTAGTATTGTGGTGGACCTTTAGTAGGCACTCTGCCGAATAACTGGAGTGGCACTTGTATTTTAGTCCAGTTGACTATCCCTTTCACCCTGGCATTTCATCAACCAGAAAGAAAAAAAAATAAGACATCGTAAAGGGAGAGAAGTCCCTTATAGGTCTTTTGACTCTCATGTCTATTTACATGCAATTGGAGTCCTACGAGGAATACCAGATCAATTTAAAGCTTGAAACCAAATAGCTGCAGGATTTGAGTCAATATTTTGGTAGGTGACAGTTAATAAAAATGTAGATTAGATAAACTACATCTATTACAACCAACAGCAACGAGCTTTTCATGAGTTAAAAGAAAAACTCATGTCGGCCCCAGCCCAGGGGCTACCTGACCTGACAAAACCCTTTACACCCTATGTGTCAGAAAGAGAAAAAATGGCAGTTAGAGTTTTAACCCAGACTGTGGGGCCCTGGCCAAGGCCAGTGGCCTATCTCTCAAAACAACTAGACAGGGTTTCCAAAGGCTGGCCCCCAGGTCTAAGGGCCCTAGCAGAAATGGCCCTGTTAGCACAAATAGCAGATAAACTAACCCTTAGGCAAAACCTGAATATAAAGGCCCCCATGCTGTGGTAACTTTAATGACTACCAAAGGACATCATTAGTTCACAAATGCTAGATTAACCTATGTGAAAATTCCCACATAACCACTGAAGTTCGCAACACCCTAAGCCCCACCACCTTGCTCCCGGTATCAGAGAGCCCAGTTGAACATAACCGTATAGACGTGTTAGACTCAGTTTATTCTAGCAGGCCCAACCTCCGAGACCATCCTTAAACATCAGTAGACTGTGAACGGTACGTGGACAGGAGCAGCTTCACCAACCGCTGCAAAGTGACTCTGAAGAAGACGACAAACCCTGCTCCAGTCACACCCGGAAGCTGACTGGTCCACGCATGGCCAAAGCATGAGAAAACTCATCGCGGGACTCATTTTCCTTAAAATTTAGACTTTTACAGTAAGGACTTCAACTGACCTTCCTCAGACCGAGGACTATTCCCAGTGTATACAACAAGTCACTGAGGTAGGACAAAAAGTTGCTACGGTCCTATTATTTTGTGGTTATTATAAGTGTACTGGAACTCTAAAAAGAACTTGTTTGTATAATGTTATTCTATACAAGGTATGTAGCCCAGGAAATGACCAACCTGATGTGTGTTATGACCCAACTCAGCCTCCCATGACCACAATTTTTAAAATAAGATTAAGGACTGAGGACTGGTGGGGGCTCATAAACGATACGAGTAAAGTGTTAGCTAAAACAGAAGAAAAAGGGGTGCCCAAACAAGTCACCTTAAAAGTTAATGTCTGCGCTGTCATTAATAGTAATAAGTTAGGAATAAGGCATGGTTGTCTTAATTAGAAAAGAGGCTATATGGCAGAAAATAAGTACATCTGTCATAAATTAGGACTGTGTGGAAATAAATATAAATACTGGTCTTGTGTCATTTAGGCCACTTAGAAAAAAAAAATGAAAAAGATCCAGTCCACCTTCAGAAAGGAAAAAATGGCCCTTCCTGTACTAAGGGACAATGTAACCCCTTAGAGCTAGTAATAACCAATCCCCGTGATCCTCGCAGGAAAAAAGAGGAGAGTGTGACCTTAAGAATCTACGGGGCCAGACTGGATCCTCAAGTAAACATCTTAGTTTGAGGAGAAGTTTATAAATGCTCTCCTAAGCCAGTGTTTTAAACTTTCTTTTTTTTTTTTTTTTTGAGACGGAGTCTCGCTGTGTCTCCCAGGTTGGAGTGCAGTGGCGTGATCTCGGCTCACTGCAAGCTCCACCTCCCAGGTTCATGCCATTCTCCTGCCTCAGCCTCCCAAGTAGCTGGGACTACAGGCGCCCGCCACCACACCCGGCTAATTTTTTGTATTTTTAGTAGAAACGGGGTTTCACCGTGTTAGCCAAGATGGTCTCGATCTCCTGACCTCGTGATCTGCCCGTCTCGGCCTCCCAAAGTGCTAGGATTACAGGCGTGAGCCACCGCGCCCGGCCGTGTTTTAAACTTTCTATGATGAACTAAATGTGCCAGTATCAGAAATTCCAGGAAAAACAAGAAATTTGTTTTTGCAATTAGCCGAGCATGTAGCCTAGTCTCTCAATGTCACTTCATGTTATGTACGTGGAGAAACTGTAATGGGAGATCAATGGCCACAGGAAGCCCAAGAATTAGTACCTACAGACCAAGTTCCTGATGAATTCCCAGCTCAAAAGAATCACCCTGATAATTTCTAGGTCCTAAAAGCCTCAATTATTGGACAATATTGCATAGCTAGAGAAGGAAGAGAATTCACTCACCCCGTAGGATGACTTAGTTATCTGAGACAGAAAGTGTATAATGGTACCACAAAAACAGTCACTTGGTGGAGTTCAAATCACACAGAGAGAAATCCATTTAGTAAATTCCCAAAGTTGCAAACTGTGTGGACCCACCCAGAGTCCCACCGGGACTGGACAGCCCCCACTAGATTGTACTGGATATGTAGGCATAGAGCTTACGCCAAATTACCCGACCAGCAGGCAGGTAGTTGTGTTACTGGCACTATTAAACCATCTTTCTTCTTACTGCCCATAAAAACAGGCGAAATCCTAGGCTTCCCTGTCTATGCTTCCCACGAAAAGAGAAACATGGCTATAAGAAATTGAAAACATGATAAATGGCCCCCTAAGAGAATCATGCAATATTATAGGCCTGCTACTTAGGCACAAGACGGCTCATGAGGATACCAGACCAGATGGTGGTGGTGGTGGTGATGGTGGTGTTGGTGATGGTGGTGGTGGTGGTGGTGATGGTGGTGTTAGTGATGGTGGTGGTGGTGATGGTGGTGGTGGTGATGGTGGTAGTGTTGGTGATGTTGGTGGTAATGGTGGTGGTGATGGTGGTGGTGGTGGTGATGGTGGTAGTGTTGGTGATGGTGGTGGTAATGGTGATGGTGATGGTGGTGATGTTGGTGATGGTGGTGATGGTAGTAATGGTGGTGGTGGTGGTGATGGTGATGGTGTTGCTGATGGTGGTGATGGTGGTGTTGCTGGTGTTGCTGGTGGTGGTGGTGATGGTGATGGTGGTGGTGTGATGGTGGTGCGATGGTGATGGTGGTGGTGATGGTGGTGATGGTGGCAGTGGTGATGGTGGTGATGGTGGTGGTGATGGTGGTGATGGTGGCAGTGGTGGTGGTGATGGTGGTGGTGATGGTGGTGATGGTGGCAGTGGTGGTGGTGGTGATGGTGTGATGTTGGTGGTGATGGTGGTGGTGGTGGTGATGGTGATGGTGGTGATGGTGGTGGTGATGGTGATGGTGGTGATGGTAGTAATGGTGGTGGTGGTGGTGATGGTGATGGTGTTGCTGATGGTGGTGATGGTGGTGTTGCTGGTGTTGCTGGTGGTGGTGGTGGTGATGGTGATGGTGGTGGTGATGGTGGTGATGGTGGCGGTGGTGATGGTGGTGATGGTGGTGGTGGTGATGGTGGTGATGGTGGCAGTGGTGATGGTGGTGATGGTGGTGATGGTGGTGGTGGTGATGGTGGTGATGGTGGCAGTGGTGATGGTGGTGATGGTGGTGGTGATGGTGGTGATGGTGGCAGTGGTGGTGGTGGTGATGGTGGTGATGGTGGTGGTGGTGATGGTGGTGGTGTGATGGTGGTGGTGATGGTGATGTTGGTGGTGATGGTGGTGGTGGTGGTGGTGGTGGTAGTCTGGAGTGCAGGAGCAGGAGGTGGTAGTGGCCTGAGTCTGGTGACTGGCAGCCAGGGGTCTTGAGGACCCTGGACAGGTGGTCATCCAGAATCGTCTGCCTGTCTTCCTCGTGGCTGCCAGGGGACAGGGAGGGCGAGGGAGTGCTGGGTGGGCACCCCCTCCCACTAGCTTGGACCTTTCCTTCTCTTTATCCTGCATGGGAAGGCAGCTCAAATACACATTTTAGTATTCAACAAAAACTGCAGAGGACCCTTACATAGACGTCTGGAGTTCTGTGCCTGCCAGCGCTCTCCTCGGCAGTGCTCCCACGCAGCTGCCCTTGCTCCTCTCATCTCCACCTCTGCTCCATTTAGCAAGATTGCTGCGCAGCTGCGCTCTGCCCGGGATGCCCTGCTCTGTGGTCAAGAATGGAACTACAGGGAAAAAGCTGGGGCGATTGCAGAGCTTACCTGATTAGTTTTCTTTTTTTAATAGATCCGTATCTTTCATGGCCTATTATCCAATGCCTAACAGTAACGTCGTTTATTTCCTCCAGCTTTCTAGTTGTTTGAGGGAAGAGGAGGAATCCAATGCCTGTTACTGTATCGCACCCAGAAGCGGCAGTCCTGGTCAGTGGTTTTAACAGGAGGATACAGACCTGTGTATAGGTGAAGTTAGTGCAGTACAGAGACGGAACAGAAAGGGGACGCCTGGAAAAGCAAATTCTTAGGCGAAGGAGGTGCCAAATGGATTCGAAAACGGGCGGTGGTGTCTGGCACGGTGGCTCACGCCTGTGATCCTAGCACTTTGGGAGGCCGAGGTGGGCGGATCCCTGAGCCCAGGAGTTAGAGACTAACCTGGGCAACTGGCAAAACCCTGTCTCTACAAAATACCAAAATTAGCCAGGCGTTGGTGGCTTGCACCTGTAGTCCCAGTTACTCGAGAGGCTGAGGCAGGAGAATCGCTTGAGCCCAGGAGGTGGAGTTTGCAGTGAGTCGAGATCATGCCATTGCACTCCAGCCTGAGCAACCGAGATCCGGTTTCAAAAAAAAAGTCGAGGTGAGGGGGAGGTAGGACAGACACCTCTTTCTCTGAAATAAAGAGAAGAAAGGTAAAAACTGGTTAAAAATTGTAAAAAACCTAGATAAGTCTGAAGATTAGAAAAGAAAAAGAGGACTGGGCAGGCAGTTCTTCCTCACCCTCTCCGTCCTGGTCGTTTTAAGGGTTAGATAAAATAGCACTCAGACTGTAATACCCAGAAAACTTGTGTTAATATATTAAGGAGAAGGAAAACATTTTTCTTCTGTAGCATTATTATGAGACTTAGCAGCCTCCTGAGATGGTTTACACTTAATTCACATAATGAGTATTAGGGTGTTTCTCTTGACTTCCTGCATATAACTCTGAACTGAACTGGTACTTTTTTACTAACTATCTGAACCCAAAAAGCAACTAGCACCAATTCTAAAACCAGACTAAACCCTGGTACATCTGGTATCAGGTACACCTGGTACAGCTGGTATATCAGTACAACACACACATGCACGTTTAAACAACAAATGCATACATAGACCAGACAAATACATATTTATAATTTTGATTTTGGAAGGATAAATTTTATCTTTCAAACTAAGGATATTTGACTGAGGAGATAAACAAATCCCATAGATAGGAACTTGATATAATGTTAGTAACTTAAAATTTCCAAACTAGTCTTACAGCAATTATGAAACTGAATATAATCCTTGGTGAGGTCACCCCACTGCTAGCTGGGCCAGTGATGTCAGTTTCAGTTGTTTTCTATACTCAGTTTATCACATAAAATCCCAGTTCAGCCTGCACATCTGTTTTTCCTCTGGGACTCATTTTAATTTCCTACCTAAATTATCGTCCAGCTATGCTTGCTCAGCCTCACCCATGCCACCCTCTCTGCCTTTCTACTTGTATGGAAGCCCTCTTGAGCAATGCATTACAAAATTTTCAGTGTCTGCCTTTTTGGAAGTGGATGCCAGTAACTAAATTGCCAACACTGCCTCTTCAGACATTGAGTGAGATATTTTGTTAGTAAACCATGGACTCTGTGTAAGAATTGCACACCCTTTGGGACATCAGGAAGACTCTCTGGGCCAGTGTTTAATGGAAATAGCAGCTAAGGCCTCAGAGAAAACACTTAGCTTCTGTTGCCCAGTCTGTTGTAGTGAGCTCTGGAGCACCTCACACTCCAGCTGCTTGGCAGGAAGTAGACTAGTCTTCAGTAAGTGTGTATTGGGTTGCTGCTACAATAGTAGCTCACAAAACTCAGAAGTGGAAAGAATATGCCCAATTTGCTCTATAACATGTCTGGCCTTCCTCCTTAGCTCATACCCACTGATTAGCAAGACAAAAACATTAAACCCCAAACTGGTTTAAGAGCTTAGTATGATCTACTCCGTCCCTAAGATGGCATCTGGGTATGAGGGAGAAGACAGGAGTGGTTTTCATGCCTTTATGGCATTGGGGTAGGGTAGGCTTTGTGCTGGTCCTGGGGTGACGACTGGTTGATAATCACTGTACTAGTCACTAATCACAACAGCTGCTGGCCTCTCATGCTGTGTCTACACCTGGGGAAACGGTGATTTTTTTCTTTTCTTTTTGCTTGGAGAGTGCTTGCAGGGAGCACCAACCAGCTTCCCTCATTGTCTCTGCTTCTCCTCAGCTCTTAATGGCTGAAGACCCTTGGGGAACCGCTCCCTTGTGTAGTCACCTCATCCTATCACAAAGGGCACCCACACTACACAGGAACTGAGAGTGCCCCAGGAGAATCAGGATACCCTGAGCAAACACTCTTGCCTAAGCTTGGCTGCCCTACATTAGCCATGGCACCCTTGCACGAAGTCTCCTCCCAGAATCTCAGACACTTCCCAGCACCTACAAAGAAACAATTCTGGATGTACATCTGGTCAACCCACTCTAACCCTTTTCTCTTCTTCTTTTTCTTGGAATTGTCCAAGGACAGACAGAAAAAGACTTTCTTCCCTGACTCCATCCTCCACCTCATTCCTCAGTAGTTTAGCCCTCCTTTTAGTAAAACTCTAGTTATTGGTATGTTGAAAGGAGTATAAAGGAATTTAGACAATCATTTCAAGTTTCAAGCCAGGCTAGGATAAGTCTGGTTTTCGAGTGTCAAAGCTGAATATTTTGTTCATTTGCTTTGCATTCCTTGTAACAAACTGTAATAGTCTCTTATCTTCACCTCATTGTCCCAGGTGGATGATTGTCACAAGACAATGAGGCAATCTTTGGCAAGCTCAAAAAAAAAGTGAAAATCCATTAATAATTTAAAAAATATTTTTAAAACTGTTTTTTTTTTCTTTTTTTCTTTTTGAGATAGAGTCTCGCTCTGTCGCCCAGGCTGGAGTGCAGTGACGTGATCTCTGCTCACTGCAACCTCCACCTCCTGGGTTCACGCCATTCTCCTGCC
Organism: Homo sapiens; assembly: GCF_000001405.40. Lineage (NCBI taxonomy): Eukaryota > Metazoa > Chordata > Mammalia > Primates > Hominidae > Homo > Homo sapiens. Next base: position 112,342,766 of record NC_000002.12, on the reverse strand, counting down.
TCAGCCTCCCAAGTAGCTGGGAATACAGGCGCCCGCCACCATGCCCAGCTAATTTTTTGTATTTTTTAGTGGAGACGGGGTTTCACCATGTTAGCCAGGATGTTCTCAATCTCCTGACCTCGTGATCCACCCGCCTCAGCCTCCCAAAGTGCTGGGATTACAGGCGTGAGCCACCTTGCCCGGCCTTAAAAACTTTCTGATGCTACTTAGGGGTAGGAGGTGGATATCAGGAATGGAGAGAGGCTTGGCTCACTTTTGGAAAAAAGTGCTTCCATGGATAATCAGAGACACTTTGAGGCTACTCCAGAGACCTGCTGTATTGCATGCTTGTAAGATCAGTGGAGACATTTGCAATCTTTGGTTGTGGCTAATGTGTTCCATATTGGAATTTTGCTTTGCTTTGTAGGAACGTTTTAGGTATTTTTGCTTTCTCGGAAGCCATTAATATGACAACATTGCCCATGTGTCATTACTCCAACTTCAGCAGCTGATTGATTTATTGTCTTGGAAACCCCTGAGGGAAAAAAAACAATCAGCATTCTTTCTTACTCATTAAGTACTTAATGTACAGTAGAAAATAATTGCAAGTATGTTAACCTTTCCAAAGCTTTTTCTAAATTGAAATTAATCTCTTCAGTCAATAAATATTTATTGAGCACTTTATTGATGGGGTTTCTAATAACTTATTGTAGTAAAAAAAAAAGTGACTTGCATGTATATCTCATGGTGAATGTTTAATGAATATGTACTTCTGATCTATATTTATTTAACTCCATCTGGTCCCCTACTTTAGCTTAAATAAAATTGTAACCACTGGCATAAACTTGAGCTCTTTATCATTTCTAAACCTTCGGTTATCAGATAAAGAGAGAGATTTGAGATCATCTAGCCCGAAGTCCCTTTCAAGGCTTAAAAAAGAAAAGACCTTTATGATTTTAATTATTCCCTAGATAAAATTAAACTATTCTTTGGCTGTAAATACCATGTCTTGAGTGGACATGAAGTTTTGCTGTATATGGAGGGGTCAAACCCCAGTCTTTGGATGGCAAAAGTGAATCTGTTAAATCATCCAAGAGTGATCCCAACTGGCCCTTTATGGAAGACGTGGAAGGAGTGAGGGTGACAGATCCTATTTTCAAGTATTGAGCTGCCAATCACTACAGCAAAATGCAGAATGTGCTTCTAAAGCCCCAGGAAAGAACCTGGAGAGACCACTGAAAATGGTCAACCTTAGTTCTCATTTTGTAAAACCTGAGAACACCATTACTTGAGAAGTTATTGTTGAATTAGCAAAGTCAAATTAATTTTGCGCTAATGATAAATATAAACACCTGCGAAAAGCCACTTGCAGACAATGGAATGAGGTCTTGAGAGTTGCAACTAAAGTTGGAAATCGCTATTCTAAGAGTTTGTGCTGTTTTCTGAGTATTGAAAAGCAGCCATGTTGTTGTAGTTAACAACACTGGTTTGGACCCAGGCAGGTGTGTTTAAATCCCAGCTTTTGTCACACACATCAGTTATGATCTTAGGCAAGCTATGTATCCTCACGATGCTGTTTGCCCATCTTTAAAATGGGAACCAGGGCTCACCTTACTGGACTGTCCTGGATACTAGCTATGGATTTGATAAGATGATGCACATAAGCCCTCGAGCACACCATCACCCAATTCGCATATATTGAGGCTTTACCGTAATTATTGTAAATACTTTGGGGCTCAAAAATGCTGGGTAGACTAATGTGCCACTGTGGAAAACGAAGTCAAAGGGGTGAAACCAACACCAATGTGAGGATGGCAGAGATGGGCATTGTTTGATTTGAAAAAAATTATGTAACCCTACATCCACCATACTTTTTTTGGTCCCTTTAGTTACTAAAATGTATCCTTGTGTGCTTGATCATTTGATATCCACCACAAAGCAACGTGACTTCATTCACTTTGCAGTAAGCAATATTCAAAAAGCAATCCATCTTATTACTCATCTCTGTATCTCAACACCTAATAGCATATGCTAAGTGCTCGATCTTTCTTAAATGAATGAATGAATAAATCTGCATTTTGTAGATGAGGAAAGCAATGCTCAGTGAAGTCCTGACTTGCCCAGTATTACATTGCTCAGAAGAGAGGGTACCAAGTCCAGACCACGCTATCTCTTAAGGAATAAGCTTCTGACAGAATTGCTCAGGAATTACATCCAGTAACCTACTAGGCTCCCGTGTTTAAGACAGTGTGTTCTTGACCATTGAACATGTTAGAACAGAAGCCAGAAAACATCTTTTAATGACATTTCCTGACTTTGGGGGAAGCATGACCAGTTCTCTGAAAGCCTTTCCTGCAATGAGATCCCATTTTGATCCTAAAGAGTTTGTGCTCTATTAAGCAGTACATTTGCTAACAACTTCTTAGGTTCAGATCTTCTAACAGAAAATTAACTTTAGCTAATGTAAGAGACGTTTCCTGGAATGAAGGTAATATCAGGAAATGGGGCTTTAAATGCTAACAGCATCTATGTAGATAAGCGAAGCACAATTTCAGTGTACTAAAGATAAATTGAAGGGCAAATAGTTTAATGCTATCCCCCTTTTTTTTCCAGGAAAGTCTGGGAGGGTTCCAGTTATAAGCTTTTAAATGTGCACATGGTTCCCATATGTTCTGTCTTTAAATGCTGAAGATTTATTAAAGCAAAGCATCACACTGCCAGACAGATATTATTAGAAACATTTTTATTTAAATTCAGACAATAGAAAGGTATACAGAAAAAAATTACAGAAACTTGCAACAACAGTATGCAACTTGGAAAATTTATTAGTAAAGAAGGAGGGGAAAAGTTATTCCTAATTTTGCCAAGTACTGGGTTAGTCCTTAATAGAATAATTTATCAGTTCAGCAAAGTATACCCCCTTGCTGGTGTCTTTTGAGCAGACAGATTAACAACGTCATTAATCTACTAAACTGATATCTAGTAAAACCTTCCAAAGTAAAATAGTCAAGGCAGCATTTCCCCAACATTTGAGATACAACTTCGGGGAACTGAAATAATTACAGTAGAAAGTTAAAAAAAAAAAAAGTCATAGTGAATAGGTATAACCTGGATTTCAGCCCACAGATATTGCTTGTGGATCTGATGGAAAACAAACAATCTTAAACCTGGACAACTCCCGCCTGCCCCCGTCCCTGGCCCCAACCAGCAACACACATACAAAGATGCCCTGCCTAGACTGTGGAGGACAAAAGCCCTAGACTAATAACAAAATGACCTGGGCCCTGGAGCCCTGGATCTATGCCAAACCCTTTCTGAATTCTGGGTGGATGGGGCAGTGGGTTTAGGGTAAGGAATGTAAAAAACTTTTAAACTTTGGCAAGTATACAAATGAGTCTTTTTTGATTGTCACTTTTATAAGGAAATATCATTCTACCCTTGAAAAGATATTTTTCTATCATATGTGACTTCCCTCTCAAACATTTGAGGGCAAATTTCTGTAAAATACAGGTGGACTCAAACCTCTATTTTATAATGGTTAGTTTATCATTTTTCACTTTCTCTATTTAAAAAGTGTATAAAAGGTATAGTCTAGGCCAGGTGTGGTGGCTCATGCCTGTAAGGCCAGCACTTTGGGAGGCTCAGGTCGGTGGATCATTTGAGGTCAGGAGTTCGAAATCAGCCTGGCCAACATGGTGAAACCCCATCTCTACTAAAAAATACGAAAAATTAGCTGGGTGTGGTGGCAGGCGTCTGTAATTCCAGCTACTCGGGAGGCTGAGGCAGAATTGCTTGAACCTGGGAGGCAGAGGTTGCTGTGAGCTGTACTCCAGCCTGGGTGACAGAGCAAGACTCCGTCTCAAAAAAAAAAAATTATATATATATATATATATATATATATATATATATATATATATATATATATATATATACACACATATACATACATATATATATAGTCTATCATTGACAACCCCAAGATATTAGTGGTAATGGAGGTTTGAGAATATGGTTATTTTTTAATTGAGCCTCTATATATTTAATTTCTTTACAATAAATTACATATCAGACCTCTGATAATGCAAATTTCACCATTCCTTTCAACCTTAATACTCTCATGAAGGTATTAAAATCAGTAATGAGCCAAGAAGTATGGGGCCTGACTATCTGCAGAGCTAATTTTTTCTAAAATGCTATAATTAGCTATATATTCACTTTTTTCTTATAAACTCTAAGCTTAAAAAACAAGAAGGTCAAGAATAAACAACGCTGTAAAATACTATTCCAAGAACTCACAATCTTCTTTGAACTCACAGCTCTTCCTTATGCCTACAATAATTTTGCTAACAGTAGCATGATTGTTCTATTCCAAAGGGTAACGAAAGGTGTTTAAAGACCAGATACAAGACCCAAAATTAGAGTCAAATCATAACTTAAAAGGGAAAATTACTGTTCATGGTATCAGGATAGAAGGAATTTTAAATGCTATTGATAATTCACTAGGTTAGGACTAAGTATTTATTTTAAAATAAAAGACTGGCCAGGCACAGTGGCTCACGCCTGTAATCCCAGCACTTTGGGAGGCTGAGGCGGGCAGATCACTTGAGGTAAGGAGTTTGAGACCAGCCGGGCCAACATGATGAAACTGTGTCTCTACCAAAAATATAAAAAATTAGCTGGTTGTG